>NC_000014.9:31126864-31429894 GCF_000001405.40 Homo sapiens | reverse complement strand
GTGCTTATTGGCCATTTGGTATATATTCCTTGGAGAGATGTTCATTCATATCTTCTGCCCATTTTTAAATTGGGTTTATTGTTGATTATAAGAGTTCTTTGGGGCTGGACGTGGTGGCTCACGCCTATAGTCCCAACACTTTGGGTGGCCAAGGCAGAAGAATCACTTAAGCCAGGAGTTCGAGACCAGCCTGAGCAACATAGACCCCATCTCTACAAAAATAAAAATAAAAAAACTTAGCCAGGTGTAGTGGCATGTACCTGTAGTCCTAGCTATTCAGAAGGCTCAAGTGGGAGAATCCTTTGAGCCCAGGAGTTTGAAGCTGTAGTGAGTTATGATTGTACCACTACACTACAGCCTGGGTGACAGAATGAGACCCTATCTCTTAAAAAATAAAAAATAAATAAATAAATAAGAGTTTTTTCAGGCTGGTTGGTGGCTCACGCCTGTAATCCCAGCACTTTGGGAGGCCGAGGAGGGTGGATCACTTGAGGTCAGGAGTTTTAGACCAGCCTGGCCAACATGGTGAAACCCCGTCTCTACTAAAAATACAAAAATTAGCTGGGTGTGATGGTGGGCGCCTGAAATCCCAGCTACTCGGGAGGCTGAGGCAGGAGAATCGTTTGAACCCAAGAGGCAGAGGCTGTAGTGGGCCAACATCCTGCCACTGCACTCTAGACAGAGCAACACTCTGTCTCAAAAACAAACAAAAAAAAAACCAAAAAGTTCTGCCCTATATTCTGGGTACTAGACTCATCTAATAAATGATTTGAAAATATTTTGTTCTGTTTTATGAGTTATCTTTTAATTTTTTTTGATAATGTCCTTTGAATTACAAAGGTTTTGAATTTTGATGAAGTCCGATTTATCAACTTTTTTCTTTAGTTGCTTGTGTTTTAGGTGTTATATCTAAGAACCAAGCAGTGTGTTTAATAGCTCTCTTCTTGCTCTAAGAACTGTCCCCATGGACACTAAATTATATGGATACCCTCCTAATAAATCTCTAATTCCAGCTCAAGGAAGCAAGGATAGGCAATTGGAGGCCCCTGGCTAGGTGGATGAGTAAATCCTGACTTATTTTATCCTTACCTCAGCATGGCGAGTACCATCATTTAGCTTCTCCCTAAAGGAAATCTGCCAGCAATTTTAGTTGCCATTTTGTATACTTACTCAACAAGTTTACATTGAGCACTTACTCTGTGTCAAGTACCTTTCCAAAGTAGGAAAAATTGCATCAGCATATTACAAAGAGAAAACTTTAAAAAATGCTTTGCCCTTTTTCTTTTTGTAAAAAAGGCAGTAAAACAACTACAAATATTGAAAAGATAAAAGAGCTCCTAATCTCATGATTCAAATACAATTATTTCCTTTTTATTTAATCTCTTATAATTGTTGTTCATAACCATACACATATTTTAATATAGTTCAATTAGAATAAAGGAATTTAATATTTTGCTTTTTAAAAACTTAATATTTTATCATATATTTAAGAAAATGTCTTTCTTGATTTTGGTCTCAGACAATATAAGGGAAAGGAAGCAAACAACAGGAGAAAATGTGTAAGTCAATAAAATATTATTAAGATAAGCAAGTATGGTTTATAAGTGGATTTGTGCTCTGGTCTGTGAATGCTTGTAGGCTGGCAAATTGAATTCAAGAGTATATAATTCTATTCCATATTATTAACATTTTTCTTTTTCTTCCAGATCTACGACTCTGGCTCCACTGATTACCTTAACCATATTACATGGGTAATTCAATTTCTAGCTATTGTTCATACTGGTCAGTTGAATGTTTGCATCTAGATAGGGTTTTTGCCTTTAAGTTTGTAGCTAAACAAGAAGTTTGATATATGACTAATTTTTATTAGAATTTTCTTCAAGAATCATATGTCCCAAAGAAGATAATAATAGATCTATATACATAAACATAGTAACTGATAATTTCTATAGGTATTTTTATAATAGGTATATAGTTTTTCCTTATATATAAAATAATTCCACAAGAATATTATTTATCAACTATGTAGAGCCAGCTTGCTGGATAAGTTCAATTTCTTGAATTAGACAAATAATCTTTTTTTTTTTTTTTTTTTGAGACCGAGTCTCGTTCTGTCACCCAGGCTGGAGTGCAGTGGCGTGATCTCGGCTCACTGCAACCTCTGCCTCCCAGCTTCAAGCAATTCTCCTGCCTCAGCCTCCCGAGTAGCTGGGACTATAAGTGCACACCACCATGCCCTGCTAATTTTTGTATTTTTAGTAGAGACGGGGTTTCACCATGTTGGCCAGGCTGGTCTTGAACTCCTGAGCTCGTGATCCACCCACCTCGGCCTCCCAAAGTGTTGGGATTACAGGCATGAGCCACCACGCCCGGCCGACAAATAATCTTAAATTATGAATCTTATTACAAATTATTTGGGTCTTAATGTTGTCTTGTGTGATTACTATTCTAACATTTAACTTTGAAGTGGATGATCATCCTTCATTAGTTTTCATATCAAATATATATCCAACTGGTGAATAGGATTTCTGTGGGGGTCCTTATATGCTACTCCTAAAGGATGAAGCATCCATGAATAAAAGCACTAACTTACTTTCTTCAGTTACCTGTCAGCATGTAAAACAGTTGACTTTCCTAAAGAGCTTGTGGCAGAAGTTGAGGGTTTGTATAATAGTTAATTAACATGGCCCTCCTCCTCAGTCCTAGCTCTGGCTTGAGCTATCCCATTCTCTGAGTTTTGGCTCATTTTTAGAACTCAGCTGGAAGGTCATTAACTTTTGCTTCTTCACCTTGATAGATTAACTTTGTGATTAATTTGGCTTATGATAGTGTTTCCTGTGGTTCCCATCAGGGACTTTCTGGCAGGCAAACATGGATGAGCAGACCAAGGACTTTGTTTTAATTCCGTTTAGCCCGACTTTTATTGATTCCCCACAAACACCACCTTCCCACTTCTTAAAGTCTGCTACAGATTCCATTATGCAGAACCTGCTGTCCCTGGCCACTGCAGGTGTGTTGCTGCCTGATCCTCCCCCTCTCCACTGGAACCTTCCTGTCCTGGTGCTCACCCCTTCAGGGTCACATCCTTCCTGCCTTTCAAGGTGAAAACTATATTAAAGCAGTAGCCAGAGGCAATCTCCAGGGTCTTCTCTCCCACTCCAGGTTACAGCATCTTAACACTGACTTCCTGAAGTCTCTTTCCCTTTTTTATGAAAACCAGAAGAATGATTTTCATAAAATCAGAGGATAAATAAGACAAACAACAACAACAAAAAGATAAAATCAGAGGATAACCCCTAAGAGACCCCCTAATATAACATGTTCATTTTCCATAGGAGAAAAGCACCGTTCAAAGAGGTTAAGTGGCTTTCTTATAAAATATTACAGCAAGTTTGGAACAAAACCATAAAGCTTATACACACATATAAAGCACTGTATTTCTTCATCTGATCAGAGAATGAGGATTTGGGAGGGGCCTTAGGAGTCCTTGTTAGGTATGAACACAATTGCAGTCATTTCTAGTGTCAAGCGTTACCAAATACATAGTTGCAGATCTACCTTTGTTCAGTATTCCTGCTTAGAAGCACCAGCTCTGAGTTTAACAGTTTCTTTCTAGGTTAAATGGCTTGCTCTTACTTGCCATGATAGGTCAAGATCTGCTACTCTGTTTTTAAGCACTTCTTGAACTGAATATTTATAGTGGTAGTTTGCTACTGGGGGAAATCCTATCCATTGCCAAAAGTTCTCATTAGAAATTTAGTGCTAAAAGCTGTCACAGATTACAGCAAGCTCAGCAGTATATTGACAAATAATGCTTCATAGACTACAAAGTGGAAAGCTGTATCACAAAGGGCCAGCAGATCTTTTGTTAGAGTAGGGTATTGGTGTCATCTCAGGCTTCAGATCACATTGAAATCAACAGAGTGGAAGCTGTGCCTACCCATGAATTTTGTGACATGAGTTTGCCACATGTGAAGCCTAGTCTCCTCAGTGGTTCCATCAACATTGAGCAACCTGGCATGACTGGAGTAGATCACTAATAACAAACTTCCAAAGCTGCATTTTCCAAAGTCTGATCCCAGAAACATTCATTCTAAAACTTATTAATATGCATTCCTTTTTTAAAAAAAAAGGATATTATATTCCAAATAAGTTTGTGAAACATTGCATCAAATGCAGCCCACTAATATACATAACGACTCTCTAAGAAATGGCTATAATATATTAATATGTAGTGCTTCTCAGACTTATTTAAGAATGTTTTTTTTTTTTTTTTTGATATGGAATCTCGCTCTGTCGCCCAGGCTGGAGTGCAGTGGCATGATCTCTGCTCACTACAAGCTCCGCCTCCTGGGTTCACACCATTCTCCTGCCTCAGCCTCCCACCACCACACCCAGCTAATTTTTTTTGTATTTTTAGTACAGGCGGGGTTTCACCGTGTTAGCCAGGATGATCTCCATCTCCTGACCTCGTGATCCGCCCACCTCAGCCTCCCAAAGTGCTGGCATTACAGGCGTGAGCCACTGCGCCTGGCCAAGAATGCCTTTTTAAAGGAACTCCTATTAACCTCTTGAGGGGTACCATCAAGAGGAGGACCCTAGAGTTCCATGGGTACACTAGAATTCCATTGTTGGAGTAATATTGTTCTACCATCATTGAATTTTACAATTTCAGAAATAGAAGTAATCTTAAAGGTAATCTATCATTTTCAGTTTCCCAAATGTATGCTAGTTGGAACCAAAAATCATTGAATTAGTTATATTTGAACAATAAATTATAGCAGGATATCACATAGCAAGTTAAATGGGTAACCACTGGCTTACTTCAATATTTTTACATATACCATTAAATACCAACTGTTATACTTCTAAAAATGTTTCATTTATTGGTGGGAAAATTTTTCTGTTATACAAAGCCTAGAAAATGCAGTATAATGCTTTATAGTGGTGAGTATAAAATAAGTAGGAAGTATATCAAATTCTCCATTCCTTCATCAAATATCTGATGAGCACCTTCTGTAAGTAATATATAACATGCTAGTTATATATTATATCTCAAATCCTTAGAACACCTCAGGGAAGGAGATAGTATTCTCACTTTACAAGTGAGGAAATTGAGCTTCTGAGATATGAAGTGATTTTCCCTAGGTCATGCCTACTAAGTGGTGTAATTAGAATTTGAACGCAAGTCACCAATTCCAAAGCTATGTTCTTTCTGCTACCTATAATACAGCTTCTTTATTGTGACTCAAAATCTCCATTTAAAATTAAACAAAGTATAATCAAACTATAATGGTAGTTGAACAGTGGGACACATTTCCATTTGGTTAAGATGATAACATTGGTGTTTGTTTCAGAGTGCTGTCAGTTGTTAGCACCAGGTGGAAAAATTCGGATTCTACATCTCTAGCTCTGACTCCTCTTCTCTAGCTCTGACCCCTCTTCTAAGCTGTAGTCCCTCATTTCCCCTTGGATGCCTTACTGTCACCTCAAATGTGAAATGTTTAAAATTAAACTCATTATCTTCCCCTCCAAACTCCACCTTCTAATTTCATTCTCTTAGTCACTTAGCTTAAAGTCTGGAGCCATCTTTGAATCTGTTGTAAAACTATTAGTTGGACTCGATACATAATATCCCTTCCAATTCTGAAATTCTAATGTTGTTATTCTCATACCGTGTACTCAGGCAAAATGAATTTCTTTCTCTGCTTTGAGCCTGCTAAAAGGTCCAGAGTTTTTTCAATATCTAATAGCATATATTCTACTCATCCATCCTTATGTGTCCTTCAAAGCCCATTTTAAATGTCATCTCTTTAAACCCTTCATGAGCCTCCCAGCTGTACTTCATAGTAATTGCTCTCTCCTTCAGGATCCTATAATAGTTTTGTTCCTTTTTTAGGGTACTTTACAATATCCTGTATACATGTACACAATATATGTCTTGCATATTATTCTTTACATATACATATACACACTGTATATATACACACTATATATATACATATATACATGATATACACACTATATATGTGATTCATGTTTTAGGTACTGTAAGTAATATATATAACAAATATATATGATATATAACATATATAGTGTGTGTATATATAGGGTTTTATAAAAATTAATATATAATGAATATATGAGATATATAACTAATCTATATATTGAATGTATGTATGTGTATATAGGGTGCTGTAAAGAATATATAACTAATATATATGATTATATATAGTGTATGTCTAATCTATATAAAGTGAGGTAAGGGGGATGCTTGGCAAGGGATGTTTGGGTCTGAGCATTGTCGGCAGGGTTTATGGGCTAGGCATGATCACAGGGTGTGGGAGTGATGGTAAGGAAAGAAAGATGAGAGAGGGGCTTGAGATGGCTAATTTGGGGCTTTCAGAACCTTAGTGGGGTAAGGGCAGTATCCTCCAAAGGAATAGATGGCAACTATGGATGATTGCTCACACATAGCAGGGTTGTTCAAATAAGTAAATATCTCAAGGATAATGGGAGCCAGGCTTCTCTCTGTAGGAGAAAGTAGTTATAAATGTGGAAGGGCAAAAACTAGAATGAACTGTATGATGCTGGATTGGAGGTTTTACTGTGAACACATGATTTTTCAATATATATTGTTAGACAAAGAAATATAACTGTAAATGTGTGTGTAAGGATACATATAAAGATGTGCTGTATATGTGTATGAATGTATAAATATTCCCTAACTGCATCCACTCAGACAGCCTGGGCTATGGATATCTCAATAGCAGTGAGCATACCTAGTGCTAAATACCATTCTCCGCTATAAGGAATCAGGGCTCCTGAATAAATGATTACATCCAAGGCTGGAGCAGGATGAGTATGAAACATCTAATTGCCCTAGTAACTAGGGGAGTGCTGAAAGAATGATGGGGATGTGTCAAAAGGCCTCAGAATGGTAACCTGTTAATGTTGAATCTGGATTATGTGTATATGGTATTTAAAGCTCTTTTAATTATTCTGTATTAAAAAATATTTTACAATAAAATGTTTACAGAATCTAAGGCTGGGGCCAGGCGCGGTGGCTCATGCCTGTAATCTCAGCACTTTGGGAGGCCGAGGCGGGCTGATCATGAGGTCAGGAGTTTGAGACCAGCCTGAGCAACACAGTGAAACCCCGTCTCTACTAAAAATACAAAAATTTGCCAGGTATGGTGGCACACGCCTGTAATCCCAGCTACTCAGGAGCTGAGGCCAGTGAATTGCTTGAACCCGGGAGGCGGAGGCTGCAGTGAGCCAAGATCACACCACTGCACTCCAGCCTGGGTGACAGAGCGAGACTCCGTCTCAAAAAAAAAAAAAAAAAAGAGAGAGAGAATTTAAGGCTGGGTACAGTGGGTCACACCTGTAATCCCAGCACTTTGGGAGGCTGAGGCGGGTGGATCGCTTGGGCCCAGGAGTTCGAGACCAGCCTGGGCAAAATGGTGAAACCCTGTCTCTACAAAAACAAAAACAAACAAACAAAATTAGCCAGGCACAGTGGCACACCCATTGTCCCTGCTACTTGAGTGGCTGAGGTGGGAGAATCACCTGAGCCTAGGAGGTTGAGCCTGCAGTGAGCTGTGATCAGACTACTGCACTCCAGCCTGGGTGACAGAGTGAGACCTTGTCTTCTTGTCTCAAAAAAAAAAAAATTACACACACACACACACACACACAACACAGAAGCTAGAATGAATATGAGACCTTGTCTTCTTGTCTTAAAAAAAAATTGAACACACACACACACACACACACACACACACACACACATATCACAGAAGATAGAATGAATGGGGCCCCTACCCACCAAACTTGGGATAATTGAGCATCAAAATAAATAATGATAGAGACAGAATATTGGCTGGTGTGGTGGTGTGCATGCCTGCAGTCTCAGCTACTTACCTGGGAGGCTGAGGCAGAAGGATCACATGAGCCCAGAAGTTCAAGGCTGTAGTGTGCACCATGATTGCATTATCGACCTGTGAATAGCCACTGCACTCCGGCCTGGGCAACAAAGGAGGCCCTGTCTCAAGAAAAAAAAAAAAAAAAAGAGAGAGAGAAAAGAGAGAAAGAAACGGATTATAAGTCATTTAACAAAATAGAAACCTCTGGATCCATACTAATTAATATAAATACATTAACTGAAGATTTGATGAGAAACAAGATATTTACAAATATCTTGAAAGGAGAGTTTCAGAGTCTCCCTCACAAAATACTTATTAATTTACAAAGGGGGGAAAAAAGTAACCACACTGGACAAGCCTAACAGACATCACCTTATTAAAGTAAACATCTGTAATGAGAGAAGTTAAAATCGTGCCACCTGATAGGGTGCCATGAGAAGAAAGCAGCAACACTTCTAGAGTCCTGTCATACCTAGCTAAATGTAATCATGAGTAAATATCAGACAGACCCAAAATGAAGGCCATTCTACAAAAATAACTGGCCAGGAATCTTTAACAGCGTCAAGAATATGAAAGGCAAGGCAAGACTGAGAGTTCCAGTTTGAAGAGTAGGAAAGATACATGATAAGTAAATACAATGCCTGATTCTGAACGGAATCTTTTACCATAAACAATATTATTGGGACAATTGGTAAAACGCCGAGTTATGTAAATGTTTTGATTTTGATGGTTATATTGTGATTATGTAGAAGGTGCTTAGGGACAATGTGGCATGGTGTCAGCAATTTAAATCTCAATTCAGGGAAAAAAAGTTCTTTGTACTATACTTGCAACCTTTTTGTAAGCTGGAGATAGATTCAAAATGAAACTTGAAAAATGACATTTAAAACGCTGAGTGTAGTGGGAAAACGCACATGACTCAAGGTAAGAGGCTATTAGTCTCAGTTCTGCCATTGACTTAGTATGTGACCTTGAGCAAGTCACTTTACCTCAGTCCTCACAGTCAAGGCTCTCTAGGGTCCCTTCCACGTCTAACATCTACCCCCACAGCACTGGCCCCGCCTGAATTTCTCCAGGCCCTTTAGGTGTCCCAGAGCTGCACCCAAAGACTCTGGCTTACGATAAAAACAGACAAAAATAGTTGTGGCCGGAATCTCCGGACTGAAAAACCGCTGTCCTAATCCTAACTTGGGCCGCAGTCTCCATCGCTCTTTCGACGGTGAAGCAGTCACGCCTGCCAGAGTGGGCGCTCGATGGCTCGGCGGCCAGCTGGCGGGGCCTTGGACCAGCGGCCCGGCGCAGGGCGCGCTCCCAATCGCTAGCTCCCGCGGTGCTCGCCGCTGAGAGCTTTCCGGCCACGCCCCACGCGCGCCCCGCCCACCTCAATGCCTCGCTGTCGCCGCCGCCGGCAATTCCAGACTCTGCTAGGGTTAGCAGAGCAGCCGGTAACGTTGCTGGACCGGGACGCACGCTCAGCTGAGGAGGACCCCCAAAGGCAGGCAGTCGGGGATCCAGGGAGCGGGGACACCTCCGGGCGCGAGGGGGCTGTGTCTGGGCTGCCTGTTGGCTGGGAAGGAGAACGCACCAGGGCCGCTGTATGAGTTGAGCGCTCGGGGATCCCGAGGGTGGTCGCGGCAGCAATGTGATCGCGAAAGAAGCCGGTGGGAGAACCGGTCGAGGGGCTAGGTGTCTTGACCCTAAGGGCTGGAGTCCGCCGAGAAGGGGCTGACTGGGGCACAGGGTCGGCTGATAAACAGCGTGGTCCGTTCTTCCTCCTGGACTACGGGAAAGTCTGGCTTCACCTGTGCACAACAGGTAGGCGTGGACTCTGCCCGCCAGCGGGAGCCGGGGTTGCCGGGCGTGTGGGGAAGGTCAGCAAGTCGGAGCCCGCCTCGCCAACTCGCCGCTCCCGGGACCCGCCCTGCGGCGTCCGCTGCGCCAGTGGTCAGCCAGGAGCCGGGCCCCGGCCCGGCCTTCGGGCGAGCTTCCTCAGAGGCCCGTTCGTTTTCTGCAGGAACCCTCAAAGAGAGTTCCCAGAAGGGAGCAGTGGAGAGTGTGGATATTTGCTTTCTAACTGTTGCAGTTCTCTCCAGGAAAGAAAGCTTTTCCTTTGGTGGCATTTGCTTAGTGTGAGGAAACATTTTCTTTCACCCTACTCTCGGCCAACGCGGCGTTATTTCAAGTGATTATAAAGTCTTTAGAAACTTTATAAAGCGTTTTATAGTGTTTATTTATCACAGTAATGGATACCTCTGGCAAGTTGGGATAATTTTCTTGACTGTCAAGTCAGATAATAATAAAATGGCTTGAGCTCCTACATTAAAGGTCATAGTTATCCATTGTTTTTATGTGCATTCATTTATTGAACAAATATGCAGCACTTTTTTGGGGCTAGGCGCCCTTAAGGAATTTACAGCCTGAAAGATATTAGAAGTTTAAGGAGGAAAAAAAGGGGCCCACAAGTACACTTAAGAACTTCCAGAGAAAATACTCCCAGTGAAATTACTTAAGCTGTAGGGAAAGCAGAAGTGTGGTTAGAATTGAGCATTAGTTGGATGGGGAGAGGAGAATTTTGTTTAATTTTCCAAACATTTTAGAAAGTATGTCTTTGAGAAAGTAATTTTAGATAAAGTATCGAAGCCGAGATTTGTGTTACATTTTAATGCCATTGACTTTTTTTTTTTCTTCACTGATAAGCAGGCAGGATTTATAATATAAGAATAGTGACAGTTGGAGAATACTGTAGTATGGATTTGTTGTGCCTTGGAATGCAGTTGTTTTACCTAGATGACTATAGAATAGGAGAATAAGAAAAGACTCCTCACCTGAAAGTCAGGAGACCTGAATTCTAGCTTAAGTTCCCTCCACTATTTATGGATGTTAGATTAGGTCACTTTTTTAGTATTATTCATTATTGTATCTGACTTTAGTCACAGAAAATACATGACTCCAAAGTACCTTTTTAATTCTTAAATTATTAATTAAAATTAACTACATTAAACTAATGAATATATTATCTACAGAAAAAAATTATTTTTTTACTTGTCTTTAACCAATACACTTACCTTTCTTCTTGCTTTGTTTCAAAAAGGTTGAGGTAGTTTATAATAGTCTTTCTTAACTATGAATAACATAAGGGTTAAATTCTGAATTTTTTAAATTCTAAAATTATTCTGAATTAAGCGTTTAATGACATCTGCATTTTTTTAAAAAGCTCTATTGAGTCTTGTGTGGTTCATTAATTATCCCATAGTATAATTGAAGAGTTTGAACAATCCTTTAATGAGACCACAGTCCTCATATAAATAACACTTCTGCTTTTTCAGGAGACATTGAGAAACTGTTATTAAATCTCATTTGAGAAATCAATTAACTGGGGCCAAAAAACTTAGTAAAGACTTGCCTGTGTCACTTAATTAGATCCCTTGTCTAGTTCTAGTGTTAAATTTTTGAATTAAAATAGTGCTCAGCAATCTACAGCCTGTGGGTCAAATCTGCTCTGCTGGCAGTTTTATAAAAGTTTTATTGAACACAACAATGCTCCTTCGTTATGGCTGTGCATGTTTTGTTTTTGAGTAGTTGTGATAGAGACCGTATGGCTCCCAAAGCCTAGAGTATTGTCTGGTCCTTTACAGAAAAAAATTAGTGGACCCCTGAACTAGAGCTCTTAAGTGCTTAATCACTAAATCTTTTGTAGGAGGAAATAGATTAAATTCAGTTTTAATTCTTCTGTTTGTTTGTTTGTTTTTGTTTTTATCGAGACAGGGTCTGGCTCTGTAGCCCAGGCTGGAGTGCAGTGGCGCGATCTTGGCTCACTTGCAAGCTCTACCTCCCCGGTGCAAGTGATTCTCCTGCCTTAGCCTCCCGAGTAGCTGGGAGTACAGGCATGCACCACCACGCCAGGCTAATTTTTGTATTTTTAGTAGAGACGGGATTTCACCATGTTGGCCAAGCTGGTCTCCAACTCCTGATCTCAGGTGATCCGCCCGCCTCGGCCTCCCAAAGTGCTGGGATATTACAGTCATGAGCCACTGCGCCCAGCCTCACTTTTACTTATTAATCTTGGTTTTTCATTATAATGTCAGGTAATTGTAGGACTCATAAATGCTTCTGGATCTGCAGTGTGTAATGATAGAGGAAGGGCATGGTTTTTCTGCTACATTTACCTAGTGTAAAGTTTTATAATTTTGGCAACTCTCTCCTTTTTTTTTTTTTTTGAGATGGAGTCTCGCTCTGTCCCCCAGGCTGGAGTGCAGTAGCGCCATCTAGGCTCACTGCAACCTGCGCCTCCTGGGTTCAAGCGATTCTCCTGCCTCAGCCTCCGGAGTAGCTGGGATTATAGGCGCGTGCCACCACGCCCATCTAATTTTTTTTTCTTTTTTTGAGACAGAGTCTTGTTCTGTCACCCAGGCTAGAGTGCAGTGGCGCGATCTGGGCTGCTGCAAGCTCCGCCTCCCGGGTTCACGCCATTCTCCTGCCTCAGCCTCCCGAGTAGCTGGGATTACAGGTGCTAGCCACCACGCCCGGCTAATTTTTTTTGTTTTGTTTTTTGCTTTTGTTTTTGTTTTTTAGTAGAGATAGGGTTTCACCGTGTTAGCCAGGATGGCCTCCCATCTTCTGACCTCGTGATCCGCGTACCTCGGCCTCCCAAAGTGCTGAGATTACAGGCTTGAGCCACCGCCCCGGCCAACTCTAGCCTTTTGTAAGTCTAGGGAAGAGGAAGAGTTTTTATATTTTCTCTAGCAACTGTGTTAAGTTTTAATTTAGATCTGGTATGGGAAATTTTTTTCGTTTAGTAAACTTCTCTCTTTTTACTATGCCATTCATAGGGTTTATCATAAGCAGCAGTAAGGTACCTTTACTCAAAGCAGGGTTTTTTTTGTTTTATTTATTTGTTTATTTTTATTTTATTTTATTTTTTGAGACAGAGTCATTGGAGTGTACTCAAGCGATCCTTCTACCTCAGCCTCTGAGTAGCAGGGACAACAGGCACATGCCACCATGCCCAGCTAATATTTTGTATTTTTTGTAGAGAGGCGGTTTTGCTATGTCGCCCAGGCTGTTCTCGAACTCCTGGGCTCAAGGAATCCCCTCATCTCGGCCTCCCAGAGTGCTGGAATTACAGGTGGGAGCCACCACATCTGGCCTCAAAAGAGTTTTTTAAACAGGAATCTAGTGATTCCTAGTTGGTCATAAGGTCAGACAGAATATTATTGGAAGTGTAACTGAACAAGAAATCAGACATATTTACAGTGAGAACCAAATGGAAAGTTAGCACTCTTTAAACAGATACCTAACAGATTGAAACAGGAGTATATATCCTGAATCATGCTTGGGCTTTTTTTTCTTTTTTTTTTAATGGTAACAACACAAAATATTTATTTCTAGAAAAGAAGCATAATATGGCCATATTAAAGCACTATATTAATTATTTGCCTAAGAAATTGGAGCTGGTTATGTGACAAAAATGAAGGAAATCTTGAAGAAGGTGATAATTTTAAATATTTAAAGCTGTACATATACTTTTGCCAATCTTAAAACCATCGACCAGATGCGGTGGCTCATGCCTGCAATCCTGGCACTTTGGGAGGCCAAGGCGGGCAGATCACTTGAGGTCAGGGGTTTGAGATCAGCCTGGCCAACAGGGTGAAACCCCGTCTCTACTAAAAATACAAAAAAAAAATTAGCCGGGCGTGGTGGCCGGTGCCTGTAATCCCAGCTACTCAGGAGGCTGAGGCAGATAATTGCTTAAACTCGAGAGGTGGAGGTTGCAGTGAGCCGAGATCGTACCACTGCACTGCAGCCTAGGCGACAGAGCGAGACTCCATCTCAAAAAACAAAAACAAAAATTAGCCAGGCATGGTGGTACACGCCTGGAGTCCCAGCTATTCAGGAGGCTGAGGTGGGAGAATCGTTTGAACCCATGAGGTAGAGGTTGCAGCGAGCTGAGATCCTGCCACTGCACTCCAGCCTGGGCGACAGATTGAGATCCTGTCTCAAAAAAAAAGAAAAGGAAAAAAAAAAACCCATAGTATGGTGCTAATTTTACTAAATTGTTGTTTTATGTGTGTAATGTATTTTTTCAGTAACTTAGTTGTCCTGTATTGCCCAAGTAATGCTTCTTAATGGGTAAATATACAATAGCATTTATATACTTTTCTGTTGCATTTGGAGGTTTCTACATGTTGAATATATGCATATTTGTGTGTCTGTACACAAAATAATACCTTACTCGAAACAAGTAATAACACCTTTTTTATGTAAATAAAATTACCAGAAAACTGAAGTTACCCATTGAATCACCAAAACTCTTAAAAAACTATTTTGGGAGGAAATCAGAAAAAAAGCAAAGCAGATATACACGTACAAAATCCCTTAGTTCTAATTCTGGAGTCTAAAAGGCTCTGAAAAGTTTTTTTCTTAATTCATTTGGTAGCAAAACATGACCTGAACTGATGCAAAGGTATTTGCAGTCATTATCCCATCGTATGTGAATATGAATCTGCCTATCTTTTGCTGCAGAAATATCAGTTAGTTTGATTTACAGAGTGCTGCTCCAGACAATTGTGGGGATTTGATGGAATAGATGGTATGTTTACTGTATTCCATGAGTAGGACATGAAAGTGGCAGTCAGAAGGCAGAATAATACGGAGTTATTCCAGGGAGCTGTAGTTGCAAAGAGCCTAGCTGGACATCTGGCAGGGAGTGAGAAGCAGTGCCTGCCAAGGAAAGCCCTCAGGTGAGGCTCCAAGAGGTTAGAAATTTAGCTAAATTTTAGGTTAGGTAGCTAAATTTTATGAGGTAGGTTGTGAATTAAAAGTAGGAACCAGCCGGGCGTGGTGGCTCACGCCTATAATCCCAGCACTTTGGGAGGCCAAGGCAGGCGGATCACCAGGTCAGGAATTCAAAACCAGCCTGACCAACATGGTGAAACCCTGTCTCTACTAAAGATACAAAAATTAGCTGGGCATGGTGGTGCGCGCCTTAATCCCAGCTACTCAGGAGACTGAGGCAGGAAAATCACTGGAACCTGGGAGGCAGAGGTTGCAATGAGCTGAGATGGTGCCACTGCTCTCCAGCTGGGGCGACAGAGTGAGACTCTGTCACAAACAAACAAACAAACAAATAAATAAATAAATGTAGGAACCATGAGGAAGAGCCAGGACATTAGACCATAGTGTGGATTAAGGGTGAATCTGTGAATTCTAACTGGGATGTAAGAGACATGAACAATTAGAGGAGAGGGAAAAGGAAGATTCCAAAGCAGGTAGAGTCTAATGCCTAAACTTGGAAGTCCTAGATAGCAGATTGCACAAGCAACAGATGCAAGGATTGACTCATTTTTAAAAGGGGGCAAGAATTTCTGGCCTCTCCTGTAAACCCTGATGTGCTGGAGGAATAATGGCATCTTGTACACTTTGCACCTGTATTAAGTAGCCCTATATTGCTCTGCTTTTAAAAATATCTATATTCAATATTATTTGTCTCTTTCATCACTGTTAGCTTCCTGCTCTTAGTGGGTTTGCTCTTTTACTTTTAATGTGTTTCTCTATCTAGAATCCAAATAACTGGATTATTAGTCATGTCTAAACTAAGAATGAATAGGCTTTGATGGATTTATGTCAGTAAAATCCACGAGTTCTGAAACAATTGCTCTATAGACTTTGTTTTTTTACTTCCTGTTACTGGAATCTCAGTTAGGTACCAAGTAGTGTGATTGCTAGCTAGTGACTTTCAGAAGAGTGTGGTGGGAGATACAAGAAAAGTAAAACTTCTTAACTTAAAATCTGCCTCTGGCATTCCTAAAGGTCCAGAATGAAATCCCCCTTCCATGGAGAGATGGGAGAATTGGTGTGTGGAATGAAGCATAATAAAAATAGTCAAGAATAGCCAAAGACTAAACTAATACTTTTAGTACTTATTGATTTGCCGTCTAGATGGAAAGGGCTCTCTGAAAGCTGATGTCTCTGGAAGACATAACACTAACAAAAAGCCTCAAAGTACTGGAGACATAAAAGTGAAGTGATGAGAAAGAACAACAAAGTTAGAAGGACTGGATGCTTCACCAGCTATGGCAATAACTGTATTAGTAATAGCAGTGATTACTGTAGAGACTATATGAAGTAGTTGAAAGAATGTGGACGTTTAGACAGACAGACATGGACATTACCTTCTTCTTCCACTTAAGTAGCATTTCAGCCTCGGACAAATTTCTTAGCTCATTATCTTTCTATGTAAAATTAGAATAATAATATCTTAAGTTTCAGTATTACGAGGATTAAATGAGATAGTGAATTAAAAGGTTTTAGTACGTAGATCCTCAAAAAATAATCATTTTTCTGTCACTGACATCTTAGAGTTGGTTCCTACTGCTCAGTCTTATCCCCTCCCACCCCCCAGAACACTTTCTTTTACGCTTCCGGGGTGTTCTCTTTTGTAATCTGGAAGGAGAATTGCTACACACAGTTATAGTCCAATTAGGGCTCCCACTGGCAATCTCGCCATCATGGAATCCAGCTTCTACCATTTTTCTCATTCCTTACAATAACATGCAGTATTTTGGAAAAAAAAAAAAAAAAAGAAGGCAGAGTAAATTCAGTCCCCAACCTGTAACCCTTTTTCACCCCACTTCTTATAAATTTCTTGTCCCGGTGTTAAATTCTTTGTCTTGGTAACTCCTGTTTCTCTCCTACTCCACCCTGACTTCTCCATCCTAATAAGATGTGCTCCCCATCAGTTCTTAGAGCAGTGTGTATTTGCTGTTCATATTGCTTTGTATTATGCAGTGGTGAGCGGCAACATTCTTCCCGTTCCTACCAAGTTTGCAGGAAATATTCTTGGCATCTTGGTACACTGAATGTGTTTTCATTATATATTACAATTAGAAGTATTAGTGCCGTGCCTGGGGTTCGTCATAAGTTAAGTTTTTGTGGTACGAGTTAGAAAACATGGATTCATTTGACTGTGGGAATTCGTATTCAGAATTCCGTAAATCAAATTTTAAAATATATAGTACAACAAGCATTTTTAGTTTGTAAAGGATGTATATGTGAAAGTTACTTACAATTATAGAATAACACAAATTTTTTTTGAGATGGAGTTTGGCTCTTGTTGCCCAGGCTGGAGTGCAATGGCCTCATCTTGGCTCACCACAACTTTCACCTCCCAGGTTCAAGCGATTCTCCTGCCTCAAGCCTCCCAAGTAGCTGGGATTACAGGCGCCTGCCACCACGCCCAGCTAATTTTATATTTTCAGTAGAGACAGAGTTTCTCCATGGAACTCCTGACCTCAGGTGATCCGCCTGCTTCAGCCTCCCAAAGTGCTGGAATTAACAGGCGTGAGCCACTGCACCTGGCCACAGACTAACACAGATTTTTATGTGAATTGATAAATCTTAAATATACAAAGTTAAAACATCATATATTTGTCTTCTTTTTTTTTTTTTTTGAGATGGAGTCTTGCTCTGTCACCAGGCTCCCGAGTAGCTGGGACTAGAGGCACGTGCCACCACGCCCAGCTAATTTTTGTATTTTTAGTAGAGATGGGGTTTCACCATGTTGGCCAGGATGAGCTCAATCTTGACCTCGTGATCCACCCGCCTCGACCTCCCAAAGTGCTGGGATTACAGGCCACCGCACCTGGCTGTCGTCTTTTTTCTTTATTTACATCTTTATGAGAAGATTCTGTTTATATAGATAATTTGATCCAAAATACTAATCAGAAATGCCCTCTTTTAAGTAGAAGTATGACATTGATAGTCATTGATAGTGGAAATTATATATCCTTCTACTAGCAATAAATCATTTCAGGCTGCATGCAGTGACTCAACGCCTGTAATCCCAGCACTTTGGGAGGCCAAGACGGGCAGATCACTTGAGGCCAGGAGTTCGAGACCAGCCTGGTCAACATGGTGAAACCCTGTCTCTACTAAAAATACAAAAATTAGCCGGGCATGGTGGCACATGCCTATAATCCCAGCTATTTGGGAGGCTGAGATACGAGAATAGCTTGAACCTGGGAGGCAGTGCTTGCAATGAGCCAAGATTACACCACTGCACTCTAGCCTGGGCAAGAGAACGAGACTGTCTTAAAAAAAAAGAAAGAAATCATTTTATAATATGAACAAAAAAAATTTTAAATTTTTTTGACGTATGCTAGTCTTTAATGATTAGTATTTCAAAGATTGTATTCTATAGAACACCAATTCTATGAGATTCCTGGCTGGGAAAAAAAGAAAAAGGGAGTGGAGGAGAAGCCTATGGTTAAAACATGTTTAGAAACATCAAATGCTCTATCTGCACACCCTCTTGGCAGTACATAGTGCACATTACCATGTTACATGTATGGAGAAACTGGTGAAGAAAACTGACAACGAGGCATTTCCCAAAACCATTTCAACTTGGATTTCCCCCTCTTCCCACAGAATACATGTTTTCATTCTTCTGGCAGCATTCCACAAAGTACTCTTGGTAAACACTGCTTTATCTGAAGGTTTCTCTTAACATGTAAAACTTCTGCACTCGTAGTTTTCTTTACTTTTTTTTCCTCCCATTAAGCCTTTTGCACTCCTGTGCATTTGTAGTTTTCATGGTTTTATATGACAGCCTAGTATTCTTTGAATATGTCAAATTTAACCATTTCTCTTGTGTTGGACTTGTAAGTTCTTTTGAATTTTCACTGGAATTACAGTTAATTACAGTGCTGTAATTAATACTTTTATACTTATATTTTCCTTTTTCTTATGAATTTTCAAAAACTGGATGTTTTTGTCAAATGGTTTTGATATTTTTGTAACCTCTGATAAATAATATTTTTTTCTAAAAGAGTTGAACCATTTGTACTGCCACTGTTTATATTAAACTATCAGCTTTTCTAAAATTTCAGCATTGGCTATAAAAGTTTTTGCATTTTTCATATTTAGATTTAATATGCATAGGTTTGAACCACTCAGCTCAATCAAATTATTTCCTATTGAGCTTAAATCATTATTATATTGTTAACATTTCAAATTTTTAACTAATGATAGCCAATTTATTTGTAGGGTTGTTATAGAGAATTAGAAAGACTAATATTAAGGTCATACAGAATAATATCCTAAGTTTGAATTTCATTTTCAGAGATTTTTCTGCTGTTTTCTGAGGCAAGTGATTTTTTTTAGCCTAATTTTAAAGTATTTTATTGTAGAAAGAAGGAAGCAAGATATTTCAGATTCAAAGATGGAATTGATACAGACAAGATTTTTAAATTATCAAGTTTTAACTGTGTTAAAGAACTCTAACATTATAAATGACTTGCTTCTTATCCATTTTACCCTAAAACTAATAAAGTGTACCAGTTAAGTGTCAGCAAACCAGCTTTAGGATTCTGCCTAGAGATGTATAAAGTACTGTAACAAAAGGACTTAATTTTCTTTATACCAGGGGCAGCCTTCTTTAAGCAACATCTCAAGTGTGGCCTAATGCTCTGTGTAACTGGTGAGTTCCTGTTTTTGTAACGTATAATTTTGCAAAGCCTAAATCACAAATGAAAATCTGAGGTCAGGGTAGAATAATCTAGCTTCCTTCTAGATGAAAGCTAATTACTGTATTTTTGGGAGAGGTTTAGATTTTAGGATTTATCTGTGTTTCTTGAATTGTGGGAGTTCTTGACAGTTGGGGTTTTTTTTGTTTGTTTACTTCATGCTTTTTGTTCAGAACTGAGGAACTAAGACTATAGGGTGAGTTGAAGCTGTTACGGTGTCTTTTAGAGAAGTAAAAGTCAAAGAAAAATAATTGAAATTTAAGTCTGAGACGTATCCCAACACTTCAGGTACTTGATACATTCTGGAATTAGTTTCATTTACTGTTTAGTAACTTTTTTGTTTTGTGAATTATTTTCATGCTCCAGAAGGAAGACACTAACAAACCAATCCAATAAACCTATCTTATCTCATGTCCAATGTCCTCTTTGATTATTTGTGATTTTTCCCTTTTCCGCCCTTGAAATGATATAATCATTTTAAGGAACTAAAATGACCAAGAAGATTAGAATACTTTTTTCTCCCAATAAATTTCAACATATGTTTCCGTCCATACCAAAATAGACCTGTAAACTCTAGAGAGAGAAAATTATATTAGCAGTTTCTATCAGGACCAGAATAATCAGCAGCCTGTATATTTGTTGACATTGTTGAAGGTGCTTACACTGTCATGCCTAAATAAAATTGAAGTTAACTCATTTCCAAATGAATTAAAACCAACCCTTGTTGATAATATGGTTGGTTTTGTTTGTTTTGAGACAGGGTCTTGCTGAGGCTGGAGTGCAGTGGCGCGATCTTGGCCCACTGCAGCCTCCATCTCCCTATCTCAAGGGATCCTCCCACCTCAGCCTCACGAACAGCTGGGACTACAGGTGTGCACCACCACACCCAGCTAACTTTTGTATGTTTTGTGGAGACAGGGTTTTGCCATGTTGCCCAGGTTGGTCATGAACTCCTCGGCTCAAGTGATCTGCCAGCCTTGGCTTCCCAAAGTGCTGGGATTACAGGCATGAGCCACTGCGCCTGGCCTGATAATACGGTTGTTAACTGCTCTTAGATGTGGTTTTGGAGTAAGTTACTTTAGAAAAGAAAACTCTGAGGCCGGGCATGGTGGCTCACGCCTGTAATCCCAGCACTTTGGGATGCCGAGGCGGTTGGATCACCTGAGGTCAGGAGTTCAAGACCAGCCTGACCAATATGGTGAAACCCTGTCTCTACTAAAAATACAGAAGTTAGCCAGGCCTGGTGGCATGTGCCTGTAGTCCCAGCTGCTCTGGAGGCTGAGACAGGAAAATCACTTGAACCCGGGAGGCGGAGGTTGCAGTGAGCCAAGATTGTGCCATTGCACTCCAGCCTGGGCAACAGGGTAAGACTCCATCTTTTTTTTTTTTTGAGACGGAGTCTCGCTCTGTCGCCCAGGCTGGAGTGCAGTGGCGGGATCTCGGCTCACTGCAAGCTCCGCCTCCCGGGTTCACGCCATTCTCCTGCCTCAGCCTCCCGGCTAATTTTTTGTATTTTTAGTAGAGACGGGGTTTCACCGTTTTAGCCGGGATGGTCTCGATCTCCTGACCTCGTGATCCGCCCGCCTCGGCCTCCCAAAGAAGACTCCATCTTTATAAAAAAGGAAAGAAAAGAAAACTCTGGCCCTAGAATATTGGTGCCCTGCTGGTTCCTTTTTCTATTAGTAGTCAATAATATACATATGTGTTACTCTAGGCTAATAAAGTCACTAGGCTTAATACAGAGCCAATCGAAAGGAAAGAATACTATGCAAAGTACAGACATTAGTACATACACTATGTCTGACATTTGAAGACTGGTACTTAAGTTGAATCACATAAATTGTCAAGCCAGCCTTTTTTTTCACCTATAAAAATGGCAGTTTCATATAGTTCAACTTACTCATAGCTTAGTGGTTCTTCAATTTTTCCATTAAAATAGTATTCTTATCAGCAAAAGGGAGTGATTTTTGTTAAAGGACATCTAGAAAGGCATTATCATTCTCAGGATTTCTTTGAAGTCTCATGTTTTATCTTGAAGTGTTTTATTAATTTTGCCTTCTATTATGCATAAATCTGTATTTTAATATAAAATAATGTTAAAAATTAATGCTTAGGGAAAACTTTAAGTAAAATTTGACCCTTTAGTCTAAATTTGACCTCTAGCATAGTAATATGCTTCATAATCTGTTGGCACAATGCTGGAGTTATCCCAATTTGAAAAGCATAATTTGGATGTTACCTTGGTACCTTAGGTCTAGTTTGCAGTGCCTACTTTTCTCAACATAAAAGACCTCTGGTATGAAAATGATGACTGAGTAACTAGGAGTATCTGTCATGTACAAAGTACAGACAGTTTTGAGAGAAGCAAATAGTGCCCAGAGAAATACCTAGTCTAAAAGCATTTAAATACCTTTATAACTTAGTTCAGTTATTGGCTTTAGGGTAAGCACATACAATGTTTGGCTGTAAAGTAATGGAATTAACATTCTTGTGTAGCTTTTAAAAATACATTAATAGGGCCGGGCATGGTGGCTCACCTCTGTAATTCCAGCACTTTGGGAGGCCAAGGCGGATGGATTACCTGAGTTCAGGAGTTCGAGACCAGCCTGACCAACATGGTGAAACCCTGTCTCTACTAAAAATACAAAATTAGCCAGGTGTGGTGGTGGATGCCTGTAATCCCAGCTACTTGGGAGGCTGAGGCAGGAGAATTGTTTGAACCTGGGAGGTGGAGGTTGCAGTGAGCCGAGATCGCACCATTGCACTCCAGCCTGGACAACAAGAGTGAAACTCCATCTCCAAAATACATATATATATATATATATATATATATATATATATATATATATATATATATATAAATAAAATAAGTGATGATAACAGGTACATGTTAATGTTTCTCCTTGGAACAGTTTGCTTAGGTCTAGAAGTTGCTAGGTGCTGGCAGCATTTTGACTAATACTTCATACTATATTGCATTCATGGAGAGTCATAATATACATTAACCTAATTAAATAGCCTGAGAAATCTTGTAGGTAAAAATCCCTAACTTTGTCTTAATGCAAGATTCCCAAGTTTATTACACCAAGGAACCTGATGTTCTGTCTTTGGGAAACAGTGTACTCTAGTTCCGTATATCCACAAATGGTGTACAAAATGTAAGCTTTTTAAAAAATGACTTGCTTTGGGTTTGTTTTTTGATCACGGCTTGCTGTTGCCTCAACCTCCTGGGCTCAAGTGATCTTCTTACCTCAGCCTCCTGAGTAGCTGGGACTGCAGGTGTGCACCACCATGCCCAGCTAATTTTTTTATTTTTTGTAGAGATGGGGGTCTCATTATGTTGCTCAGGCTGGTCTTGAACTCATGGGCTCAAGCAACCCTCCTGCTTTGTCCTCTCGAAGTGCTGGGATTATAGGCGTGAGCCACTGTGCCCGGCCCTACTTCTCGCTTTTTTTTTTTTTTTTTTTGAGACAGAGGTTCACTCTTGTCACACAGGCTAGAGTGCAATGGAATGCAATGGCGTGATCTTGGCTCACTGCAACCTCTACCTCCCGGGTTCCTGGGTTCAAGCGGTTCTTATGCCTCAGCCTCCCGAGTAACGGGGAATACAGGGATATGCTACCATGCCCGGCTAATTTTTTGTATTTTTGGTAGAGACAGGGTTTCACCATGTTGGCCAGGCTGGTCTCGAACTCCTGATCTCAGATGATCCACCTGCCTTGGCCTCCCAAAGTGCTAGGATTATGAGCGTGAGCCACTGGGCCTGGCCTAACTTCTCACATTTTTGAGGAGCTTGATTGGATGAAAGGGTGGCAGCATAGTATGTTGTGGTTAAAACAAATCTTATCTGAAGTCAGATTGCTTAAGTGCACACCCAGGTTCTGTGTGACCTTGGGAAAGTCAGTTAGCTTCTCTGTGCTTCAATGTCCTCATCTGTAAAATAGGGCTAATCAAAATAGCTGCTTCATGGACAATTTGGCAGATTATTCAAGGAAATAATGTAAAGCACTTAGAGTACTGCTTAGACTATAATAAGTAAGCAGTAAATATTAGCTGCTTCTGTTAAATATAGCTGGCATTACATTTGGAGCAGCAGGTTTATGAAATCCTTTTTTCAAGTGGCAACTAACTATACTTTGAAAAATATATTTAAATATATTGACATATGTGTTTACTTGTAGGAAATCACCTTATAATCTCAACAGAAACATAAGGGAAACTAAGAGAAAAATTAGAAAAATAAGCATTTCTCAGGTATATGTAGGGTTGTGGTTATTTTAAAACGTATAGCAGATAACATTGACTGAATTTGTATTCATCTTCCTGATGAGGTAAGACTTCAGATAAGAGCAGCAGCCATCTGTTTGCAAAATGCCCTTGCTTATCACATTGGTAGTGCGAATGTGGAGCTCTCAGGTGCATTTTAGACTTGTGAGTTTTAGATGCGAGATTACCAACATGAATTGTCTACTTCCTTTAGGAGTAATTTACATAAGGAATGTATTGAGGGCATTAGAGATGACTTTATGACCTGCTTATGATCTCAAGCTTTTTACTGAATAATTTATCATCACATTGTGTTAGCTATTTTGCTTCTTGATAGATCATTTTACACCACAATATTGCTGGTGCCTAAGGAAAAAAAATGTCTCTTCAGCAGATCTTAATGATTTCTAGAAAGGGTAATTTGATTCTGAAGATAGGATTTTGACTTGCCCTGGTATTAATAAGAAATTTTCTCTATGATACTGTGGTTATTTCCACCCCCCAAACAATCATAGATACTAAGTGCAAACTTGCTTTTCGCCTTTTCTGTATTTAGTAGGGTTCTTCCAGAAATTATTTCTGTAGCATTTATTAACTGTATCCTTAATTGTGAATATTTTGGCTAGTTCACTTTGATAATTGAACAAAGGAAAGGAGGGTTTTTTAAAACAAGCTAGAATTTTTGTTGCTTCAGTAAAAATGAATGTTTAGCAGCATTGTTTATATTCCTTTTTTGTTGTTGTTCAAGACAGAGTCTCACTCTGTCCCCCAGTCTGGAGTGCAGTGGTGTGATCCTGGCTCGCTGCAACCTCTGCCTTCAGGGCTCGAGCGATACTCCTGCCTCAACCTCCCAATCAGCTGGGACCGCAGGTGCACACCACCATGCTTGGCTAATTTTTGTATTTTTCGTAGAGATGGGGTTTTGCCGTGTTGCCCAGGCTGGTCTCAAACGCCTGAGTTCAGGTGATCTGCCTGCATTGGCTTCCCAAAGTGCTGGGATTACAGGTGTGAGCCACCACACCTGGTCACATCGTTTATATTCTTTGTTCTGTAAAAGTGACATTTTTGAAAATGACCTAATATTTTCTTTCTCTTTCGTCTTTTTTTTTTTTTTTTTTTGGTGGAGACAGTGTCCCACTGTTACCTAGGCTGCTCTCAAATTCCTGGCCTCAGCAGTTCTTCTGCCTGGGCCTCTCAAAGTACTGGGATTACAGGCATGAGCCATCGCACATGGCACTGGACCCAGATTTTTTCTTTTTTTTATTTTGAGACAGGGTCTCACTCTTCACCAGGCTGGAATGCAGTGGTGTGGTCATGGCTTACTGAAGCCTCCACCTCTCTGGCTCAAGTGATCCTCCTACCTCAGTCTCACAAGTAGCGGGGACTACAGGCACGCGCCACCATGCCTGGCTAATTTTTAAATTTTTTGTAGAGACAAAGTCCGTCTATGTTACCCAGGCTGGTCTCGAACTCCTGGACCCAAGACTCAAGCGATCCTTCTGCCTCAGCTACCCGAAGTGCTGGGATTACAGGTGTGAGCCACTGTGCCTGGCCCTGGACCCAGATTTTTATGTGCAATCTTCTTATGTTTAAATGTTAGCCCCAATGCATTGCAGGCAGTCTTGACCAACAGGGAACCAGTTTGTGACTACTGTCTTTTTATTAAAGAGGCTTTTTTCAGTTATATTATAATTATGATGAGCTGATATTCTAAGTAATTTCAAACAGGTAAACTGTTGGAGAAAAACATGAAAAAATGAAAAGCCTTTCCCAAGTCTGTCATCTAATTTTCTAATACCTCTTTAGTTACTGGCTTCTCTGTAAAAGTATGAGGTTTGTTTAGGGAAATGTAAGATATGTATTTTAAATATTTTAGTTAAATTAGCCATAGCATTTTATCTACATTCCTATGAAATTCCAATTAACATGTTTCTATTTAGGTACACTAGTGAATAGGAATACCCATCTTTTGTATATGATCTGGTACCTTCTATGTTCTTTAATGTTCCTGATGATAGCTGCTACTCCTGCAAGTAGTAGTATTTTTTAATAGCCAACTTGTGTTTTATTTCTTAAATAATTTTTTCTACTTTTTGTTGTGCTTTTTAAAATGTGGAAAAATGAAGAGTAGTGAAATGATCACTCACATACCCACTACCTGTATTCGGCTGTTAACATTTTGCCATATTTTATGGTTGAGTGCACGATTTAACCATTTAAAAAGTAAGTTGCAGTAAAGCATCCATGTCCTAAAAATAAAAAATTCTGTCTAGTAATCACAATTCCATCTTATAAATTTGTATGTTAATGTGAATATGTATGTATATACATACACTTATATGCTGCGTGTGCTCTGTAACAGCACTAAGGTGTACCCAGGAGATGCTGTTGAATAAAACAATAATTTTACAAACCCTGTGTCTTCTGTTGATTGTTTGCTACAACAAAATTAAGGCTGCATTGGATCTAGGTCAGAGCAGATATGATCTTGATTGCTATAATTCCTGGACAATACCCATTTAAAAAAGTTTGCTCTCACAAGACTTTCAGAGATAAGCCTAGTTAAGACTGGACTCTCCTAAACTCCCAGCCTGAAACTATAAGCAATGCCTTTATTAGGCTGGGGGAACTGATGCTAATGGGCTTAAGTCCCTCTTGGATCTCCAGGTAAATGACAGGGCATGTACCTAGCTAGGCAAAGGCTCAGAGAGATGGCAAGCTTTACTATAGAATTCTAGTAGAAGGTCTGGATGTTTGGTGTCATTTGTTAATATGTACCTATTACCCATTTTAGTAAGTTACTTAAACTACAAAGAAAACCCAACACAGAATAAACAGCCTAATCTTAAAATTTTCAGAATTTTAGTGGAATGTCTCTTCTGTTTAGCAAGTTTTTGCATACAAATGCAAATATTGCTACTCTATTTTTGCCTGTCTGCTTGAGTACAGAATATAAGGGTGGATTTTATGTCAGTGTTAACTAGAACATTATTGGGATTTTCCCAGATTCACCCTAGAGCATTTATAAAAAATGTATACATTTAATTATGTTTTCACTTTTCTGATTTCCGTTATGATTGCCTTCCTTTTTACCCCCCTTTTAAAATACATTATTTTCCTGTATTGCAGATTTTTATTGTTAGGTATATTGACCAAAGTTTAACGAGAAGAACTGTGATCAGCTGGGAGGATTGCTGCAAGGAATGGAATTAGCTCATAGCTTACTGCTGAATGAAGAAGCATACAATCAACTAGGTGAAGTTCAGAAGGCAGAGTTTATTTTTGAGTGGTTGAGATACTTGGAGAAGCTCTTGTTGGCAACCAGCAGGGTGGGTAAAATGACAACATCTGTTTTTTTGTTTAAGTGCCCATGTTTACTTCCTTTGGTTTGCTTTTCTAGTTTTTTCCAGAATAACCTAATTTAGCTTTACAATGTTAGACTTTGTTAAAACTTAATGAAGTATATTACATTTTTTGTTCCCTCATCAGAATTTTTATTATTAGAAGAAGTTTTCGCTATTCAGAAAAGCAGGAAGAAATTAGCTAATGTTTTTGGTATTACTTTAAAAATATATGAAACACCAACTACAACTACTTTCTATTATACTTCGTTTTTGTTATGGTCTGCATCTATGTTCCTCCGTGTACATAAAGCCCTGGTACAGTATAGTGGCTAAACAATGTAGTGGGAGTTTCACTTTAAAAAGGTATGAAGACTTGAGGTGTATGAATTCAAGAGCCTATGGATAAACAGATTCCCTCTTCAAAGCTTATGACATGAGTGTGAAAAAGGAAAACTGATCACTCATACCCTTCACCTACATTCAGCAATTAGTAACATTTTGCCGTGTTTGGTTGATTAATTTACTAAGCCATTGAGGTGGCACTTTACTTTTAGCCTACGTCTCCTAAAAATAAGAACATTTTTTCACATAATCACAGTACTATATGCAGTTCCAAAGTGGTAGAAAAACACTACTCATGGAGACATTTAGAATTTAACAGAAGACATTTTATTTATGAATTTAAAATAGTAGCATTCCAAAACACATTCTTGTTCTGAGACAACAGGGAGCTGTGTGACTCTAGTTATCAAAATATTTGACAAGTTTGCTGATCTTTAAGAGAGGGAAAAAAAGCAACTTCTAGATTTGGGGAAAAAAAAACAAAAGACAAAATTCTATACACTGACAAATATTTTATTGTGGAATTTTAGGCCTCATTGAGCACCTGAATACCATTAGCTTTATAATGATACTGTGTACTCTTTATTCAGATAGCAGACAAGGAAAATGGAATAATGTTATTAACATTTATATACGTAAGCTTGCAAAAAGAAAATTGCCCTACACTTAGGAATAGACCTGAATAAAACAGGTAGCCATTACAAGGTCAGCTCTGGTTATAGATTATAGTTTACTGCTTTATGCAGCTATATATGAGGGAGGTGTAGGATTAGTAACTCAGATGCTGTAGTTGAAAATACAAATTTGGACATGGTGATGCATGCTTATAGACCAAGTTACATGGTAGGCTGAAGCAGGAGGATTGCTTGAGCCCAGGAATTTGAGGCTGTAGTGTAGCACTATAATTGCTCCTATGAATAGCCATTGCACTCTACCCCAGGCAACATAGTATGACCTTGTGTATTAGTCCGTTCTCACACTGCTATAAAGAACTACCTGAGACTGGGTAATTTATGAAGAAGAAAGGTTTAATTAATGCACAGATATGCAAGCTTAACAGGCATGAGTGGGAGGCCTCAGGAAACTTAAACAGTCATGGGAGAAGGCGAAGGGAAAGTGAGGACCTTCTTCACATCATGGCAGGAAGGGTTGCGGGGAAGTGTCACACACTTTTAAACCATCAGATCTTGTGAGAACTCACTCACTGTCACAAGAACAGCATGGGTGAAATCCACCCCCTTGATCTAATCACCTCCTAGCAGGCCCCTCCCCTGAAACATGGGAATTACCATTCAGCATGAGATTTGGGTGGGGATGCAGAGCCAAACCATTTCACATTGTCTCTATTAAAAATAATAATACGCGGTGGCTAACGCCTGTAATCCCAGCACTTTGGGAGGCCGAGGTGGGTGGATCATAAGGTCAGGAGATCGAGACCATCCTGGCTAACACCGTGAAACCCTGTCTGTACTGAAAATACAAAAAATTAGCCGGGCATGGTGGCGGGCGCCTGTAGTCCCAGCTACTCGGGAGGCTGAGCCAGGAGAATGGCGTGAACCCAGGAGGCGGAGCTTGCAGTGACCGGAGATCGGGCCACTGCACTCCAGCCTGGGCGACAGAGCGAGACTCCATCTCAAAAAAAAAAAAACAATAATAATAATAATACAAATTTGCTCTGCCTTTCAAACAAAAGAAGAAAGATTTCGAATACATAGAGCCCTTATATTTGTTAACAGAGATTGCAGTGTAATGTGGTTCGGAATTTTTGGAGGGCTTTTTTATTATTAGCAGGGCAGCAAACTACCTGATTAGTCTGGCATAATGACCACACTACCAACTTATTTGTAACTTCCAGTCAAAGTAAGTTTGTATTTTTCTAGAGCCTTTTTAGTTCTTAAATATATGAAAGAAAAATTATATTAGGGGATTACAGATAATTATATTGACTTTGAATTGTCTTTGTGTTATCTTTCTTTCTAGAATGATGTAAGGGAGAAACAGAAGACTCTTGTTGAACAGCTCCTGTCTTTGTTGAACAGCTCCCCAGGGCCTCCTACCCGCAAACTGCTTGCTAAGAATCTAGCCATACTTTATAGTATTGGAGACACATTCTCCGTTCATGAAGCAATCGATAAATGTAATGATCTTATTCGTAGCAAAGATGATTCTCCAAGTTATCTTCCCACTAAGCTGTAAGTGAAACATTAAAACAGAACAGAAAACAAAATATTGCTTCCTGTTGTATTTTTATGAAGTACCCATAGTACTTGACATTTACTTTGAAACTGAATGCAAACTCAGTTTTACTCATTTTCAAAATCTAACTTAAAAAAGAAACTAACACTTTTCATGTTAGTTGCTGAGAAACAATTCTACAAATACTTTAGACGTATTTGAAGTCTAGATTTGAGATTCAAAACATCTTCCTAAAATTTTAGCAGTTGAGTGTTTAAGAAAGATATTTTAAATTCTTCACATTTTTGGATGCTTTTATAATTTATTCATTCTTGGTTATGAAAATTGATAGTAAATATCATGTAGAAAAGTATTTGCTAAGATCCTAAAAAGAACAGCTTAGTTTCTCTATAGGATTTAGTTCATTTTATCACCTATTATCTTTAAAAAGGCAATGAGCCATGTAATATTTCTTTTTTTTCCTGTTTTTTGAGACAGAATCTCTGTCCACCCAGGCTGGAGTACAGTGGCGTGATCTCGACTCACTGCAACCTCTGCCTCCTGGGTTCGAGCGATTCCCCTGTCTTAGCCTCCCAAGTAGCTGGGACTACAGGCACATGGCACCACTTCGAGCTAATTTTTGTATTTTTAGTAGATACGGGGTTTCACCATGTTGGCCAGGCTGGTCTCAAACTCCTAACCTCAAGTGATCCACCCACCTTGGCCTCCCAAAGTATTGGGATTACAGGCATGAGCCATTGCACCTGGCCACCATGTCATAATTCTATAAAGTTTTTGTTGGTCTCATTTTTACCTTATAACAGAATGTATTCCCCCATAAAGTTTTCAGATTTCAAACTTGATGAGAACATTATTTCTTGTTTTTATTTTTATCTTTAAGCTTATCTTTTTGTTATCTAATATGTAGCTGAGTTCTGTTGAAATATTTTGTAGAATTTTGTAACAAACTTGAGGGTGTGTAATCTTTGGGCTGAATAGTAGAGTAATCACAGATTGATACATCCTTATTATTGAAAGTATAATCATATTCACCTAAGTGTCGTGCCTTAGGATTTAACCACAGAATAGATTCTTAGAAATTTTATCCTTTCAAAGCAAAATTTAAAATAGTCACTTTTTCAACAAATGATGCCAGTATAACTGTATGTCCACATGCAAAAGAATGAATTTGGACTCTTCTGTTACACCATGTATAAAAAATTAACTCAAAATTGATCATAGATGTAAGTGTAACAGCTATTACTGTAAAACTCATAGGAAAAAACATAGGGGTAAATCTTTGTGACCTTGGCTTTGGCAGTGTTTCTTAGACACAGCACCAAAAAGCACAACTGACAAAAAATAGATGAGACTTCATCACAATTAAATATGTTTGTGTTTCAAAGGATAATACAAAGAAAGTAAAAAGACAAGAGAATGGGGGATATTTTTCAACAGTTATCCTTACATATCCTAAGATCTTTTTATTCCTATTTTTTCAGCTGTGACTAATTTCTAATTTAAATGTTGTTTCAGTGCTGCTGTGGTATGTTTGGGTTCCTTGTACAAGAAGTTGGGTAGAATACTGGGTAACACCTTTACTGATACAGTGGGGAATATTCTTAAAGCTATGAAGAGTGCAGAGGTAAGTAATTACAAGTTCAGCCAAAGAATGAAAAGACAGCATTTTATTGGTTTATGCTTTCCTGAGCAAATCAAAGAGCTTTACATATGTCAAGCATATGTAGATATGAATATAAATGTACCCATAAATTAATATTTCTAGGTGATGCACTGTATGTACTCTGTATATTGAATCCCAGTTAGAAAAATAGTAATGCAGTAGAATTTCATGTATTCATATAAATCCAAGCGGGCGAAAACTAACGTATTCCACTTACAGTCCCATCCCTACTCTCTCCTCTTACTCCATCTTTTCTATTTGATAGTACTTAACTGGTGCCAGTGCAACTGCTTGTCACCAGGGACTACATAGTTGATAAACATTGTATACCTTATGGATAGATGAGTTACTGTACTAGCATCAGAAGGTAGTAAGGAATATAATCTGAGGGGAAAGAGTGTAGAGGATGTGTGACCAGATCCAGATGACCTTTTAATTGCCAAGGGAGTATATTTTCAACTTTATCCTCATTGAAATATTTGTGTCACTTACTCCTCTGGAACACCCTTTGTTTTTGAGACTGTCTCTTCATTTGACTTTAAGATATTAAGATACTATAATCTCTTGCCAGCTGTGGTTTTACTGGTTTTGAAATGAAAGCATTTATATGTTTGTTTAGCAAAAGGTTTAAATCCGTGGTCCCTAATATGTAAGGACAACTTAGCACCTTTAAATATAAAAACATGGACATGGTAGTTCGCACCTGTGATCTCAGCTACTTGAGAGGAGATGGGAGGATCACTTAAAGCCAGGAGTTTGAGACCACCTGGGCAACACTGGAAGACCCTGTCTCTACAAAAACATAAATTAGTTGGGGTATGGTGGTGAACACCTGTAGTTCTAGCCCCTCGGAAGACTGAGGCAGGAGGATCACTTGAGCCCAGGAGTTCGAGGCTGTCGTGAGCTATGGTCATGCCACTGGACTCCATCCTGGGTGACAGAGCAAGACCCTGTCCCTTTTTTTTTTTTTTTTTTGAGACGGAGTCTAGCTGTGTCACCCAGGCTTGAGTGCAATGGCGCGATCTCAGCTCACTACAATCTCCGCCTCCTGGGCTCCAGCAATTCTCCAGCCTCGGCCTCACAAGTAGCTGGGATTACAGGCGCGTGCCACCACGCCTAGCTAATTTTTTGTATTTTTAGTAGAGACGGGGTTTCACCATGTTCACCAGGCCATTCTTGAACTCCTGACCTCAAATGATCCAGCTGCCTCGGCCTCCCAAAGTGCTAGGATTACAGGCATGAGCCACCATGCCCGGCCCAAGACCGTGTCTCTTAAAAAATATTTATTTAAAAAAAAAAATCTAAAAACATCACACTGGTTACTCTTGTCACTTTATTTACAAAAATAATCTAGAGAACAGCCCTGAAGTAATTTATAGAAATGTTGGAAAGTCACACACACATTTTTAAAAAATGTAACAAGGCAAAACATGGGAAAATTCCAATAAAAAATAGGTTAAATTTTAAGAAGGACGTAGCTGATTCAAGAACTTTAAGAAGTGAAGACTCTAACGTAAAACTGATGAGAAAATTTGCTCATCAGATCACTTCTCAGCAATAGTTTCCTAAAAGATTGAAGAAAATGATTAAGGAGAACAGATTTTTTTTAATACCTGTAAGTCTGGTTTTATTTAAAAGCAGATATCTGTAAGAAATTTTATTTACTAAGATACAGTCATTTTAAACTTTCTTCCTCCTAATTCCACTGGTTAAGTTCTAACACTTTTTAGGCCCCTTGGTTAATAGAGGATTACTCTATAGTTATGAAAATGTTGTAAGTTACTGATAAGTATATTGTTGCTCCCCTATTTTTTAAATTTTTTTAACTAACATCCTTGAGCCATATTCCCTACTTTTGATCTTTGATTTAGTTGATCAGGTATCACAACATTTCAGAGATGTCCACACTCACCAGTGATACACAACATTTGGAACTGGAATAAAAGAAAAGTTCTGAAGTTGCTCGTTAGCATTATTTTATTATGTTCACCTATGACTTTTAAGTGCCTTTAAACAAAGATAAATTAACAATATTACTATGAAATGATTCTTGATGCTGATCTTTGTCTTCCTCCAACTCCAACTTCTCTACCTTCAGTGGCCCAACTTCCTGGGATATAGATATGATTTGAGGCATTTAGTAAAACATTAATAAAATAAGCAGCTACTATTTCTTTTTCTTTTTTTTTAAAGACAGGGTCTGGCTCTGTCACCCAGGCTGGAGTTCAGTGGTGCAGTCTGTACTCACTGCACCCTCTGCCTCCGATTGTACCCTCTGCCTCCCACTGCACCCTCTGCTTGCCAGGCTCAAGCCACCCTCCCACCTCAGCCTCTCAGTAGCTGAGACTAAAGGTGTGCACTACCACGCTCCCACCTCAGTCTCCTGAGTAGCTGGTTCTAGAGATGTGCACTAACACTCCTGACTAAAATTGTATTTTTTGTAGAGTTAAGGTTTCACCATGTTGCCCAGGCTGGTCTCGAAGTCCTGAGCTCAAGCAATCGGCCCACCTTGGCCTCCCAAAGTGCTGAGATTGCAGGTGTGAGCCACCGCACCCAGCCAAGCAGCTACTATTTCTTGACTTTTAACTGTGTGCCAGGCACTGTGGTGAATGTTTACCCATGAGGTTCATCTTATCCTCATTTTATAGATGAGGAAATAAGAACAATTTAAAGTCACAAAGTTACTGCGGGTCACAGAGAAGTTCAAACCCAGGTTTTTTCAATTCTAAAGCCAAGACTTTTAAACTGTGAGTTAAGCTGTTCCAACCAATAAATAATAACAAAGTATAGCTACCAAATCTATTGAACATTTGTTGTATGTCTGGGCTTGTTGTAAGCACTTTGTGTGTATGACTCATTTATTCCTTACAACAGCCTATGAGGGATACTATTACCTCTGTTTTTTAGATGAAGGAACAGATTTGCCCAAGGTCCTATCTAGTAAATGGCAGACCCTGCATTTTTAATAGGTTAGCTTAGACTATAGCAACTATTTATTGAATGCTTAATGGCATGTAAGCTTTTTGCTAGGCACTTTTCATGTAATTTTGTTTAATCTTCACATCAACCCTGTGAAATTTGTATCATGTTGAAAATCAGTGTATACAAGTAACTTTTCAAATAATATTTCATAAAATAGTAACTTGTTTCTTGATGTCATAATGGGTTGGTTAGTATGTAGAGAAGTCTGGATATTTCTTCAGTATGAGAGACAGATATCAATGTTTAATCCTGTTCTTTGCAGTTTAATTATTTTTCCTATTTAATTTTTTTTCTTTTTGGAAGTCTCAAGGCCGATATGAGATTATGCTAAGTCTGCAAAATATATTGAATGGACTAGGAGCTGCCGCTGCACCTTGTCACAGGGATGTTTATAAAGCTGCTAGATCCTGCTTGACAGATAGATCCATGGCTGTTCGTTGTGCTGCTGCAAAGGTAAAATGATCTAATAAGCAGACTTTAAAAATTAATATAAAGAAAAGTAAATCAGCTTCTTTGTGAAAGCATTAGTAAAAGCTACATGATCTTGGTAGTCAGCTAGGACTATCTCATTTTAACATATGAGGAAACTAAGGCCCAGAGTTATATGAATTTCCCAAGGTTCAAAGAGTTAGCAACACATTGTCAGAGGGTAGGAAGTTCAGGTTTCCAGAATCTTAAGTATTCATTCTACTCTACTATGTTTTCTCCGTAATTGTGTAAATTAAAATTTACATGTGAGGTTTATGTTGTTTCAAAGTGATTTTTTGTTTTATTTTTAATTTATAGCTTCTTAACATAGTTGGTAAGAGAATACAGTAAAGTTTTTTTGTTTGTTCTTTTTTTTGAGACTCTGTCGCCCAGGCTGGAGTGTAGAGGCGCGATCTCGGCTCACTGCAAGCTCTGCCTCCCGGGTTCACGCCATTCTCCTGCCTCAGCCTCCTGAGTAGCCAGGACTACAGGTGCCTGCCACCATGCCCAGCTAATTTTTTTTTGTATTTTTAGTAGAGACGGGGTTCCACCATCTTAGCCAGGATGGTCTCTATCTCCTGACCTCGTGATCCGCCCGCCTTGGCCTCCCAAAGTGCTGGGATTACAGGTGTGAGCCTCCGTGCCCAGCCAGAGTTTTTTTAATGTTGGAATTATTCTCCCAGTTGTTCATAGCCAATAGATTGATTCTAAAGGCATTTTTCATAACCTGTGGAGTTAGAAATGGGTTCTCCTCCCACCTTTTGTAGGTTCATTCTCTTCTATAATATAATCTTTATGACTTTTAATAAGTATCCATTTATTATTCCTGTAATCATAATAGATACTTTGAATTTGTATATTATTTGTTAGACGCTGATAGTTTCTGCAACTTACATAGCTCTGAACCTGACATTTGTATTTTATTTTTCATTAATTTCTCTTTGTCCAATTGAATAGTGTCTCCTTGAACTTCAGAATGAAGCCATCTTTATGTGGAGTACGGACCTGGACAGTGTGGCCACACTGTGTTTTAAGTCCTTTGAAGGTTCCAATTATGATGTGCGGATTTCTGTTTCAAAGTTACTAGGCATAATATTAGCTAAAGCTGTAATTTCTAAACATCCAGGAACAGGTAAATACATGTAATTATTTTCAAAGTCTCTTCTGTAATTTTTTCCCCAGTTGATATAAACAAATATGTATAGTGTTATTGCTACCCGTTATAAATCAATTTCAGGCCAGGCATGGTGGCTCACACCTGTAATCCCAGCACTTTGGGAGGCCAAGGCGGGTGGATCACCTGAGGTCACAAGTTTGAGACCAGTCTGGCCAACATGGTGAGACCCGTCTATACTAAAAATACAAAAATTAGCTTGGTGTGATGGCACACGCCTGCAATCCCACCTACTTGGGATTACAAGAATCACTTGAACCCAGGAGGCAGAGGTTGTAGTGAGCTGAGATTGCGCCACTGCACAATCTCAGCCTGGACAACAAAGCGAAACTTCATCTCAAAAAAAAAAAATCAATTTCAATTCATAAACATTGCTGTAGGTCCTGAGATTTCATTTGAAACAATTCAGTAAAAATTTGAGGAAAATTTACAAGAACTCTTGAAGTGTGGTGTACTTTATGCAATCATTGTCTTCCTTTTACATTACAGCTTTTTTGTGTGTGTGACAGGGTCTGCTGTCACCCAGTCTGGAGAGCAGTGGTGCCATCTCAGCTCACTGAAACCTCTGCCTCCTGGTCTCAAGTGATCCTCCCACCTCAGCCTCCTGAGTAGGCGGGACCACAGGCTTTCACTGCCATCCCCGGCTAAATTTTTATATTTTTTGTGGAGATGGGATTTCACCATGTTAGCTCTGCTGGTCTCGAACTCCTGAGCTCAGGTGATCTGCCTTCCTTGGCCTCCCAAAGTGCTGGGATTACAGGCGTGAGCCACCACCCCCCAGCCATGGCCTTATTTTTATATATTTTTTTTAAAGTAATTGTGAAGTGTTATCCAATAAACGATATGATCTAAATACTGAATTTTCTTTTTTTTAAAGCAGCATGCATCTGACTACATATATTTGGCTTGCCATTTTTTAGATTGGTACAATGGAGCATATAATGTAGATAATTCTAGATACTTGTAGTTTATTGTATTTGGACAGTTTTGCTTTGTCTTAGTGATTTCATTGTTGTTGTTTTTGGAAACAGGGTCTCACTCTGCCACCCAGGGTGGAGCAGTAGTGCAATCACAGCTTACTACTTTCTCCGCCCCAACCCCAGAATTAGCCATTTCTCTAAGGAGTTCTGCTTTTGAATCTTTTGAATAGTCAAATAGAATAGATGTTGAGTGTGAAAGAGAAGTCCAGGATGACTTTATGAATTTTGGGCTGAAAACCTGGAAGTACAGAGTTGTCATCAACTGATTTGAGCAAGTGTGCAAGTAGAGCAGGCTGTGTATGTGTCAGGGAGGAGGATCAAGCACTGAGTTTAAAACAATTTGGAACATTAACTAGACATCGAAATAGAGATATCAGATAGACAGCTGGATATGAGAGTCTGGTGCCCAGGAGAGAAGACTGGACATCAAATTCATAAATTTTAGGAATAAATATATTTATTTTAGGAATAAATTAATAGTGATTATTCAGGAATCTCTAATATAGAGATGGAATTTAAGCTATGAGATTGGATAAGATCACAAGACAGTGAGTATACATAGAGAAGAGCAGACCAGGTACTAGGTCATGAGTTTTCTCTTGGAGAACACAAGAAACCATTGAAGAAGACAAAACAGAAATTTCCAGTGAGAAGGCAGGAAAGAAAGCCAAGAGAGCATGTCTTGTGGTCTTATCCAATCTCAGGCCATCTTAAAGTATTGCCAGATACATTGCATCATAATTATAAATGATAATTTTACAGTGGAAAAATGTGGCAGACTTACATTGTGCACATGTTCAAAGCTAGTATCATCTGTGTAGGGACAGACTGACACCACACCTGGCAGTGCTTTTTGATGTTATGCATTGAACAGGATGTAACATCACTTACATAGTTCTCTGTCAAAAATTTGGAGGAAATACCAGACAAACTCATATCAAGGGCCATTCTATAAAACAACTGGCCATAAGTGTATTCTTCAGAAGTGAGAAAGTAATGAGGAAAATGTGATGAGTCCAGGTAGATGCAGTCATGCATAGCTTAATAATAGGGACACATTCTGAGAAATGCATCATGAAGTGATTTTGTCATTGTGGGAACATCATAGAGTGAACTTACACAAATCTAGATGGTATAGCCTACTGCACACTAGGCTATATGGTATAGACTATTGCTCTTAGACTACACACCTCTACAGCATGTTACTATACTGAATACTGAGAAAACTGTAATACAATGGTATTTGTGTATCTAAACATGTCTAAATATAGAAAAGGAACAGTATAAATATGATATAAAAGATAAGAAATGGTACACACCTATACGGCACTGACCATGACTGGAACTTACAGGACTGGAAGTTGTTCTGGGTGAATCAGCGAGTGGCGAGTGAATGTGAAAGCCTAGGATATTACTGTATACTACTGTAGATGTTACAAACACTGTACACTTAGGCTATGCTAAATTTAAAAAATGTGTATTTTTCTTTAATAATAAATTAGCCTTTGTTTACTAAAAGTTTTTTACTTTATAAACTTTTTAATTTTTAAAATTTTTGATTCCTTTGAATATTTTTATAATAACATTTAGGGGCCAGGTGCAGTGGCTCATGCTTGTAATCCCAGCACTTTGGGAGGCCAAGGCGGATGGATTGCTTGAAGTCAGGAGTTCAAGACCAGCCTGGCCAAGATGGGGAAACCTCATCTGTCTACTAAAAATGCAAAAATTAGCGGGACGTGGTGGCATGTGCCTGTAGTTCCAGCTGCTTGGGAGGCTGAGGCATGAGAATCACTTGAACCCTTTAACATGGGAGGCAGAGGTTTCAGTGAGTTGAGATCCTGCCACTGCTCTAGAAATAATAGTAACATTTAGCTTAAAACGTAGATACATTGTACAGCTCTACAAAAATATTTTCTTTATATCCTTGTATCCTTGTTCTATAAGCTTTTTTCTATTAAAAAAATTTTTTTTAACTTTTAAACACACACATTAGCCCAGGCCTACACAGAGTCAGAACCATCAATCTCACTGTCTTTCACCTTAGTATCTTGTCCCACTGGATGGTCTTCAAGGGCAGTGACACGCATGGAGCTGTTATCTCCTGTAATAGCGATGCCTTGTTCTAGAATACTTCCTAAAGGGCCTACCTGAAGCTGTTTTGTAGTTAACTTTTTATAAATAAGAGTATATTTTAAAATAACAATAAAAAGTATAATAAATACATAAACCAGTAACAGTTGTTTATTATCAAGTATTATGTACTTTACATAATTACATGGTCTTTACTTTTACATGACTGGCAGTGTAGTAGGGTTGTTTACGTGAACATCACCACAGACACGTGAGTAATGTGTTGGAATGTCACAAGGCAATAGGAATTTTTCAGCTCCATTATAATCTTACAGGACCACCGTCATATATGTGATCTCTGTCATTGAAGAAAATGTCCTTATGTAGTACGTGACTGTATATGAAAGTTTATTATACTATTCTTACAGCTTTTTTCTAATTTTGAGTTTTTCTAATAAAAAGTTTAAAATATATATTTATGTGTATCCAGATTCCATTCACTCCACTTCACTTTAACCACCTTGATCCAAGTCACTATCATCTCTTGCTTACATTAATAAATCATTCCTAATGGTTTTCCCTGCTTCTATCTTTACCCCCCTCTATAATCTTCTCTCAACACAGCAGCAGCATGACATATTATATCACTCGTCTGCTCACGGTCTTCCACTGGCACCTCATTTCAGTCACAGCCTTATTATAATGACCTACAAGGTCCTATATCTTCTGCCCTCTTACCATCCTTACACTCTGACCTGTCTCCTACCTACCCCCTCCACTGCTCCATCCCCATTGCTCTGTGTAAACTCACCTGGCATCCTATAAAGGCCTTTTTGTCATAGCCATTTCCTCTGCCTAGAACACTTTTTCTCCAGATACCCTCATGACTAATTTCTTCCCTACATTCAAACTGTGTTAAAATGTCACCATTTCAATGCATCTTACCCCAATACCCTATTTAAAGTCACAAACTACACTTCACTCCACCCCCATATTCCTGACCTCATTTTGCTCTGTTTTCTGCATGGTTTTTAATCACTGTTTAATATACATAGTCATTTATTACGTTTATTGCTGTCTTTTCTTAGAATTTATGATCCACAGAGCATGGATTTTGCACTATTCAATAATGTTTCTTCCCCAAATGCCAAGTTAGATTTTCATTTGTCTCAGATGGTTTTCTTTAGGCTAGGGAGGAGGTTTTTTTGTTCATAACTGTAACAAAAGTTTATTTCTGTACTCTTGTAGAGGGTCAGAGCTTGTGACCATTAATTTTCAAGGGAGAAATGGTTTCTTCTTTTTTTTGGGGAGATAATATTATCTAGTCACAGGGAGAAACCCAGCTGTGTCAAACTGAAGTCGATCTTAAACATTCCTGCCTTAATTAATCTCTTAGTTATTGTAGCCTAAGAGCCAACTGAGTAGTTTTAATGAATTTAGCTTTGATTTCTTCAGAGACTGAAGGAATAGCAAAAGTTTTATTGCCAATAGAGAATTTTTAAAAATAGGACATTTACATTATATAAACTTCTTTGACAGTTGTACAGCATTTGGAAAAATAAAATTATGATTTTGGCATTTTCCATGTTTCAAAAGAATTTTCAAAGCATTGTATAGCATTTTCATTTGTGGAGGACTAGGGCAGTCTTATTTATGTTTTTCCCCTGTTTTAGAAGACAGCCTTTTAACTTCTTTGAGGAAAGGAAGCAATAGGTCATGATCTTAGTCATAGTCTCTAAGATGTTTTTGACATGCACTTCAGGGTCCATTCTGATTTGACCTCTGACCCCTTGTGTGACTTTGTGTGTTACTGTGTAGACTGTTCTGTAAATTTTGCATTTTGTTTGAATTTTTAGTTTATTTTTGTTTCTATTAACATGCTTTTTGCAAATCAAGAACTTACATTAAAATTTAGTCTGTAAAATATGAATCACAGTTTTGTTCTTTGTCATAGCAGCCTCACGTCAAAGCATTCGCAGAGTATCTTTGGAGGAAGTTCTGGAATTACTAGGAACAGGGTTTCTACGTGGGAGTTCAGGATTCCTTCGAGCCAGTGGAGATATGCTGAAAGGAACCAGTTCAGTCAGTAGGGATGTTCGAGTTGGAGTTACTCAGGTTGGAATCACAAATCAGTATCTCAGTCTAACTCTTACTGGCCTATAATGAAAGTTTTAGTATCTGACTCCACAGAAGTGGTACTATGCAAGGTCAACACTTATGCTCTCATATCTATAAATAGATATAAATGGTAAGGCCAAAACATTTTTTTTAAACTAGGTTGCAAGTAAGAGGACCTTATTACCTATAATGTGTTTTGCGTTCCTAATAATGGAACATTTTAATTTTCTTTGAAACACAAAGATTTTTTGTTTCCAGCTGTTGTGCTTTTGTGTATCTTGTGGTTTAACATGTTTTCCATTGTATTTGTGTGTGCTCATGCAGTTCAGATTTAAGCTATTACATACATAATTGTTTAGCATAGGTGAAATAAACATTTTATGTGGCTTTAACCCTCAAGGAGTACAGCATGTAGTTTACTTCAGTGCTTAAATTTTTCATCCTAAACGAGTTTTAAAAGGTAAACTCTTGGAAGAGTTATCTTAACAATAAAACAAAGAGATATCTGCCTTCTTTCCTTGGATTATCTTTTTTTTTCTAAACACCGTTATCATTCAAAGCAAACTTGTATTTTTGAAAAATTCACATATATTGTCTTTGTTTTATACTGCATATAGTCTCCATGAAAATATGAGCTTCCCAGTATAATTGTAATTAAACTGTGTGTTTCTAAGGAACAGATAACTTAAAACTACTTTATATCTATGGAGTAAGAAAAACCATTAATATTCATGAAAATAAAGAACTAAATTTCCTTAGAGTTATAATGTTGGAGCATAGTTAATTCTTATAATGTGTTTGTATGTTTAAATTGAGATTTCTTGTTCAGAATGTTAAATCTCTCGGAGCCGTTGTTCACAGAAGCCACAGATACATTTTACATGTAAGCTGGGTATGCTGACTATCCTGAAACTGTAGTCTGACCAAAATAAAACAGGAGGGTAACAGAAATGAAGTCTTGATTGAAAGACTATGCACTTCAGGCCGGGTGCGGTGGCTCACGCCTGTAATCCCAGCACTTTGGGAGGCCGAGGCTGGTGGATCACGAAGTCAGGAGATCGAGACCATCCTGGGTAACATGGTGAAACCCCGTCTCTACTAAAAATACAAAAAAATTAGCCGGGCTTGGTGGCGGGCCCCTGTAGTCCCAGCTACTCGAGAGGTTGAGGCAGGAGAATGGCGTGAACCCAGGAGGCGGAGCTTGCAGTGAGCTGAGATTGCACCACTGCATTCCAGCCTGGGTGACAGAGCGAGACTCCGTCTCAAAAAAAAAAAAAATGCACTTCAGTTCTGGCTTAAACAAAAACAAAATGGTGCTATGTTTGTATATTTCAAGTGGCATAAATTAGGAAAGAATACAATTTATAAGGAATAAGAAAAATATTAATAAATGCTACATGTTTTGTGGGGGAGAATACAGAATTGAAACAATTTAATATTGAAAATAAAACTCTTTTCCTTTTTAGGCTTATGTGGTATTTGTTTCAACACTAGGAGGAGCTTGGCTAGAGAAAAATTTTGCTGCCTTTTTTTCTCATATCCTAAGCCTTGCGTCACCGTCACACCCTAAAGCCACCCAAACTCAGATCGATGCCGTCTGCTGTCGCCGTTGTGTTTCATTTATTCTTCGAACTACTATAGGTGGTCTTCTTGGAGAAAAGGCTCAGCTTGCTGCTGTAAAGGATATTTGCCAGGCCATCTGGAAGCTAAAGAAAGTTATGGGTATGGATCTCTACTAAGACAGTTTGTTTAACAGTGCTAATGGAATTGTCCCTTTGGGAAAGCTAGACTGATATATAATACTATATTAATACAGAAACCTTGAAGGCTGATAGAAGTTCCTCAGAATTCATGTTGTACTTCCTATAGAATTTAAGATAAATTATTTTTGAAACTGTCTATCTCAGCTCCTGTACCATCTTAAGTCTACTCTGCTTATCTCGAATATCAGTAATGTTGGATATTAAATATCAATAATGTTGAAATCATTTTTAGTTTCCCATGAGTTCTCTCTCTCAGTGCCACTTGCTAAGGGAGTAATAAGGGGTCTCTGATTGGAATGCCTGAACTAAATTGGTTATAGTAATTCATTTCTCTCTTTATTGATGCAAGTCCCCATTTAAGCATTTTAGTTATTGCCTCAAGTATTTCATATAGATCAAGTGTATGTGTAAATTTTTGCCGTTATACCTTTTTACTCTTCACACCCTTTTCAATATATTTTAATACAGTGGTTATGCATAGTTAATTCTTGCATTTCTATCAGATGCCGTAATGAGTGATGGTAATTTGGAAACCCGGCTTGGTTCCACAGATGTAGCCGCTAGCCAACATATGCTGGTTTGTGCTTTACAAGAACTTGGAAATCTCATACACAATCTTGGCACCACAGCGGCACCTTTGCTACAGGATTCAAGTACAGGTATATCTGTTTGTGACTCATTGGAATACCTTGTACACTAGATAACTTTGTTCCAAGGAAGGAAATCTTCATATAGCTTACTTATAGATTCCATTATAGATTTATGAGAAATGTTTTATGAAAAATTTATAATCAGGATTATTAAAAAGATGTATATTGTTTAGTTTTTTCTTCTGTAATTAAAGATTGTTCTCTAAGTCTGCACCCTACCCCCCATTTAGAGACTTATAACATGGAAAAACTTACAGAGAAGTAAACCTGAACTTTCTCTGCATCTGCAGTGAAAACATTAGTACAGTACAAGTAATTCAGTTCCTCAAAGGTCTTTAAAGCAGTATTTTCTTTCTTAAGTGTTTAATCACTTTATAATAGCTTTATTCAGATATAATTCATGGCTAGGCACAGTGGCTCATGCATATAATCCAGCACTTTGGGAGGCTGAGGCAGGCATATCACTTGAGGTCAGGAGTTCAAGACCAGCCTGGCCAACATGGCAAAACCCCGTCTCTACTAAAAATAGAAAAATTAGCCCGTCATGGTGGCGCATGCCTGTATTCCCAGCTACTCGGGAGGCTGAGGCACGAGAATCGCTTGAGCCCCAGACGTGGAAGTTGAAGTGAGCCAAGATAACGCCACTGCACTCCAGCCTGGGCAACAAGAGACTTTGTCTCAAAAAACAAAAAAAGATATAAATCACTTACCATGAAGTTTACGCTTATAAGGTATACAATTCAGGGATTTTGAGTATATTTGCTATACTGTACAGTCACTACCACTGTCTAATTCCAGAGTCTTTTCATTACCCCAGGAAGAAGTCCATTAGTTGTCATTTCCATTTCCCTTTGCCGCAGCCCCTGACGACCATGAATTTACTTTCTGTCTCTATGAATCCACCTATTCTGGATATTTCATGTTAAAAAAAAATCATTCAATATATGGTCATAAATGACTTGCTTCTTTTTAAAAAATCACTTTTAAAAATCACTTTTTAGGCCTGGCATGGTGGCTCACGCCTGTAATCCCAGCACTTTAGGAGACCAAAATGGGAGAATTGCTTGAGCTGAGTTCAAGACCAGCCTGGGCAACATAGTGAGAGCTCCTCTCTACTAAAAATTTTTTAAAACTTAGCCAGGTATGGTGGTGTGCACTTGTAGTAGTCCTAGCTCTTTGGGAGGCTGAGCCAGGAGCATCACTTATGCCTAGGAGACTGAGGCTACAGTGAGCTATTATCATGCCACTGCATTCCATCCTGGGTGACAGAGTGAGACCCTGTTTCAAAAAATATATCATTATGGCTTTTATCCTTCGTGGCACACATTTCTTGCTGAGAAACTTTACATTATATTTGTGTTTATAAGCTATTTAGATCTGGGACACTTACTTAAATAGCATTTGACATGAAACTTACATGTTTCATGAAAGTTTATGTTGAATCATAGCAAATAATACCCTTTCTTTTATTGATGGTGACAGTTACTTCACTGTCTTTGTAGTTAGTTGGTTAGTAGCCCACTGAGGACCTAGTGAAGCCTTGATTTTAATGTTTTATTCTTATAAGAGCAACATGGTGGATAGAAAGTGTATTAATTATGTAGGCTGGGCATGGTGGCTCATGCCTGTAATCCAGCACTTTGGGAAGGTGAGGTGAGTGGATCACCTGAGGTCAGGAGTTCAAGACCAACCTGGCCAACATGGTGAAACCTCATCTCTACTAAAAATACAAAAATTAGCCAGGTGTAGTGGCACGCACTTGGGATCCTAGCTGCTCAGGAGGCTGAGGCGAGAGGATCACTTAAACCCGGAAGGCGAAGGTTGCAGTGAACCAAGATTGCACCACTGCATTCCAGCCTGGGTGACAGAGCAAGATGCTATCTCAAAAAAAAAAAAAAAAGTATATGAATTATGTAGATAAATGTACTAGAAGGATTAAAAAATAAAAAGAGGGTGGGGCAGGGTATGACTTTTTTTTTTTTTTCAAGGCAGGGTCTCAGTCTGTCACCCACGTTGGAGTACAGTGGCACAATCTTGGCTCACTGCAAGTCCCGCCACCCTGGCTCAAGCGATCCTCCCACCTCAGCCTCCCTAGTAGCTGGGACAGCAGGCATGCATCACCATGCCTGGCTAATTTTTTGCATTTTTGGTAGAGACAGGGCTTTGTCATGTTGCCCAGACTGGTCTCAAACTCCTGAGCTCAGGCAGTCTGCCTGCCTTGGCCTCCCAAAGTGCTGGGATTACAGGCGTGAGCCACCACAGCTGGCCAGGGTGTGACATTTCTTTTCAAGGTGTTATTTGTTGATAACTTTTAATTTTTAGTACCAAATTAATAATTGATCTGAAGCTAAATAAGAGATTGGCTTATTTAGGAAATAAAGTTTTTCTTTTGTGCGCGGACTTAATTTAGGACAACTTTCATGAGATATATTAGTAGAAGTGATTCTTAGGTTAGAAAATTATTTTGAATAGGAATGGTGAGAAGGGAGAAAAATGAAGTTAAAAGAAAATTATTTGTAATTATGTATTTTTCTATTATAATGTGGCTTTTGATAAAAATATATTTTATATCCATGTGGCTATGTATTCTTTTGACTATTTTATGGTCAGGTGAGTTTTATCTATGTACCTAAGTCATCATTTGTTTATCCTTCCAGGTCTCCTTGACAGTATCTTGTCAGTTATTCTTCATCCTAGCATTTCTGTTCGACTAGCAGCAGCTTGGTGTTTACACTGCATTGCCGTGGCATTACCCTCCTACCTAACACCACTCTTGGATCGTTGCCTTGAACGGCTTACTGGACATAAGTCTTCACCTGAAGCAGTGACTGGCTTCAGTTTTGCTGTAGCAGCTTTGTTGGGAGCAGTAAAACATTGTCCTTTAGGAATTCCTCATGGAAAAGGCAAGGTAATGATTTCATTCTCTATGTATGATAATGAGGTGCTTTTTGTTAGAAGTATCTTCACATAGTAACAGAATTTGTTACTGAATGCTTTATTTTGCTGTACATCTAGCCCTGCCATATAAGTACATTTACAATTTTATTTTAGAGGATAAATAGAGCTGCAAAAGAAATCTTAAATAACTAAGCTTAATATTTAATAATTTAGTTAGTGGTATTATTTGTGGTATTACTTTAAAAATAGTTTACATATCTTAAGATCAAGTAGACAAATAGTTATATTAATGTTCTTAGGAACGAAGGTTTTCAATATAAGTAGAAAGAACTAAAACTGTAGAATTGAAGTTAAGTAAAAGTCCCATACGTTAGATTCAAATTGAAATTGTCAGTATGAACTCATTTTATTTTTTTGAAAATACTTACATCCTCCTTTTGTACAGTGAAAAGGCCTAAAAGCAATGATAACCCAGTGTCAGGGATACCCCTAGTGCCCAGATTATAGCTCTAAATACTGTTTCCAACCAAAAAGGAATCAGGACTCTATGGAGCAATGGCTAGTTTCAGGTCTGGGGCAGGAAATGCACAACATAAACTTGGGATATCTTGTCATGCCAGAAAGTAAGGAAGTCATCAAGGAATACTATGTTCATTTTAAAAAGAGGTAACTTAAGGGGCTCCCACTGATCAAAGATGGCATGATTTATACATCAAAATTAATAATGACTACAGTGAATTAAAACATACTAGATAATATATAAAATTTCATGAGTTCATAATGATATTCAACTTCTCCAAATTGTATTGCTACCAAAAAATGTCATTTTCTGAGTAAATTTAGAATCAGACAAATAAATGACACAAACCTAGTGAATAAATAACCCAGTTTTAATGTACAAAGAATTTTGAAGAGAACTAAAGAAAAATTTTAATGAAACCTAGATAATACAACATAGGCAAGCAAGGTGTTTGAATTTTGTTTCTTTTTTAATAGCTAGGAATTGTAAGTTGTCAGAGAACATTATTTGACAGTGAAAGCCCTTCTAACCCATACTTCTCACAAACTCGTAAATATATTTAAAAAAATACACCATTATTCCTTTCTTTCTCATTGCCACTCCTGTGTCATTATGGAGTTTGATAGTATATCCACCATAGTGTAGGCTCTGCAGAAGACCATTCCATAACTTGAACAATTCCAAAAATATTTTGAGTATTGCCAATGCCACTGAAATAAGGTAGGTGACAACTTTGGAAGATGAGATTATTTAAATTTATTATTTTAGTTATATTCTTAACACATCACATCTTGCTAAGCAAAGACTTGTCATTCAATGTATTTAATTAAACCTATTCTCATATCTCATTAATTCAGACAAGGTTCCCATTCCCATATTATATTTGGAATTTCTTTCCGAGAGAATTATCCACTTGTTCTGATTTGACTAGAATGGTTTGTTTTGTCCTCACTCTTTTTGAGTGCTATCCATTGACTGTATGAGCTGCAGGGAGTCCTAAATTAGTAGTAAGTTGGTTGGTTGGTTTAAAATACACTAGCCTTCTTCTTTAGAAAATTTATATGCCAACTCATAATACTTCCTGCTTTTTCAGAGGTGATTGGTAATAGGTGTTTTCTCATATTAGATGCTCTCTGGCCTTGTACTGTGTAAGCATACATTATCCATAAATGTGAAATGTCCTGTTTTTCTTCTCTGTTGTTTTATAACATGGACCCCTTTTTTTGAAACAGGGTCTTGCTTTGTCACCTAGGCCAGAGTGCAGTGGCGAGATCATAGATCACTGCAGCCTCAAATGCCAGGGCTCAAGCAATCTTCCCGTCTCAGCCTCCCAAGTGGCTGAAACTACAGGCACGTAATTCCATTGCCTGGCTAATTCTTTTTATTTTTTTGTGAAGATAGGATCTCACTCTGTTGCCCAGGCTGGTCCTTTTTTTTTTTTTTTTTTTTTTTCCAAGGAGACATGGTCTTTCTTTATTGCCCAGGCTGCAATGCAGTGGTGTGATCCTAGCTCACTCCTAGGCTGGTCTTGAATTTCTGGCCTCAATTGGTCCTCCCACCTTGGCCTTCTGAGTCGTTGGGATTACAGGCATGAGCCACTGTGCCCAGCCTCATAGACTTTTTTACTATAACATTTTAATAAATTTCACTCTTCAGTATGAGACTATTTTGACTACCTCTAACCACTATAGTATACTACCTCTTGGAAGACTATTATCAGCTACTGAGTTACAAAAGTAGTATGTAGCTTTTTTTTGTTGTTGAGACTGAGTCTCACTCTGTTGCCCAGGCTGGAGTTTCAGTGGCATAATCTCAGCTCACTACAACCTCTGCCTCCTGGGTTCAAGCGATTCTTCTGCCTCAGCCTCCCGAGTAGCTGGGACTACAGGCATGTGCCACCACGCCCGGCTAATTTTTTGTATTTTTAGTAGAGATGGGGTTTCACTGTGCTAGCCAGGATGGTCTCGATCTCCTGACTTTGTGATCCACCCGCCTCAGCCTCCCAAAGTGCTGGGATTACAGGCGTGAGCCACCGCACCTGGCTGTATGTAGCATTTTTAAGAGAGAGACTCCTGTAAGAAAACTTTTTTTGGATAATTATGGATTTAAAAGGATAGTTGCTCAAAACTAAAAGTAAATTCAAATTCTATACAGCTATACTTGAATAATCTTACATTGTTGTCACATGTGTTCTACAAAAAATTATGGGATTGTTGTGTACTACCTCATATACCAGTATTTAACCTTGAAAACTTAATTTTTTATAGTTTCCTTTATGACAGTCCTATTATGTAGTCTACACGAATGACAGTTCTTTATCGTTTACATTTATTTTATGTAAGAATTAATTTTTCAAGATATTGTTAGCTGCTATCATTTAGTAATTTATAAACTGATATGCTTTTTTTAAAACTTGTTCTATATGTAAATAGATTATTATGACATTAGCAGAGGATTTGCTGTGTTCTGCTGCTCAAAACAGTCGCCTTTCAGCTCAGCGCACACAAGCTGGATGGTTGCTGATTTCTGCTCTGATGACATTAGGTAACAGTCTGTAGAAGGTTTACATACCTTGAAATACTTTGTGTTTTCTGAGTGAAATGATTCTTATATGTGATTTGATGAAATGAACTTTTAATACATACCAGAATTTAAATAGCCACACAAACATTTTTCTTGTAGTAGTCACCTTAAAAAGCCTTTTACTTTCGTCATTGCTTAAAACCTTTTGAGATCTCTCTTGATTTTCTCTTCCGGGCTAGATGATAAGCCTCAAGTAGGATAAGCCGAGTTACTAATCATCTTTCAGGCTTAACTCTGAACAACTGTGGCTTTTTCAAAAATCATTGACATCCATCTTCAGAAAAAAACATTTCCACAATATAGGCAAAAGAACATACCCATAGCTTGGGAATCCAGTTCTATAATTGTTTGAGGATTCATAACAGCCAATAAGGTTGCTACATTGAAGGGGATGAATTTTACTTAAATTATATTTATTAAAAAACAGTAATTGTTTTACAGTCATGACTATTTATATCCTCTAAATTTTTGAGACAGGGTCTCACTCTGTCACACGAGCTGGAGTGCAGTGGCATGATCATGGCTCACTGCAGCCTTGACCTCCTGGGCCCAAGTGATCCTCCTACCTAAGCCTCCCAAGTAGCTGGGACCATAGGCATGCAACATCATGCCTGGCTAATTTAAAAAAATTTTTTTTGTAGAGATGGGGTCTCACTATGTTGCCCAGGCTCGTCTCGAACTTGTGGGCTCAAGCAGTCCTTCCGCCTTGGCCTCCCAAAGTGTTGGCATTATAAGCATGAGCCACTGAAAACTTTATTTATTTATTTTTTGCCCAGTCTTATGGTGCTAATGAAACTTAATTTTATTACTCTATCACACCTATATTTTAAGTCTCTGTTGTCATACAAGTTATAGCTAGATATAAAACAACTGGCTGAGGCTGGGCATGGTGGCTCACGCTTGTAATCCCCGCACTTTGGGAGGCTGAGGCGGGTGGATCACTTGAGGTCAGGAGTTCAAGATCAGCCTGGCCAACAAGGTGAAACCCCATCTCTACTAAAATACAAAAATTAGCCGGGCATGGTGGTGCATGCCTGTAGTCCCAGCTACTCGGGAAGCTGAGGCAGGAGAATTGCTTGAACCCAGGAGGTGGAGGTTGCAGTGAAGTGAGATTGCACCACTGCACTCCAGCTTGGGTGACAGAGCAAGACTCCCTCTCAAAATAAAACAAAAAATGAATAGTTCGGGCGCAGTGGCTCACGCCGTAATCCTAGCACTTTGGGAGGCCTAGGCGGGCGGATCATCTGAGGTCAGGAGTTCAAGACCAGCCTGGCCAACAACACGGTGAAATCTTGCTTCTACTAAAAAAAATACAAAAATTAGCCAGACATGGTGGCATGTGCCTGTAGTCCCAGCTACAGGGGAGGCTGAGGCAGGAGAATTGCTTGAACCCAGGAGGCAGAGGTTGCAGTGAGCTGAGATCATGCCACTGCACTCCAGCCTGGGTGACAGAACAAGACTCCGTCTCAAAAAATAAAAATAAAAAATAATAATAAAATAAAGCAACTGACCTGATTTGGCCGATAAATCATTTTGACACCTATAAAGTAATTTGACCTAAAGGAGCTTAAATTAGAATAAACAATCATAAATGAAGAACTACTTTAAGTAGTGTTTTTTTTTTTTGTTTGTTTTTTTTTGAGGTGGAGTCTCACTTTGTCACCCAGGCTGGAGTGCAGTGGCGCGATCTCGGCTCACTGCAAGCTCTACCTCCTGGGTTCATGCCATTCTCCTGCCTCAGCCTCCCGAGTAGCTGGGACTACAGGCGCCCACCACCACACCTGGCTAATTTTTTGTATTTTTTAGTAGAGACGGGGTTTCACCATGTTAGCCAGGATGGCCTCGATGTGCTGACTTCGTGATCCACCTGCCTCGGCCTCCCAAAGCGCTGGGATTACAGGCGTGAGCCACCGCACCTGGCCAAGTAGTGTTCTTAAGATGATTAAAGAGATTTATTGGACTAGATCAAGTTTAGCTTCAAGGAGCCAAATTTGGCCTACTACCAATATTTATTATACAGCCTGTGAGCTAAGAACAGTTTTTATATTTATTAGTGGTTGGGGAAAAAAGATATTTTGTAATACATGAGAATCATGTGAAAGTCACATTTCAGCATTCATAGTTTTATTTGTGTACAACCACACTTGTTTGTGGATTGTCTGTGACCTTTAGGTGTACAGTGGCAGAGTTGAGTAATTGCAACAGGAAGTATGTGGCTCTCAAAGCCTCAAATGTTTACTATCTGCCCCTTTACAGAAAGTGTTTGTTAGACCAAAGCATAGATCATCATTTCACAGTGTGCTGGGAATAATGTAGTCAAGCTTTTATTTGCTTATTGCTGGGTGTTCATGCCTGCCGTATTGAAGTTCCTGGTGAATTAAGGAGGAAATAAACTACCTAATAAATGCATTTTGATAAACAAGAGCTTTTAAAACAAGCTAATTGTGTTGGAGGAAGACAACAAGAAGTCCTTTCTCCTGTACATCATATTTTACGGCATATGCATAATCAGCATACAAAAAGGGATTAAAAGTTTTAATTAAGGTTTTGTTTAATTACTTTGTTTTCTTGGGTTTTATTCATTTTTCTTAACTATTCTTTCCCTTTATTATCTATTTTTATTCTTATTCATTTGCTTATTTATTTTTTGAGACAGGGTCTCACTCTGTCACCCAGGCTGGAGTGCAGTGGTACGATCATGATTCACTGCAGCCTCGACCTCCGCAGGCTCGGGTGATCCACCTGCCTCAGCCTCTTGAGTAGCTGGGACTGTGTGCACCACCCTGCCTGGCTAATTTTTTGTAAAGATGGGGTTTTGTCATGTTGCCCAGGTTGGTCTTAAACTCCTGGACTCAAGCAGGTTACTCCTGGACTTAAGCAATCTGCCTTCCTTGACCTCCCAAAGTTCTGGGACTACAGGAGTGAGCCACTGCACCCAGGCTATTATCAATTTTTAGAGTGCGTTAGTATCATAGCAACTTTCAGGGGGGACCAGTGAGGTTTTTTTTTTAGGTATCATTATGAGCTCATGGAATTTTATATATTTATATGTTTTAATCACTTGCGATCATTATTCCTTTCGATCCTCAAATTGTCTCATCTTTGGTCATTGGGAGTCCCTTCAAGTTGGTTCATTTGTCCTTTTAACGTGAACCTAGTATTCTTTGATAATGTGTTTTTGCATGCAAGATGTCCCAGGTTTTACACTACATTTTCTGCCTTAGGCTTGCCATCAGCCGTTTCTCCAAGGAGCCTTGATTCCTTTTGTAGGAAATGGAATTTTTTTTTTTTTTTTTTTTTTTAAGAGACAGGGTCTCACCATGTTACCCAGGCTGGAGTACAGTGGCACCATCATAGCTCACTGCAGCCTTGAATGCCAGGCTCAAGCAGTCCTCCTGCCTCGGCCTCATGAGTAGCTAGGACTATAGGTTTACACCACTACACTCAGCTAATTTTTAAATTTTTTTTGTAGAGATGGGATCTTGCTGTTTCCCCAGCTGATCTTGAACTCCAGAGCTCAAGTGATCCTCCTGTCTTGCCCTTCCAAAGTGCTTGAATTACAGGCATGGGCCACAGTGCCCAGCTGGGAATGATTTTTAGACAGCAATCTTAGTGCTTTGTTAATTTTTGCTTTGCATTTTAAACATGTCTTCTCTGTTTTTTTCATTCCCTTTACCATTTATAATTTTCTTCATTATTTCACTATGAACTAATGTAAACACAAAACATGTTCATTCCTTGAATGTAAGCTACACACTTAAACCTTTTTTGATACACTTCCCAGTTTATCTGATGCCATATGAAAAAACTTGGATTTATCTCCAGATTCCTCCATATCTTGTCTTTCTGTGGATGGCTCATAAAGTGTGCGTGTATGTGTGTTGTGTTTGCTAGATACATTATAATTATTGTTATTTATTTATTTAAAGAAAGGATCTTGTTCTGTTGCAGTGGCAGTCAGACCATAGCTTGCTGCAGCCTTGATCTCTTGGGCTCAAATGATCCTCCTGCATCAGCCTCCCAAGTAGCTGGGACTATAGACATGTGCTACCACACCCAACTAACTTTTTACTTTTTTGTAGAAAGATTTCGGTGTGTTGACCTGGCTGGTCTCAAATGCCTGGCCTCAAGCAATCCTTCAGCCTCGGCCTCTCAAAGTGCTGGGATTACAGGCATGACCCACTGTGCCCAGCTTTAAGCACTCTTCTGTGTATAAACTCATATACGCCTCAGAAACTGTCCTTTGAATAAAATACTATTATTCTCCCCATTTATGGATGAAGAAATTGAGGCAGAAAAAGGTTAAATAACTCATCCAGGTTTACACAACTAATAAGTGGATGAAGCCAGGATATTAATCTAGGCAGTCTCCCTCCAAAGCCAAATGCAGTTCTGAGCTATGGGTTTGGAACAGAAGAAAGACATACAGTCAGCAGAATGTGGGAGTAAGAAGTAGAGAGCGCTTACTGGAGAAGTTTAAAGTAACTCCAGAAATTTAAAGAAAAGTACCTGGGGAGAAAAGCTATGGGTTTGGGTTTTTAAAAAATTGATAATGTTATCATTGTACATTGTTTTGTATTATTATTGGGTTTGTGTCATGATTCCTTCAATTCATAAATGTTGCTCTGAAACCTTTTTTTAACAAAAAGTATTCTATTCAGACATTTTGTATCTGATTATTGACCTGGAACAAGTTGCTATCAGAAGTTAGCATTATTCTGAAGATCAAGAATACAGATGGCTCACATCTGTAATTCCAGCACTTTGGGAGGCTGAAGTGGGTGGATTGCTTGAGCCCAGGAGTTCAGACCTGCCTGGGAAACATGGCGAGACCCCATCTCTACCAAAAAATACAAAAATTAGCTGGGCGTGGTGGCATGTACCTGTAATCCCAGCTACTCAGGAGGCTGAGCTGGAAGGATCACTTAAGCTCAGGGGGGTTGAGATTGAGATTGCAGTGAGCTGTGATCATGCCACTGCACTACTAAACTCCAGCCTGGGGGACAGAGAAAGAACCTGTCTCAAAAAGCATGCAATGTTGTTTGTTACTATAATAATTGTACTTTGCATTTATGTGGTCCATTACAGCTTTTCAGAGTACTTTAAAGTGCATTCTATCATTTGGACCTGACAAGCCCTTAAAGACAAGCATTACAGGGGGCTTTAGCTTCATTTAATATGTAGACGAAACTGAGTCTCAAAGAGCACATAGCAGTAGTGGAGGAGCTGATACTAGAGCCCAGCCTGTACCATTAGTTCTTTGTTTTTCCTCTCTGTACTCCAGCACCTTCAGATAATAATTCATTCAGTAATAATTTGGAACCTGAAGATAAGAAAGGGGACAAAATGTTGCAATAATGAATTAAAATGTTTAGGAGAGAAGTTGCTGCTTAATAATAGAGTTTTAAAGAGTGACAACCTTGGATTCTCTTACAAGTGACAAGTTGAATAAATTACAGGTCCTGCAGTTGTTAGCCATCACCTTGCTCGAGTTCTGCTGTTGTGGAAGTGTGTCTTTCCAGCATCTCCTAAAGATCTAGAAACAGAAAAGAGCCGAGGAGATTCGTTTACATGGCAGGTGACCCTGGAAGGACGAGCTGGTGCACTGTGTGGTAGGTTGGATTTAGTCTTTTCTCTCCCTTTCCTTTGGCTTTTTACCCACCCTTTGTCTTTAACATGTACTTGTATGTTTTATTTAACACGAGGCAGGGGGATATGCCACTAATGATTTTTTTTTGTAACTGAACAAAAAAATTATAACCGATTAGTTGGTAATGATAACTGGTGTATGTTATAATAAACCAGATTTGAGAGTTCTTAAGATACATGTTTTATTAGGTCCAATCCAGTTAAAACTGCCAACATTGTTTTGTCTTAGGTGAGCATTCATTCCTCTTTTCAGAAATACTAAGGTTTGGTTTAATTACCATTAAGAATCGTTTCCATTTAGCCTATACAGTTGACCCTTGAACAGCATGGAGGTTAGGGATGCCAATGCGCCTCGAAGTCAAAAATCTGTGTCTAGCTTTTAACTCCCCAAAAATGTATCTAATATCCTACTGTTGACCAGAAGCCTTACTGATAACATAAATGGTCAATTACCACTTTTTTTTTTTTTTTTTTTTTGAGATAGGGTCTCACTGTTGCCCAGGCTAGAATGTTGTGGTGTGAACACAGCTCACTGCAGTCTTGGCCTGCTGGGCTAGTGATCCTCTCACGTCAGCCTCCCAAGTAGCTGAGACCACAGGTGCATGCCACCATGCCCAGCTAATTTTTAAATTTTTTGTAGAGATGGAGTCTCACTATGCTGCCCAGGCTGGTCTCGAACCCCTGACCTCAAGCAGTCCTCCCACCTCAGCCTCCCAAAGTGTTGGGATTACAGGCGTGAGTCACCACACCCAGCCCCACATATTTTGTATGTTGTATATATTATATACTGTATTCTTGGAGTAAGCTAGAGAAAAGAAAAAGTGTTATTAAGAAAATCATAAGGAAGAGAAAATATATTTACTATTCATTACACAGAAGTAGATCATCATAAAGGTCTTCATCCTCATCATCTTTATGTTGAGAAGGCAGAGTAGGGGTTGATCTACTTCTCTCACTGGGGGCAGATGCAGAAGAGGTGGAGCAGGTGGAAGGGGAGGCAGGAGAGGTAGGCACACTCGGTGTGGCATCTGTTGAAAAAAACCTATGTATGAAGAGACCCTTGAAGTTCACATTTGTGTTGTTCAAGGGTCACCTGTATATGAAAGTTGTACCTTCTACAATATGTAGACTGTTAAAAGTAATGTTTCAGCCAGGTGCTGTGGCTCACGCTTGTAATCTCAGCACTTTGGGAGGCTGAGGTGGGTGGATCACCTGAGGTCAGGAGTTTGAGACCAGCCCAGACAACATGGTGAAACCCCATCTCTACTAAAAATACAAAAAAATTAGCCAGATGTGGTGGTGGGCGCTTGTAATCCTAGCTACTTGGGAGGCTAAGACAGGAGAATCGTTTGAACCCGAGAGGCAGAGGTTATAGTGAGTTGAGAATGCGCCATTGCACTCCAGCCTGGACAACAAGAGTGAAACTCCATCTCAGAAAAAAAAAAAAAAAGTAATGTTTCACCATGAAGGGTGAGATCCCTGGAAAGACATGGAAGCATTGATTTTGGTTTTGTTTATTCATGGCATTTTTACTGTTAAAGAAAAACCACTTTTGAAATTGATTTTGGCCAGGCTCAGTGGCCAATCCCAGCATTTTTGGAGGCCGAGATGAGTGGATTGCTTGAGCTCAGGAGTTCAAGACCAGCCTGGACAACATGGTGAACTGCTCTCTCTACAAAAAATACAAAAATTAGCCAGACATGGTGGTGCATGCCTGTAGTCTGGGGTGGGAGGATTACCTGAGCGTGGGAGGTGGAGGCTTCATTGAGTTGTGGTTGCACCACTGTATTCCAGCCTGGGTAACAGTGAGATTCTGTCTCAAAGGGTCCAGGGGTGTGGGAGGTGGGGTCGGGAGGGAAGGAGGGAGGGAGGGAGGGAGAGAGAGAGAGAGGGAGAGAGAGAGCGAAAGAGAGAAAAGAATTGATCAGTCTGACTTTGTTTTTTTGTTTTTGAGACGGAGTTTCACTCTTGTTGCCCAGGCTGGAGTGCAATGGCATGATCTTGGCTCACCACAACCTCTGCCTTCCGGGTTCAAGTGATTCTCCTGTCTCAGCCTCCTGAGTAGCTGGGATTACAGGCATGCGCCACCATGCTCAGCTAATTTTGTATTTTTAGTAGAGATGGGGTTCTCCATGTTGGTCAGGCAGGTCTCAAACTCCCAACTTCAGGTGATCTGCCCTCCTCAGCCTCCCAAAGTGCTGGGATTACGGGTGTGAGCCACTGCGCCTGGCCCAGTCTGACTTTAAAATACTCATCTTATTCTACATACAAAGTAATTCATTATAGAAAGTTATTTATTCCAGACACCATGTCTCAATCCTATAATCCTAGCACTTTGGGAGGCCCAGGCAGACAGATCAATCACTTGAGGCCAGGACTTCGAGACCAAGCCTGGCCAACATGGTGAAACCCCTTCTCTTCTAAAAATACAAAAATTATCCAGGGGTGGTAGCACACACTATTTGTTTCAGATAACATCTGTAAAAACCTAACATGCTGACTTGAAAGTCAGTGTGATTCCACGGAACTAGTTGTAGAGCTGGCAAACTTGAGAGTCTAAGCTGGTTTTTTTTTTTTTTTTTGCTTCTAAGCTTGAGGGCTGAGTAAAAGTAAAACCCTAGAACAGCAGCATTTTGTGAATATGGTTATTGCTCCGTCTTAGTACTCCTAGAGAGTTGTTGTTGTTTTTTTAAGTATGATTAGGAGTAGAAAGCACTATATACCTTTTTATACTAGAGTTTCAAGAATTTTTTTATTTTAGCAAATTGCTTTATTACTCTAATAACAATGCTAATGTTGTACCATAATCAAATGTGCCTTTCATGGTTGATTACAGTATGCCCAAGTAAAAGTCTGTTTTCCTTTTCAGCTATCAAGAGCTTTGTTTCCCACTGTGGTGATCTTCTTACTGAGGAAGTAACTCAGCGTCTTCTTCCACCACTTCCTTGTGCTGTGGATTTGCTAACTCAGTAAGCATCGACTGTTTAGATTTGATAGTTGCCCTCTGATTATGTAATATTCCTTAAGTACATTAATAAGGCAAATTTCTGTAGTTGGTGAATGATTTTATGGAGGAAGGCAATCAGTTAGTTATATGATTTTTTTTTAGGCTAGGATCTTGAAAGAAATTACATATTAAAAGGGAAGGAAAATTTTAGGGGAATAATCTACCTTACATACAGGCAGATTTAACAAGAAATTAACTATTAAGCCTCTTAACCTTTTCAGCTATGCATTTTATTGGTTTGTTAGAGTATTCTGTGTTCGTGAGAACCAGATGCTTCTAACAGTTTCAGTTTTTTGTTTGTTTATATTTTTCATAAGTTTGAGTTATACGTATATGATTAGAACATATAGAGAAAAGCCAGTATATAATGTGAGCACTTGTAATTTCCAAATTAATAAAACATGTGAAAGTTCTTTGAAAACAGCATCTAATGATTAACACTTTATATATACAGAAAATACATTTAAGATATGGCTTATAAGGTATAATAATAAAATGTGCACTTGTGAATCCAACACAGCCTGAGCAAAGGTTTGTGACTGTTTCTTCTGAAGGACCAGATAGTAAATACTTTAGGATATACAGACTATGAAGTCTATGTTGCAGCTACTCAACTCTCTCATCGTAGCTCAAAAGCAGTCACGGATAATAGGTGAATGAATGAATGAATGAATGAATGTGGCTGTGTTCCAATATAACTTTATTTACAAAAACAGGCAGTGGGTCATAATTTGGCTACCACTGGACTAGAGCATTAATGATACTATTGAAGGTGTCTGTGTGCCCCTCTCCAGCACCATTCTTTGTGCCTTCCTTTAGAAGCAACCACTAATCTGAATTTTATAGTTGTCATTTCCTTGCCTTTTAAAAAAGTGTATCACATATTTTTGTTTCTTAAAATAGTACATTGTTTAGGTTTGTTTGGTTTTGATCAGGCAAAAATTACTGTCCTGTTTCTGGGGCTTGCTTTTGTTATTCAACATTATGTTTCTAAGTTTTACCTATGTTTTAAGTTCATTCATTTTCGTTGCTGTATAATATTTAATTGTGTGAATATACAACAACATATTGATTCTCTTGTCAATGGACTTCTGGGTTGTTTCCAATTTTCTGCTTTTAAAGCTTATGGTAATAATGTGACCATTTGTACTCAAGCTGTTTAAGTCTCTAGGGTATGTACCTAGTAGTGAAATTGCTATGCTAAAACGTATTTTTATGTTCAACTTCAGAAAATAAACCAAATTATTTTTCAGTGTTCTTCTGTATTTCTACCAATAGTGTAAGTATCCTTTGACCCACTTTTTCACCAACACTTACTCAGTTATCAATTCTACCCCATCCAATAGGTAAAAAATGGTATCTCATTATGGTTTTAATTGTATATCGGTTTCCTGACGGTTTAAGTATAATTTTATATGTTTGTTTTTTCTCAATATTTCCCTTCCCCATGCTATAAAATGCCTATTCATTCATATCTTTAACCTATTTTTCTTTTAGGTTGTCTTTTTGTTATTGATTTATAAGAAATTCTTCCTTTTTTTTTTTTGAGACGTAGTCTCGCTCTGTCACCCAGGCTGGAGTGCAGTGGTACAATCTCGGCTCACTGCAACCTCCGCCTCCCGGGTTCACACCATTCTCCTGCCTCAGCCTCCCGAGTAGCTGGGACTACAAGCGCCCACCACCATGCCTGGCTAATTTTTTGTATTTTTAATAGAGATGGGGTTTCACCGTGTTAGCCAGGATGGTCTCGATCTCCTGACCGTTATCCGCCTGTCTCGGCCTCCCAAAGTGCTAGGATTATAGGCATGAGCCACCATGCCTGGCCTTTTTTTTTTTTTGAGATAGAGTCTTACACTGTCACCCAGGCTGGAGTGCAGTGGCGCGATCTCCGGTCACAGCAACCTCCGTCTCCCGGGTCCCCGTTCAAGAGATTCTTCTGCCTCAGCTTCCTGAGTAGCTGGGATTACAGGCATGCACCACCATACCCAGCTAATTTTTGTGTTTTTAATAGAGATGGAGTTTCACCATGTTGACCAGGCTGGTCTCAAACTCCTGACCTCAGGTGATAAACCCACCTCGGCCTCCCAAATTGCTGGGATTACAGGCATGAGCCACTGCGTCAGGCCATTTTTGGGTTTTTTTTTTTTTTTTTTTTTTTTTTTTGAGACAGTTTTGCTCTGTTGCCCAGGCTGGAGTGCATTTGTGTGATCTCCACTCACTGCAATCTCCACCTCCTGGTTTCAAATTATTCTCCTGCTTCGGTCTCCCCAGTAAGGGATTATAGGCATGCACCACTATGCCTGGCTAATTTTTGTGTTTTTCATAGAGACAGGATTTTGCCATGTTGGCCAGGCTGGTTTTGAACTTCAGGCCTCAAGTGATCTGCCGGCCTCAGCCTCCCAAAGTGCTGGGATTACAAGCATGAGCCATCACGCTCAGCCTTTTTTCTTGTTTGTGAGACAGGGTCTCACTCTGTCACCTAGGCTGGAGTGCAGTGGCGTGAACATGGTTCACTGCAGCCCCAGGCTCCCAGGCTTAAGTGATCCTCCCAGGCTTAAGTGATCCTCCCACGTAAGCCTCCCAAGTAACTGGAACTATAGGTGTGCACCACCACACCCAGCTAATTTTTTACTTTTTTGTAGACACAGGGCCTCACTATGTTGCCTAGACTGGTCTCAAATTTCCAGGCTCAAGCGATGTTCCTGCCTCAGCCTCCCAAAGTGCTTAGATTATCTTGTGAGTCACCATGCCTGGCCTACATATTTCTGAGACTATTCTTTAGCTGTTCATTAAAATATTAAAAATGTCTTCTAGTTTTTTATTAATAAACATTTATTATTTAAATGTCAAATGTATTAATCTTTTACTCTTTGGTTAGTACTTTTTTTCTTTTTGTTTAAAAATTCTTCCTGGCTGGGGCAGTGGCTCATGCCTGTAATCCTAGTGCTTTGGGAGGCTGAGGTGAGAGGATTGCTTGAGGTCAGGGATTTGAGACCAGCCTGAGCAACATAGTGAGGTCTCATCTCTACCAAAATAAATAAATAAATAAATAAATAAATAAATAAATAAATAAATAGAGTCAGATGTACTGATGCTCACTAGTAGTCCTAGCTACACAGGAGGCTGAGGCGGGAATGATTGCTTGAGCACCTCAATTCAAGGCTATAGTCTTGATTGCGCCACTGCTCTCCAGCCTGGATGACAGAGTGAGACCCCAGTTCCAAAAAAAAAGAAGTCTTCCTTACTGCAAAGTTATATTTTCTTATATTTCTCTCTGAAGTGTTTGAAGGTTTATCTTTCATATTTAAGTCATCTGGAACCGATTTTTCTATTTGGAGTGAGCTAGGGATCTGTCTTAGTCCATTTGTGCTGCTATGCTGCTATCACAAAATACCTGAGGCTGGATAATTTATTAAAAAACGGGCACTTATTTCTAACAGTTCTGGAGGCAGGAGTCTAAGATCAAGACACCAGCAGATTGGGTGTCTGATGAGAGCCTGCTGTTTACCTCCAAGATGGCACCTTGTTGCTACATTCTCTAGAGGGGAGGAACTCTGTGCCTTCTTCATCTGGCAAAGGGATAGAAGGGCAAAAAAAAAGGGCCAAACTCCCTCCGTGAAGCCCTTTTATAATGACATTAATCCATTTGTGAGGGCTTTGCCTTCACGACCTGAACACCTACCAAAAGGCCCTACCTCCCAGCAGTACTGCATTGGGGATTAAGTTTCTAATACATGAATTTTGGAGGACACATTCAGACCCCATAGCAGGATTCAGTTTCGTTTTGTTTTTAAATATGGATAACAAACTGTCCCATACGTTACTAAAAAAATCCATACTTCCTTCAATGATTGCCATTCACTTCTGTCATGTATTATATTCTCATTTATGCATGATCTATGCCTGTGCTCTCTATTGGTGTGTTTATTTATATGCCAACACGTTATCTTTATAATAAATTTTGTATGTTAGATTAAGCCTTTTGACGTTACTCCTCTTTAGACATATTTTGGCCCTTCATGCACTTTTGATCTTCTATTGAAATTTTATTTGGGGCTGGGCACAGTGGCTCATGCTATAATCCTATCATTTTGGGAGGCTGAGGTGGGTAGATCATTTGAGGTCAGAAGTTCAAGACCAGCCTGGCCAACATGGTGAGACCCCGTCTGTACTAAAAAAAAAAAAAAAAAAAAAAAAAAAAATTAGCTGGGCATAGTGGTGGCACATGGCTGTAATCCCAGCTACTCAGGAGGTGGAGGCAGGAGAATAGTCTGAAACGAGGAGACAGAGGTCATAGTGAGTCAAGATCACGCCACTGCACTCCAGCCTGGGTAACAGAGTGAGACTCCATCTCAAAAAATAAATAAATAAATAAGATAAATTTTATTTGAGATTGCATTGAATCTGTGGATAAATTTGAAGATAATTCATAGTTTTATAATACCTCTGAACATGATACCTCTTTACTATTATTGAGGTATTTTACAAAGTTTAAATTGTTTTCTAAATAAAGGTCTTATAAGTCTTTTTAAAAAATTTACTCCGAGGTTCTTTGTATTTTTGTTGTGATTATTAAATAAATGGGTATATAGTGTATATAGTCTGTTTATTGCTGCCGTATAAAAATGTATTTGATTTTGTATCTGACCACCTTACTGAATTTTGTCCTATGAAACATTTATTTGTAGATTCATCTGGATTTTTCCTTTTACAATATTGTTTCTCTCTTCCTTATGTGCTAACTTTATTAGATAACTGCCATTTGAAACTAAATAGGGTTAAAGGGAATGCTTTTCATGTTTTACTGATAGGATGGTGTTTGCTCCAGCTTTTTTAGTAGATACTCTATCAGATTAAGAGAGTAACCTCCTATTCCTAGTTTGGTTTGGTGAAAGTTTCTTAAAATGAATGGGTTTTACACCCCTACCATGGGTGCAAGCCTAGTCTCAGATCCTTGTGTTGGTATTGATATTTATGTTCCTACTCTAGTTTCAGCTTATGTCTTGTTTCATTTTTTTAAATGTATGTTTGCTTGCTTTTATTGGCATAGGGGCTGGTTGGCCTCAGAAAAGTCTCTTTCTGTAAGTCTAACAATGCAAATTATCTTTTATCCTGATAAAAGATTTATTTATACTTAATTTATACTTACCTAAGTAAGTAGCAGGAAGGCCCTGCAGGGACTATAATCTGCCCTCCTAATGAACGCAGAAACCAATAAAAATGCTTTTCTAAATTCTTACTTTGTTTTATTCATCTTTTTTTAAAAAATGTACATACACTTCTCTGAACTAAATTTTATTATAGTTAAAATAAGTGAACGTTGCAGGATTTTTAGAAATATAATTTCCTAACATCTTGTGAATATGATTGAAAGACTTTTTGTGTGTTAGCTATTTATTTCTAATCTGGCCTTAGAGAAATATAAAAGTGCAGTAGATTTATTCTTAAATTTGGTAACTAAAAAATTCTACTGAAACAGAGGTTTTTGTTTTTGTTTTGAGACACTATTTCAGTCTGTCGCCCGGGATTGAGTGCAGTGGCGCAGTCATAGCTCACCATATCCTCAAACTCGTGGGCTCAAGCGATCATCTGGCCTCAGCCTCCCAAAGTGCTGGAATTACAGGTGTGAGCCACCATGCCTGGCCTTACCCAGGTGTTACAATTATGTTTGCTAAGTAGTATTTACCAAGCTGAAAGATACTAAATGGAAACAACATTTTAAAATATTCAGTGATAAGTCAATAGATAACTCTCCTTTCTTCTAGAGACTAGAAATAGCAAGCATTAGTTTTCTAGAAAGTACAGTTGGCCAGGCATGGTGGCTCATGCCTGTAATCCCCACACTTGAGGAGGCCGAGATGGGTGGATTACTTGAGCTCAGGAGTTTCAGACCAGCCTGGGCAACATGGTGAAACCCCATCTCTACAAAAAATACAAAAATTAGCCAGACATGATGGCCCACACCTGTGGTCCCAGCTGCTTGGGAGGCTAAGGTGAGAGGATCACTTGAGCCCAGGAGATTGAGGCTGCAGTGAGCTGAGATCACGCCACTACAATCCAGCCTGGGCGACAGAGCAAGACCCTGTCTCGACAACAACAACAAAAAAAGTACACGCTGGGCATGGTGGCTCATGCCTGTATCCCAGCACTTTGGGAGGCCGAGGTGGGTGCATCACGAGGTCAGGAGATCGAGACCATCCTGGCTAACATGGTGAAACCCCATCTCTACTAAAAATACAAAAAATTAGCCAGGCGTGGTGGCACGTGCCTGTAGTCCCAGCTAGTCAGTAGGCTGAGGCAGGAAAATGACTTGAACCCAGGAGGCGGAGGTTGCAGTGAGCCAAGATCGCGTCACTGCACTCCAGCCTGGGCAATAGAGCAAGACTCCATCTCGGAAAGCAAAATAACAAAACAAAAAAGAAAGTACAAATGACTCAACATTGCCAGAATTTCTTAGAGAACCAGGAAACCTCATGCCATAACAGTTTAGCAGATTTATTCTAGTGACATAATAAAAGTAATTTCATTAAACTTCTGTATTGCTAAGGATGAAAACCATACTCTAGTTGATAATATACCTTGTTAAAAGTAGTAGTCCTGGCCGGGTGCAGTGGCTCACACCTGTAATCCCAGCACTTTGGGAGGCTGAGGTGGGTGGATCACGAGGTCAGGAGTCCAAGACCACCCTGGCCAATATGGTAAAACCCCGTCTCTACCAATAATACAAAAATTAGCCGGGCATGGTGGTGCGCACCTGTAGTCCCAGCTATTGGGGAGGCTAAGGCAGAAGAATTGCTTAAACTCGGGAGGCGGAGGTTGCAGTGAGCCGAGATCATACCACTACCACTCCAACCTGGGTAACAGAGTGAGACTCCATCTCAAAACAAAACAAACAAACCAAAAACAGTAGTAGTCCTTTAGCAAATGTTTGTTAAATGAATGAGCATTGGTAAAGTGATGTCTTAACACCAGTAGGAAAGGTGAACAGAAGATAAAGAAGAGTACATGAAAATGAAAGGAGAGAGTGTGAAGAAAGATCATATTTTGTGGCCAGGTGTGGTGGCTTGGGCCTGTAATCCCAGCACTTTGGGAGGCTGAGGCGAGAGGATTGCTTGAGCCCATGAGTTTGAAACCAGCCTGGGCAACATGACGAAACCCATCTGTACCAAAAATACAAAATAAAATTAGCCAGGCATGGTAGTGCAACCCTGTAGTTCCCAGCTACTTAGGAATCTGAGGTGGGAGAATCGTTTGAGCCCACAAGACAGAGGTTGCCGTGAGCCAAGATCATGCCACTGCATCCCGGTCTGGGCTACAGAGCTGGACCCTGTCTCAAAAAATAAAAGTAAAGCAGCACTAATGTTTGTTAATAAAATACATAGCTAATTTATATGTTAAGATATTAAGCTGTCAATTTTTGTATATTGTTATATAACTTAACCACTTAAGATACACTTTTTCTTTTATTTTAAGGCTTTCTTCAATACTAAAAATGTATGGAAGTCCTTTGAAAACACCGTCAGTGGTTTATAGACAAAGACTTTATGAACTGTTGATTTTATTACCTCCTGAGACCTATGAAGGTATGTGCCTTAGACCAAAATGTTTTTTTGTTTGTGGCTAGTATGGTTTCTGGAACAATAGTTATTGTCACTCATTAAATATTTAAATGAATTATAATGGCAGTTATTTAGTGCCTTGTTTCTAGGAGGTTTAGGGAGTTCAGTCCTAATCCATGTGTTCACCATCTTATAGTAAAAAAAACATTCGGGGTTTTGTTTTTGTTTTAATTTTTTTTGAGACAGGGTCTCACTCTCTTACCCAGGCTGGTATGCAGTGTTATGCAATCATGGCTCACTTCAGCCTTGGGCTCAAATGACCCTCCAACCTCAGCCTCCTGGGTAGCTGGAACTACAGGCACACCACCACGCTCAGCTAGTTTTTTGTATTTTCGTTAGAGACAGGGTTTCGCCATGTTGCCCAAGCTGGTCTCGAATTCCTGGGCTCAAGCAATTCTCCTGCCTTGGCCTCCCAAAGTGCTGGGATTATAGGTGTGGGCTATTGAGCCCAGCCTAAAATACTTTTTTTTAAAAAACCTCCTTCTTAAGGCCAGGCACTGTGTTAGAAATTGTATCTATTATATCTCATTTATCCTGGGATGATACAGTGAGCTAGTTACATTTTTCTTATTTGACAGATAAAGGTTTAGGTTACAAAACCAACTCAAGAACACATACCAGATAAAGAGTGGAATCAGGATTGAAACATAAGTTTGCCTCATGCTGTGCTGCTGCCTTTTCTAAGTAACCTATTTAGAGACTTAACAATCATAGCTTAGTGATATGTCTTATTCTTTGCCATCTATCAATTTAAAAGTTACTTGCTAGATATCTAGTAAAAAGCTGAGAGATAATTTCTGTATTCCACAGCTCAGATAACTGTTGCGTTGTGACAAAAGCAATTTCCTTCAGATTTTTACAATAGTATCTTGAAATTTATTTTCAGACTAAAATAAACTTTTTTTTTTTTTTTGGAGACAGAGTCTTGCTCTGTCCCCCAGGCTGGAGTGCAGTGGCATGATCTCGGCTCACTGAAACCTCTGCCTCCTGTGTTCAAACGATTCTCCTGCCTCAGCCTCCGGAGTAGCTGGAACTACAGGCATGCGCTACCATGCCTGGCTAATTTTTTTGTATTTTTAATAGAGATGGGGTTTCACCATGTTGGCCAGGCTGGTCTCAAACTCCTTACCTCATATGATCCATCCTCCTCAGCCTCCCAAAGCGCTGGGATTACAGGTGTGAACTCCTGACCTCAGGTGATTCACCCTCCTTGGCCTCCTAAAGTTCTAGGATTGCAGGCATAAGCCACTGTGCCCAGCTAAAAGGACTGCTGCTCAACTCTTCAATAAACATTTAGGAATACAAGAATCTCGACTTAAAATCTACAGTGTATCTTCTGATAAATAATGGAAGTCTTTTTTTTGTTTTTTTTTTTGAGATGGGGCCTCACTCTGTCAACCAGGCTGGAGTGCAGTTGTGTGATCATGGCTCACTGCAGCCTCGACCTCCCAGGCTCAAGTCATCCCACCTCAGCCTCCCAAGTAGCTGGGACTGCAGGTGTACACCACCACTCCCAGCTAGTTTTTTTTTTTTTTTTTTTTTTTTTGTCATTTGTAGAGATGAGGTCTTGCTGTGCTGCCCAGGTTGTTCTCAAATTTCTGGGCTTCAGTGATCCTCCCACCTCAGCCTCTCAAAGTGTTGGGATTACAGTCATGAGCCACTGGGCCTGGCCTGATAATGTAAGTCTTACCCTTAAAAAAACTTGAATTAGAGGAAAAAGTCTTGAAGTCTTCTACTTTTTTTTTTTTAACTTGGATTTTCTCAGAATTGGAGTTTGGAAATGCAATCAGGAGTCCTAAAGGATATATTTCAAATCAGTTCCACAGTGTTCATTAGGAGACAAAGTCAGGACTTACTATGAACTTCTGGAAGAAACAAACTCTAGGCCAGGTACATTGGCTCACATCTATAATCCCAGCACATTGGGAGGCTAAGACAAATGGATCATTTGAGGTCAGGAATTCGAGACCAGCCTGGCCAACATGGTGAAATCCCATCTCTACTAAAAATACACAAAATAATTAGCTGGGCATGGTGGCACATGCCTGTAGTCCCAGCTACTTAGGAGGCTGAGGCAGGAGAATCGTTTGAACCTGGGAGGCAAAGGTTGCAGTGAGCCGAGATCGTGCCACTGCACTGCAGCCTGGGTGGCAGAGTGAGATTCCATCTCTAAATAAATAAATAAATAAATAAATAAATAAATAAATAAATTTCTGATTTTATTGGTTCCTCCAATGTGTTGTCAAAGAGTCAGTTTCTAGGACATAGTAAGAAATTGCTTTTGCCATGTGGAATGTACTTAAGAATTGAAATAACTTTTCTTCATGACTATCCAGCAGATGTAGATTTAGAGTCTTAGAGTGACTTAGTTTTCCGAAGGATTGGAGTAAAAATTGAGTTCTTAGTTTTTATTTCCTGTCTTAGTTTTGGTATGGATTTATTTTCAAATATCTTAATATTCTCTACATTGAAAATAACTCACCAGCAAGTTAGTGATGCATTTTTATACAAAAGCCTATTTGCATTTCAAAATTATCTTAATTATTTTTAGGTACTTTTTCCAGGGACAGTTGGGAAAGTAATCACTTTCAACTGAGAAGCAGAGATTTTCTACTATTTTCACACATAGCCATAGGAACAAGCATACCTTTTATATTGTACTACCAACAGAATTATTTTGCTGAGTGTCATATGCTGGTAATTAAACTTAGACATTCCTTTGAGCAACTGTCATTTGCTCAGTCATTATGACTTCACTGATCCCTGTCCATTCTTCCTAATTCCTGTATGTAATCTCTCCTTCCCTAAATTTAATAGTGCTTTTGTTTTTATCTTTTATGAAACATAATAGTTCCTACCTTCCTATTATATGTATATATTGGTATCCCATAGTGTATACCTTCTTGAAAGGAAGATTAAATATAATAAAATTTTTCTCTGTAGCATATTAAACACAATTTGGATGAATGAGTGATTCAGCACGGTGGTTAAAAGCTCAAATTCTGGAGCCTGATTAACTGGGTTTCAGTCTGACAGCTATGTGATCATCATATGATCTCTGGCAAGTAATAAATTCCCTGTTCCTGTTTCCTTACCTGTAAAACAACATACTAACCTGACCTTATTAGGTTACTATGAAGGTTATATGTAAAGTTTTTAGGACATTTCCCAACACGTATTAAGTATTCAGTAAGCCAAGCACCGTGTGTAATCTCAGCTATTCAGGAGGCTGAGACAGGAGGATCACTTGAGGCTTGGATTTAGAGATTAGCCTGGACAATATTGTGAGACCTCATCTCTTAAAAAAAAAAAAGTAAGCTTCAATAAATATTTGTTGTTACTACTGTTACTGCTGCTAATGATACAGAAAGTGATGGCAAGTAAACCCTTCCTAACTCATCCTACCACTTCTGATCAGTGGATATCACCTCAGTCCTCATTTCATCCTGGTGCAATTGCTCAAAGAAACACTTCGAAGAGTATAAACATTTTTCTAAGGGAATTTTTACTCATTCCTGCAGTATTTAAGTTACAAACTGGCAAAAGCCATTTAAGCTCTCTGTGGATAAGATTTTTTGATAACCTAACAGAAATTAGGATAAAACATCTTTGAGGTGATCATTGCAGTTAATGTGATAAATGGATCAGCTTTTCAAAGTGTATATGTTAGAGAGGCAACCATATGTTGTCTCCTGTGTTATTGGAGAACACAATACCACTTATGAACTAACCTGCACCCCACCCTGCCCATCACCAAAAGCAAAAATGAGCCCCGTCTAGATACAACTACCAATTTATTTTTTTTAAAAAGTACAGATAGAAGAACAAATTAAGCTATACCAGGGGCCTATAATCATAAAAACCCAGACTGTAGAAAATTGTACAAAACAAATAACCTTGTTTCTTCAAATAAATTACCAGTGAGGGGAAAGGTATAGGGAGAATACTAAATTGAAAGAGACAAGATAAACTAGCTGCAATGTGTACACCTTACTTAGATCTAGATTCAAACACGGAAGCAAACAAAAACAGGTGTTTATGAGATAGTTGGAAATTTGAATACTGAATGGGTACCTGATGTTCAGTGGCTTTTTTTTTTTTTACAACATGAGATTATGATAGCAGGATTATGTTCAAAATAAAATGTATTTCACTTTAATGATACACGGTGAAATATTTATGGATGAAATGATGTGCTGCCTAGGGTTTTCTTAAAAATAATGTGGAGAAATGTGGGATCAGGAATGGGGATGTAGGTGAAATAATACTGTTGCAGCTGGTAAAGATGAATAATGAGCATATGCTGGAAGGGATAGGGGCAGGCATCATCATAGTACTATTATTTATTTATGTTTGAAATTTTCCATAATAACATGTCTAAGTTTTCTCAGGATAATTCTTTTTTTTTTTTTTTTTTTTTTTTGTCTTGAGATGGAGACTCATTCTGTTGCCCAGGCTGGAGTGCAGTGGCTGATCTTGGCTCATTGCAACCTCTGCCTCCCAGATTCAAGCGATTTTCCTGCCTCAGTCTCTGAGTAGCTGGGGTTACAGGCACCTGCCACCACGCCCGGCTAATTTTTGTGTTTTTACTAAAGATGGGGTTTCACCATGTTGGCCAAGCTGGTCTTGAACTCCTGACCTCAAGTGATCCACCCACCTTCGCCTCCCAAAGTGCTGGGATTACAGGTGTGAGCCACCACACCCGGCCTCAGGCTAATTCTTATACATTTTTTCAGACTGTGCTTTTTTAAAAAACATATCTGCTTTTGTAAATCTTTTTTTACATCTATTTTTATATTTTATGTCATGTTATACCTTAAGGTATGTACACACACACACACACACACACACACACACACACACACTCTTACACTTTGAGATGTTCTTTTAGTATCCATTCTTAACCTTGTTACTAGCAACACGTAGTTGAGCCAGTCATTTCTAGGGCAGTTTTCAAGGATGAGAAATACAGTCTTTTGGCTGTGATATGTTAAAGTTGGCCAGTGGGTGCATTAAAGCTCAACCTGAGTTTTAAATCCCATACTCTCACCAGATAATTAATAGTACTAATTGCTCTTTTTCTGTGACTCAACAGGAAACCTCTGTGCTATCCTCAGAGAGCTGGCTGCTGACTTGACTGCCCCTGATATTCAGGTGGCAGCATCTACATTTTTACTTCCACCCCTCTGTCATCAGGATGATCTTTTGATACTAAGTCCTTTCCTACAAGAGACTGACCATAGATTTATTGAAGAACAGGTATGGCCATTTTTTACTCTTGATTAGATTCAATCTGTGATCAGTGATTTTAAAACCTTATATACTTTTTTTCCCTTTTAGCTCCTGCTTGGTAATGGTGTTGCTTGCGGAAGTCTTGAATATGACCCTTATTCGATTTATGAGAAAGATGTAGAGGGAGATTCAGTGCCTAAGCCCTTACCTCCAGCACTATCAGTTATTAGTTCTGCATCCAAGCTCTTTGGGGTTGTATGCGCTCATGTGGGAGAAACTCAAAGGTAAATATCTTCAATGGTTCAGTGAATGGATAATAGAGAACTGGTGGGTAAGAAGAATGTTGCCAGAGATCTCATTAGCGTAAATGATTTCTTATAAATAACAGGTGAAGGTGAAATATAAGTTTTTGTTTAATTATTCACTTGGCTAATACTTAATAAGAAATGATTAAATGCCTAAAACCACTAGAACTGTTGTGGATACAATACTTTGCTCACAGCTTATCATCTAGCTGAAAATACAAATGAAAAATAATGACATAAGATACTGATTTATGAGCAGTCATTACAAAGACACATACTAGGTTTTTTCTTAGACTAGGTCTCATAGGCTTTCTTACCTTGGAAATTTTTTGGAACCATTAAAGGTCCAGGGATTTGTCTTCAGTTGGAGGGATTTTAAATGGTTTTTATCAGTTCACTTAAAATGAACTTTAGACCAGTGGTCCCCAACCTTTTAGGCACCAGGGACCAGTATGGCGAAAGACAGTTCGTCCATGGCGTAGGGATAGGAGGAGGTTTTGGGATAAAACTATTCCACCTCAGATCATCAGGCATTGTGAGGGGTGCACAACCTAGATCCCTCACATGCACAGTTGACAATAGGGTTCACACTCCTGTGAGAATCTAATGCCACTGCTGATCTGACAAGAGTTTGGCTCAGATGATAATGCTCGCTTGCCCGCCACTCACCTCCTGCTGTGCGGCCCAATTCCTAACAGGCCGTGGACCAGTACCAGTCCGTGGCCCACTGGTTGGGGCCCCCCTGCTTTAGAACACACACACATACACACACAAAGATAATAGATATTTAATTAACTTGATTGTGGTAATCTATTTCACAATGTATATATGAGCAAAGCCTCGTTAAAAACATCATGTTGTATACCTCATACTATGTAGGGATTTCCATCTTATGCTATTGTATGTGAAAAATTAATAAATACAAGATGTCCTCCCCAAAAAATGGACTTTGGTTTTGAAAAACCAAAGGGTGATAATGATTTCTCATTGAGAATGATAGTTTCTTAATTAGTAACTGGACATATACATTTCTCAGGCATCAAAATCCACTATCCAGGAAATTCTTGTTACTATCTGAAAAACGAAATGGGAAGTGAATCTCTCTCATAGGCTATTGTGGCTAATAATAGTTTACAAATCACTGTCATCCGCACTGATTCATTCATTCATTTCCTCTCTCTCGACCAACAACCATGCATTTGACTAGATCATAGCTTTTATTATATCTTCTTATCCAGTTATATCTTCCAGAGGATACCAGTTAGACAATTTACCTTTATCTCTTTGGTGAAGACTTAGAAAAATATTTTAATTTCATCACCAACACCTCTCTGAAACAGGTCTTGGGATGATGTGCTTTCATTGCATAGAAAAGTGAATGAAATTTATATTGATTTTTACTAGCTTCAGTTTCAAAAGATAGTGTTTTTTCCAAATGTATTTGTAGCATTTCCTGTAATACTGTAACTATAAGGTTATGGTGATAAGAGAATATATGACTGAATTGTTAATGAATGAAGAGGAAAATTACAGTGGTTTGGAATATTCAAAGAAAGATTCATGGAGAGGATGAAATTTGAACTAGTCTGTAACTGCCTTTTTATAGAGCATATAATTACTTTAGAATAATTAATTTGGATTAATATACCAATAACTACTGTGGATGAAACAGGGCTGGCCTTTTAAGCAAAGGATTTAAATTAAGCCTGTTCTTAAATGGTTCCACTATCTTTGATGGGTCTAAGGTGGAAAAGCAAAAAAGAAAATATACTTTTTACAGCCTTTCCTCTTAAAAAAGTGATTTTACTATTCTAGAGAAGTTTTCTTTTCGGATTTATTGCCCAATTGCAGTTTCAGGAAGATCCTTTCTTACTAAGTTTAATGAATTTTTTAATGTGCTCATAGTTTTTGTATCCCCACCTAAGTTATAATAATAATAATGAATATTCAAGGAAGGGGAGATTTTGTTTGTTTTGATAAAAACATTGAGAACAGATAAAAGCAAACCCTATCATTCTGTTTGGATTCTAACAAATTTGGAACAAACAGGATTCTAACTATTTTGGAAAAAAAATAGTAGGTGACCAGGCACAGTAGTTTACACCTGTAACCAAGCACTTTGGGAGGCCAAGGCAGGCAAATTGCTTGAGCCCAACAGTTCAAGAGCAGCCTAGGCAACATGCAAAACTCCTTCTCTACAAAAATAAAAAAATTAGCTGTGCATGGTGGTGTGCAACTGTAGTCCCAGCTACTGAGGAGGCTGAGGTGGGAGGTTCGCTTGATACTGGGAGTTAGAGGTTGCAGTGAGCCAAGATCTCGCCACTGCACTCCAGCCTTAGCAACAGAGCAAGACACTGTCTCAAAAATATATTTATAAAGAAGTGGCCTGGCAAGATCCCAGATACAGAAAGTGGGTTATAAGCAGTTATCCACAGTCTCCAGTAGGTGTCGTTACAGAACCAGAAGATAGAAACTACATGAATAGGGAAGTTAAGTTTCTAATTTCCTGTTATGCCAGATATGATATTTATGTAAAATATCAGGCTGTTTGCTTTTTGGCCTTACATTTGAGTTCTAGAGAAGAAAGGTCTTAATTAAAGTATCTAAATTTAAACAGCAACCGAATATTTCAAGCCATTTTGTTGTTATTGTGGTTAGCCTTATGTTTAAACAGTTGTGTAACATGTGGTTGTCCTAAGGTTGGAAATAATACTTACGTAATATAAATTAATGCACAATTTATTAATGCATATGTAATTGTCTTTTAAATTAGTTGATTCTCTCTATTCTGACTGTAGGGTTCTAACGTAAAAATGTTTACCGGTTGGAAAGTCAAGATATTTTATACAGAAAAGAAATAATATTGATCTCAATCATGTATTGTTTGTGGTTACTTTTTTTTTCTTTGAGACAGCCCAGGCTGGAGTGCGGTGGCTCACTGCAACATCCGCCTCCTGGGTTTCAAGTGATTCTCCTGCCTCAGCCTCCCAAGTAGCTGGGATTACAGGCATGCACCCCCATGCCTGGCTAATTTTTGCATCTTTTAGTGGAGATGGGGTTTCATAATGTTGGCCAAGCTGGTCTCAATCTCCTGACCTCAGGTGATCCGCCCTCCTCGGCCTCCCAAAGTGCTGAGATTATAGGCATGAGCCACTATGCCCAGCCTGTGTGTGGTTACTTTATTTTTTGTTTTGTTTTGTTTTGAGACAGAGTTTTGCTCTGTCAACCAGGCTGGAGTGCAGTGGCACCATCTCGGCTCACTGCAACCTCCGCCTCCCAGGTTCAAGTGATTCTCCTGCCTCGGCCTCCCGAGTAGCTGGGACTACAGCACACGCCACCATGCCTGGCTAATTTTTATATTTTTAGTAGAGATGGGCTTTCGCCATGTTGGCCAGGCTGTTCTTGAACTCCTGACCTCAGGTGATCTGCCCCCGTCAGCCTCCCAAAGTCCTGGGATTACAGGTGTAAGCTACTGCTCCTGGCCTGCGTTTGTGGTTGCTTTTAAATAGATTTTCATCTAATTGCAAAGAATGAGTTGATTAATTCACCTGAGGATTGTTCCACCCCTGACTTGCACATTGGAATTATCCAGGCAAATTTTTAAGATACTGAAGATCCTGATTAGTATGGTATGCATACTATGGTGGTGGGCACTGAAAGTTTTTAAACTCCTTAGGTGATTGTGATAAATGGACTGCTTCAACAAATGATGTCACTTGGGAATGGATGGACAGAGAGGAAAAGCTTAAACAGTTATAATTCTCAGTAGTAAAAAATTTTGCCATTATATACCCTCTAAAAAGTATTATTTTGTTTTTGTTTGTGGTTACTGTTTTGTGTATACTGTGTGTACCCCCTGTCTAAAGGGTTTATAATGTAAAATGTATAATGTAAAATAAATCAACATTTTCAAATGTTACATCTTCACCCTTTATTCAGTTAACTGCACTTTTATTCCATCTAGACTCAAAACTTTTAGTACCTATCATTTCATTCCAAACTGATAATTATATGTTATAATTGATACTACTTATGAGTACTAATTCAGTATTACTAAAAATAACTCATCTCCATCTTCCTGAAGATCAGAATCTTTTGTTGAGATCTCTATAGGAATTGGTGTCATATATCTTGAATCCTTGATTAGTTAATAGTGTATTCAATCTCTTTCAGGATTGGGGGGCAGAAGATGAAGAAAAAGATTTTGAGCTCTGACAATCCTGTTTTGTAGTCTTTGGTCCATGAATGTGGTCAAGAAATAATTGTATAGGTCAACTTATAGTACAGTGCAACAAATTCTTAATCTCTAACCTTACGTATTTTTATAACTTCCAGTGCGATACAATTTCATGATAACAGATGTAGGATATGATCTAATAATGACGTTATAGGTTTTTAAACTTGGGAGCTTGATCATACAGTTATTCTTAATTCCCCATTGTTGTCACATTTACCCTCCGTAATCTTCCTGTAGGTTGCTTTGGACATAAATATGTTCTTAAAAAAAAAAAAATGCCGGCCAGGCGCAGTGGCTCACTCCTGTAATCCCAGCACTTTGGGAAGCCGAGGCGGGCGGATCACGAGGCCAAGAGATCAAGACCATCCTGGTTAACACGGTGAAACCCCGTCTCTACTAAAAATAAAAAAAAATTAGCCAGGTGTAGTGTGGGCGCCTGTAGTCCCAGCTACTCAGGAGGCTGAGACACAAGAATGGCATGAACCTGGGAGGCAGAGCTTGCAGTGAGTTGAGATCACGCCACTGCACTCCAGCCTGGGCGACAGAGCGAGACTCCATCTCAAAAAAAAACAAAAAATGCCTTAAATATGGACTTAAACAATGGGCAGAAAACTTTTCTTGTTTGTTTTTGTGATTTTTTTTTGAGGCAGCGTCTCATTCTGTCATCCAGGCTGGAATGCAGTGGTGCTATTTTGCCTCACTGCAGCTTCAGTCTCCCAAGCTCAAGCAATCGTCCTGCCTCAGCTTCCTAAGTAGCTGGGTCTACAGTCAGGCACCAATACACTGGCTAATTTTTTTTCTTTTTAGTGGAGATAAGGTCTCACTATGTTGCCTAGGCTGGTCTCGAACTCATGGGCTCAAGCGATCCTCCTGCCTCTGCCGCCCAAAGTGCTAGAATTACAGGCGTGAGCCACCAGAAAAATTTTCATATGCAAGATACTTAGCATGTTATTTGTAATAAGAAAAATTAGAAATAGCCTAAATGTCCCAAACTAGGAAGTTGGTTAAATAAATTATGTTGCCAGAATATACAATACTAGTAGCTATTCAGTAATACTATTATAGTAAAACCATATAATAGTTAATAAGATGGGAAAATCCCTGATAATATTGTTTAGGGGAAACAAAACAAGTTATTAACAAAGTATGTACAATACAATCTCTGTTTTCTAAAAATTTTACTCATATGTCTAAGGGAGAAAAGAACAAAGATGTCAAAATGTTAATGGCGGCTCTTTGTAGGTGGTGGGATTTGGGGTAAATTTTATTTTTTTTTTAATGTGCTTTTCTGAGTTTTTCAAATTTATTACGATAAATACAATTAACCTTGAAGTAAGGAAATAAGTACTTTTCTAAGTATTCTTAGTGTTCCACCATTTTTATTACATTTTATTTTTATTTTTATTTTTATTTTTTATTTTTGGAGATGGAGTCTCGCTTTGTCACCCAGGCTGGAGTACAGCGGTGCCATCTCAGCTCACTGCAACCTCCACTCTTGGCTCAAGCAGTTCTCCTACCTCAGCCTCCCAAGTAGCTGGGAGTACAGGCACATGCCACCACGCCTGGCTAGTTTTTATATTTTTAATAGAGATGGAGTTTCACCATGTTGTCCAGGCTGGTCTCAAACTCCTGACATCAGGTGATCTTCCCACCTTGGCTTCCTAAAGTGCTGGGATTGTAGGTGTTTGCCATTGCGCCTGGCCTTTATTACATTTTATAAATTGATTTTATACATACTGCTTTCCCCAACCCTTATGATGTACACATAGCCTCGATACCTTCCTTTTTACTCTTTAACTCCTTGTACAGTTAGGTTTTTTAAAGGCACGATCCCCATGTCTATTCTGATTTGATAATAAAATTGCCATTTACAGGACAGCTTGCCTTGTAGCCTCAGCAGAATGATGGAGATCTAGTTTTAAAGGACTTAGGGATATTATTGAAAGTACATGAAGGTCAGATGAAAGTATATCCATATTTTCATGTTCAGCCAGTCATGCCGTGTGTTTAATTACCTGATGCTGTTGTCTTTTATGCTTGCTTAATAAGCACACCTGACTGCCTACTACATGCCAAACACAAGATATTAGGGAGATGAAGATAAAATTATAAGCTTCCTGCCATCAAGATAATTTACAACTGAAAAAGTTATCTTCAGCGTATTTCAGGTTTCTCATTTAAAGGGAGAAAAGAGGGAAAATGAAGTATAGGGCACAGAAACAATGTTTTAAAGAGAAATTAATGGTAAGATGGGGTGGTTTATTTTATGGTTACATGTATTTAATCTTGACATAAGGAATTAAAACCTCTGTGCTATAAGGACATGAAATATTGTGTGTATTTATCTTAATTAGAATTGTGAAAATTCGAACATTTTTCTCACCAGTAGCAGAGTGGTTGAATAAATTTTAGTATGTGTATATAATGAAATTTGGATTCACAAACATTATAAAAGAAGAAAAATGACCAGGCACAGTGGTTTACCCCTATAATCCTAGCACTTTCAGAGGCCGAGGCTGGAGGATCGCTTGAGCTTAGGAGTTCAAGACCAGCCTAAGCAACATAGTGAGATATCATCTCTTTTAAAAAAAAAAAAAAATTAGCAGGGTGTGGGTAATGTGTTCCTATACTCCCAGGTACTTTGGTGGCTGAGGCTGGAGGATCACTTAAGCCCAGGAGGTCGAGGCTGCAATGAGCTATGATGGCATCTATAGCTAACCAGAAGCACCATAGCTCTTTGGATCCCCAACTATGCTTTGAAAATATACTTGGGACTATACTATATGTAAAACAATTTTAACTCTTGCTTTTTTCATTTAACATTACCTTTTTAGCACTTTTCACATCATTTTTATTGTTTTTTTTTTTTTCTTTCTTTCTTTCTCTGAGACAGGATCTTGCTTTGTCACCCAGGCTGGAGTACAGTGGCATGATCATAGCTCACTGTAACCTTGAACTCCTGGGCTCAAGTGACCCTTCTGCTTCAGCCTCCTGGGTAGCTAGGACTACAGTCATGTGCCACTATGCCTAGCTAACTTTTTGATTTCTTGTAGCATCAGAGGTCTCACTGTGTTGCCCAGGCTGGTCGTAAACTCCTAGCTTCAAGCAGTCTTCCTGCCTTGAATTCTGTGAGGCTATGTGTTACATATAATATTTGTGGAGTTATATCAATATTGACTACATTTGTTGGTATTATCTCAAATTTTAGTTTTCCAGTTATTGGAATGTGCATTCTCATGCTTACAATTACTGCAGTAGTTTAAAGAACCTAAAGTGTGAAGTTTAAATGGTATTGAGAGGCCAGGGGCAGTGGTTCACACCTGTAATCCCAGCACTTTGGGAGGCCAAGGTGGGCGGATCACTTGAGATCAGGAGTTCAAGACCAGCCTGGCCAACATGGTGAAACTACTACTACTCTACTAAAAATACAAAAATTAACCGGGTGTGGTGGTGCACACCTGTAATCCCAGCTACTTGGGAGACTGAGGTGAGAGAATCTCTTGAGCCAGGAAGGTGGAGGTTGTAGTGAGCCGAGATGGTGCCAGTATACTCTAGCCTGGGTGACAGAGTGAGACTCCGTCTCAAACAAACAAACAAACAAACAAACAAACAAACAAAAACTTACCTACTTGCTTTTAAATCCTGTTATTTCTGATTGTAGGCTTCTTATATTGGAACAGCTTTTGGACAGTATAAAGCACACAAAAGGAGCTCGTCAGCAAGTGGTTCAGTTACATGTTGTTTCTTCAGTTTCTAGTTTCTTGAAGGTAATTATTATTTTTTTCATTTAAATGTTGGCTTCATTTTTTAAAAAATTTGTAGCCAATGAAGTTTGTCGGAGGATGATGTTTTTAAAATGCTCTTTTTTCCTTCATTTTTCTTAATCTCTTGATGAAAAGTTTTCAGGATTTGGAATTCTCCTTTTACTTTTTGTCCACATAAAACTTGTTAGAAATCAAACCTATAATCTCTGCATAGAGCCATGCATTAACCTACCAATCCTGATATCCTGGGCCAGGGATTGATAGACTATGGCCTGTGGACCAAATCCAGCTCATTGTTACTTATGACTTACCGTTTCTATGTACAGTAAAATATAATAGACTTCATTAGTCGCTTATTTTGTGGACATCTCTGTTAATGTTCTTTCAAACCATTTATACCTTAATGATAATTGATTACCGTATTGCTGCCTGGAGGTTTAAAATTCTAAAGTGCTTTGTAAAAAAAAATGAAATTATATTTGTATTATCAGTGTGGATTTTTGTGTTCTTATTTGTTTTTAAGTAGTAATCCAAGTATGAACATATTTGGATTTGGTTAACCAGAATGTACATTCCTAACTGGATATGAGAATTTACTACAATTGTAAGTTTGGGTTGTTCTTTACATATTTCAGTACGTGGCTGGCTCCAAGGGATGTTTAGGTCCAGAAGAAATGAAAAGATTTGCCTTAACATTAGTTATGGGAGCCCTAGAAAGCCCCAACCCCTTGCTGAGATGTGCAGCTGCAGAGTCATGGGCTAGATTAGCCCAAGTGGTAGATGATGGAGCTTTTACTGCTGGATTAGCTCAAGTTAGCTTTGACAAGTAAGTGAATTTCTTATTTAATATTCAGAGGCTATGTTTCAAAACTGGGTATAGCTTTCTGGCTTGTTGGAACTAGTAAGATCTTCATTCTGAGATTTAACTAAGAAAAGAAAAATTGTCAAATGTTGACTGCTAAAGGAAAGAAAATAAAAATTGGCCGGCTGGTCTTGGCACATAAAACAACTACTATTTCAGCTATAGTCTTTATATAATAAGAAAGATCAGAATCTATATGAGTGATGTAATTGATCATCAATGGGATGGACTCTAGGATAGTGAAATATTTATACAGTTTTATAATGTAAAACATATATGATAAGTAATAAGAACAAACTACAGGAAAAAGAAAAGGCTGTAGGCTGCAGATGAGGAAACAAACGGTACTTTCATGTCTTTTTTTTTTTTGAGACGGAGTCTCACCCTGTCGCCCAGGCTGGAGTGCAGTGGCGCGATCTCGGCTTACTGCAAGCTCCGCCTCCCAGGTTCACGCCATCAGCCTCAGCCTCGCGAGTAGCTGGGATTACAGGCATGTGCCACCACCCGGCTACTTTTTGTATTTTTTTAGTAGAGACGGGGTTTCTCCATGCTGGCCAGGCTGGTCTCGAACTCCTGACCTTGTGTTCCGCCCGCCTCAGCCTCCCAAAGTGCTGGGATTAAAAGCGTGGACCACTGCTCCTGGCCTGTACTTTCATTTCTATCAGTTGTATAACTTTTAGTAGATTACTTAATCCTCTCAGCCAGTGTTCTTCTATTCCAGGAGGTACTGCGCTACCTACTTAAGAATGTTAAGGTAAATGAGATAGTAAATATAAAAGTAATATGGGAAAAAAGCCTACAAATAAAACTTTGTGGTTATATTAGTTATATATGTATAATAAGTTATATTAGGAGTGGTGGTGGTAGTATTGATAGCACTTTGACCTTGGAGCCTACTGAATATGTGTGTCTGATTTGAAGGATGGAGTCAGGTTATTAACTTGGCTCTAATCCCAACTCTACCATTTGATAGTTGGTTATTTTGTGAGAGCTATTTGAGCTTTCATTTTGGTTTCCTCATCTATAGACAGGAACTGATAATAGTATGAATTCCAGGGTTGTTGAGAGGATTAAAGAAGGGCTAAATATAAACCACTTAAATGAGCACACAGTACATAGAAAATTCCTAATAAACATTAACTTCTCTTGTATTTAATTTTATTTATTTTCGATACAACGTCTTGCTCTGTCACCCAGGTTGGAGTACAGTGGTGTGATTGTGGCTCACTGCAGCCTCGAACTCCTGGACTCCAGCAATACTCCAGCCTCAGCCTCCCGAGTGACTGGGACTACAGGCTTGTGACACTACGCCCAGTTAATTAAAACAATTTTTTTTTTTAGTAGAGACAGGGTCTCATTATGTTGTCCAGGCTGATCTCAAACTCCTGGGTTGAAGTGATCCTCCCGCCTTGGCCTCCCAAAGTGCTGAGAGTACAGGCGTGAGCTACCACACCTAGCCTATTTAATTTTAACATCAAAATTAAGTTGAAACTCTATGAAATTAAAGTATCTCAGCATTTGAGTTTTTAAAATGTAACTTAATGATAAAGTAATAATAATGCTTATCTTAAAAACCTTCTTCATGTATATATATGAAAGACATTGAAACTGCTCATACTAAACTAATCATTAATAATATGAGGACATTTTGATTCAAAATGTTTTCCTTTGCAAGATGCCTTTCGGTTACTTCAGAAGTTTTTATTAGTTAGCCAAAAATGTATTTCTAAATTTTGCAACTATCCATATAAAAAGTTTTGCCTAAGTGACAGTGTACATGCATTAGTTTTTGTGTTTTTTTTCTTTTGCAGTGATTACCGTTTATTTTTATTTTTATATTTACAGATTGAAATCAGCAAGGGATGTGGTTACCAGAACAGGACACTCATTGGCCTTGGGGTCCCTACATAGGTATTTAGGAGGAATAAGTTCTTCTCAACACCTAAATTCTTGTATTGGAATCCTTTATACTTTGGCGCAGGACAGCACTTCTCCTGATGTGCAGGTGGGTACCTCATGTGATACTTCCCTTGAAATTCATGATTTTTAGATGATGCAGATTGTGTTTATATTGAACATTAATAATTTATGAATATAGTTTCCTCCCATAGTAATTGTGGAAGCCGTTGTTAACCTTGGTGGATTTTTAAAATTAAAATCTTCCCCCACACTCAGAGTCTGAAGTCAATTTCAGTGTGTTTTTCTGAAAATGTATCTCTGTTCCATCTTAATGATAGCTTTGGGCTAGAAGTGGTGGCTCACGCACATACTCTCACACTTCAGGATGCCGAGGCAGGCAGATTGCTTGAGCTCAGGAGTTCAAGACCAGTCTGGGCAACATGGTAAAACACTGTCTCTACAAAAGATACAAAAATTAGCCGGGCATGATGGTATGCATCTGTGGTCTCAGCTACTCAGGAGGCTGAGGTGGGAGGATGGCTTGAGCCGGGGAGACAGAGGTTGCCATAAGTCCAGATTGTGCCACTATGCTCCAGCCTAGGCAACAGAGCCAGACCCTATCTCAAAAATAATAATAATAGTAATAAATAATAATAACAGCATCTACTATTTTAAAGAGCTTAATAGGTACCAGGTGTTACGATACATTCTTCTAAGTCTCATAGTAATTCTTTTAGTCCTTGTAATAATTTATTAGGGTGTATATAGCCCATTATGGGGAAATAAAACTGAGGCTTAAGAAGCTAAGCAACTTGCTCACAACTGAAAAGCTAATAAATCATGGAATCAGATCAAGAACACAAGTCATAGACTCCAAACTCCTGTTCTTAACCACTTTACCATATCGTTGTACATATCTTACCTATTTCTGTCAGTAAAATCATCATTCTCCTATCTTAATCAAATATGGAATGATTTTTATTTCTCCCGTTCTTTTACTCCCCTTCTGTCGTCTTATCTGTCTCCCTTATTAATGTGTGCCAAATTACTGTCATAGCCTCCTAATTCGTCACATTTTTAGGTCCTTTTCTTTCGAACTCTCTCTAGATATAAGGCTAAATTCGTTTTCCTAAAAGATTTTCATCTTGCCACTTTCCTGCAGAAAAGCTTGACAAAGTGCTTATTGCTTCTTGAATCAACTTCTTTATTCCAGTCCCATCAACTGACCCCACAGATGTTTTCTGTTACTACCTCAAAGTGTTGACTTCTACAGATGATTTATCCACATGTCATTCTCATGTCTACATTTACCTTTTCTTTTTCTCTTCTCTCCTTACATGCCTATTTGATATTCCACATCTTTTAGTCTTTTAAGATCCAGTATAACCACCATCTCACCAAGCTTTAATCCAGTTAGCTTTCCCCCTCTGAATTACCATATTACTACTCGCCTCCTCCACTTCATCTAGTACTTGACTGAATTGACTTACAAGGTTTCCATTTTTCACCCGTCTTTATATATAGTACTTTTTGCTTCTATTATATTCTTCTTCTCTCTCTTCAAGAAGTCTATTCTGAATGTACCTAGTTGTATATTGAATACCTTTTTTGTTGATTAATTCATATACTTTCTGTGGCTGTCAGTGTCATTTCTGAATTTTCTTGATTGCTCTCTCTCACCTAACAAATAGGAGCTCATTTTTGCAGCATTTAAAGTACTGTAAGCTTTCTTATACATCCATTGATAAGAGGAATAAAACTTTTTCAGTTCATTTTCTGAAGAGAGAGCTTTTAATTTACTTCTTGTTATAGAACATTAAAACGTACACAAAATTAGAAAGTATACTGCAATGAATCTATTATACTCATCACCTAACTTCAGTGGTTATCAGTATATGACCAGTCTTTTTTCATTTAAACCATTGTGTGTGTGTGTGTGCGTGTGTGCATGTGTGTGCGCACCTGCCATAAATGCACATATCTATGTACAAACAGTACATTATGTAACCACCTCCCGAAATCAAGAAACAGTCCATTATCAATACCCCATACACACTTCTCATACTGTCTTCTAGTTAACTACCTGCCCCCACCAAGGATAACCACTATCCTAATTTGCAACAGCATAAATTAGTTTTGCTTGCTTCTATACTTTATGTAAATGGAATCATACAACATATATTCTTTTATGTCTGGTTTTCTTCACTCAACATTATGTTCAAGAGATTTGTCCATATTGTTGAATGTAATTGTAGATTTTGTTGAATCTTTTTAAAAACTTGAATTTTCATTCTTTCTATAGATTAAACAATAAACAATTTTTCAACAAACTAGATTTGATTCAAACTGTTAGCTGAAGTACCAACTATTACTTGCAATTCTTAATGATGAACTATATCATTCTAAATTGGATGATTGCCTCTGAGTTGGAAGTCCTCCATTTCTCTTTCCACATGAGTAGTAGCATTCACATTTGCTGTTACTTTATCACTTGCTTCAACAAAAGAACAAGTTAATTTATTTTATGTTTCTTAATGCTGCTGTAATGTTTTTAATTGTTTTTCTTTGTCATTACAGACCTGGGCATTACATTCTCTATCATTGATCATTGATTCTGCTGGCCCACTCTATTATGTGCATGTGGAACCTACCCTTTCTCTTATTATAATGTTGTTGTTAAATGTGCCTCCTACTCATGCTGAAGTTCACCAAAGCCTTGGTCGCTGTTTGAATGCCCTTATTACCACGTTAGGTCCAGAGCTACAAGGTGTGCATAGCTGCTTTTGTGATGTTTTACATTAAAAATAATACACATAAAAGTGAATTCAGTTCCTAGTCTGTATGCTTGGCACGTGATAGGTGCTGTATGTTTTGTTAAATGAATGTATAAATGCCATTCAGCCTGATTTCTCTTACCTTGAAAAGACAGAGTACAATATTTAGACAATTACATATCTCCTAAAGATGCCTTCCTTAACAGTTAAAATGACAGACATGAAGCAGAATCATCCAAAGAGCTGTGTTCTCTATTTAAGAAATAAATGGCTAAGTCCAAAATTTCAAATATTACGAGCTGTTCAAATTGCATACTATTACATGATTATAATACATGAAAGTAATTCTTAACTAATACAAGTGAGGCTAAGTTTATTGGCAATTTCTAATTCCACTTTTTATGAAAATTTGGTATAACCTACTGATAGTCTTAGGTTCTTCTTTGCCTAATAATTTGTGTTGTAATAAACTTTTCAGATTAAGAATAACTAAAGTAGGTCAGGCGCAGTGGCTTTCACCTGTAATCCTAGCACTTTGGGAAGCTGAGGCAGGTGGATCACTGAATCGGGTCAGGAGTTCGAGACCAGCCTGGCCAACATGGTGAAACCCCGTCTCTGCTAAAAATATGAAAAATTAGCCAGGCATGGTGGTGTGCGCCTGTAGTCCCAGCTACTCGGGAGACCGGAGGCAGGAGAATCACTTGAACCCGGAAGCCGGGGGTTGCTGTGAGCCGAAATGGCACCATCGCACTCCAGCCTGGGCAACGGACTGAGACTCTGTCTCAAAAAAAAAAAAAAAAAAAAAAAAAAAGAATAACTAATCTAACAATCTGTAACTTAGATTATCCCTACTTTTGTAGAAGAAATTGTACATCACAGATTTGTAGTGACTGTAAATTTTAAAACCTGTAATATATGTTTAAACTGGAAGTAAATTTTAAAACCTGTAATATATGTTTAAAGAGTAATGTTTTTATAGGCCAATTATTAAAAGCTTTCTGCTTTTTATTTTAGGTAACAGTACTTCAATTTCTACCTTAAGGACTTCCTGTCTACTGGGTTGTGCAGTAATGCAAGATAACCCAGACTGCCTTGTTCAAGCTCAGGCCATCTCTTGCCTTCAGCAGCTTCATATGTTTGCTCCACGACATGTCAACTTGTCTAGCCTGGTTAGCTGCCTCTGTGTGAGTATAGAATTGTAAACGAGCTCTTAGTTTCTTTTATTTGAATCTTAGATTTATTCCAGTACACATTTTAATTATACTCTAGACTATGTACAAAGTTATGTGTTATATACGTAGCTATTTCCCCTCAGTTCTAGTCTTTTTCGGGAGTAGGGGGCAGCTTTCATGCAATCAGCTCCTAAGTCTCTCTTCTATTAATTTTTCTCCCATTGTTGTACTTGATATTTGGAATATTTATTCATAAATCAATGAAAACATATTGTGTGCTTATAATGTCCCATGTACTATATAAATGCTGTAGGACATGCAAAACTCTATGTGGTCACCTGTCTTTTTTTCTTCTTTTTCATCTATTCTAAGTTCTTTGCATCCCAGATGGAGAAATAACACTTTTCCTTAATATTCCAGCAACATATGCATCAATATCTGGCTTCTAATATTGTATCTACTGAATGTAGAAAGATAAAGGCCATCAACCAGAAGTTCCTTTGAAGTGGTTCATTGTCATTGGTTTTAAGACTTCCCCTGGCCAGGCGCAGTGGCTCATGCCTGTAATCCCAGCACTTTGGGAGGCCAAGGTGGGCAGATCAGCCTGGCCAACATGGTGAAACCCCGTCTCTACTAAAAATACAAAAATTAGCTGGGCGTGGTGGTGGGTGCCTGTAATCCCAGCTACTCAGGAGGCTGAGCCAGGAGAATCGCTTGAACCCGGGAGGTGGAGGTTGCAGTGAGCCGAGATCGTGCCATTGGCACTCCAGCCTGGGCAACAAGAGTGAAACTCCGTCTCAGGAAAAAAAAAAAAAAAAAGATTTACCATGTCACCAGTTTCTATCTGGACTTGCCTCAAAAACTGAGTTGCATTTGGAATTATAAATTGGCACCATGGCTTTTCAAATTTTTCTACTCCTGCAGTATTCGTAGCACACTCCCATTAGTAACGTGACTGTTGAAAATCATTATATAGACCTTTCATTTTCAAGCTTGAGGCAAAATATGCAGCATTTCAGAGCTTGAAAGAACCTCAGAATCTTAAAAATCTGTCGTGTAGATTATCCCTACTTTTGTAGAATGGTGTTTGCATTATTAAAACCAATCTTCTCAGTAAAAAGATAAACTGAAGACCGAAAAGTTAAATAAAGTAACACATCTAGCTCACCTAAGTGGTGGCTAAATCTACATTGTGGGTTTCTGGACTCCTCCTTCAGTCCTCATTTCATTATTCCATACTACCTTTGTAGATTTTATGGATAGATCTTATCTCAACTCTGCCACCTCCTAGCTGTGCACCTTTAGGGAAGTCCCGTAATCTCTTCTAGCCTCAGCTACCTTGTCTGCAAAACATGAGGATTACACAAAATGCTGCTTGTAAAGGCAAATGTCTCAGGCATTTAGTTAGTACTCAATAATGGTAGTTGCCTTTGCTGTCTTGACATGTGTCTTCAACATACAGTATATTATTATATTAATTATTGATACTGATAGTCATATAAAACTATTTATTTATTTATTTTAGAGGCACAGTCTCACTTTGTCAGGCTGGAGTGCGGTGGTGCAATCATAGCTCACAGTAGCCTCGAACTCCTGGGCTCAAGTGATCCTCCCCCTTCAGCCTCCGAAGTAGCTCGGACTACAGTAAAGTACCACCACACCTAGCTAATTTTTTTTCTTTTTTGTAGAGACAGGGTCTTGCTATGTTACCCAGGCTGGTCTTGAACTTCTGGTCTCAAGCCATCCTCCTGCCTCAGCCCCACAAAGTGCTGGGATTAGAGGTGTGAGCCACCATGCCTAGCCCAATAAAACTTTAAAAAGAGAATTTGACTGACTTTCTGATAGAAACTTTTGTTCCTGTATTTTTTTAGATCTGGGTCAATCATGTATTAGGGAAAACAGCACTTACAGGAAAAGGATTTTACCTGTACCATTCAGGGACTCTTCCCCAGGAATATTACTTTTATATTTGAAGAGTCATTCCTAAAACCAGTTATTGAAAAATTTTTCACTCCTTTGCATTTGATCTTTTACTCTCCATTTAAATTAAGTGATACTGCCGTTTTTTCTTCTTGTCTTGTAGAAGATTTCCATTAATTACCTATAAAATTTCTCCTTTACCTGATACATGATTTTTTTATTAATTAAAGTTTATTGAGAAATGAAGAACAAGAATAACCCATTAATTCATGATGAATAAAATCTGATCAGCTGGGCACAATGGCTCATACCTGTAGTTCCAGCGCTTTGGGAGGTCAAGGTAGAAGGATCATTTGAGCCCAGGAGTTCAAAACCAGCCTGGGGAACATACTGAGACCTTGTCTCTACAAAAAATTTTAAGAAAATTATCCGGGCATGGTGGTGTGCACCTGTAGTCCCACTACTACTTGGGAGGCTGAGGTGAGAGGATCACCTGAATCCAGGATGTTGAGGCAACAGTGAGCCATGATTGCGCCACTGCACTCCACCCTGGGCAATGGAGCAAGACACTGTCTCAAAAATATAAATAAATAAAATCTGATCAAACTTATTAACTTTTTGCCTTCCCAAATCAAAAAAGGGTACATATTTACTGCAGGAAAAAAAAATAGGCATCAAAAAAAAAGTTACATATGAAAAAGAATAGAGATTATTATATTATCAGACTTTTCTTTTGGGTACATTAGAGCAAGTGAGAAGATCTGAAGTAACAGTTACAAATCGTATGTTAACTCATAATATTCAAGCTGTAAAATGATTTTTTTAATACACAATCATAGTCAAAAATTATCACTATAGTGTATTAATTTAGTGTCTCAATATTTTGGTTAGTAATTTATTCTGAATTTATTAGATTGAATTTGTTATATTTTAGAGTATTCACCAAAGTAAGGAAATTGCATTTCATCATTAGGCAAAAATCCTACTGGGAAGTATTTTCCTTTAACTGCATGCTCTTTAACTTCCGTTCTAAACTTGGCCTTAGCTACACTAGCAATTCTGAATACTCTTAGTTTTAAAACTTGGCTTCTAAGAGTTAAACTATAATTAACTTCTGATGAGGTAAACCATTAACTTTGCCTCTTGCTGGACACCTGTTCATGTGAATGCAATCCAGATCACTCCTCTCAACACTTATGTCTACTTGATTGGGTTTGATACTGAGGCTTAATCAGAGATTCTGAAGAAAAACCTAAAATTAATCACATGTACATTTTAAAATTATATATTTACGTCTTAGAGTTCTTGAGTTGACTATTTTCAAAAACTTGGCTCAACTCATTTTGTTGGAAAATAAAATATTTGTGGCAAATTTTTAAGCTGAAGCTAAGCCAATTTAAATAATAACTATCAACATTTATATTTTAATGCTTAGCTGACTGTTGTCAAAGTCATCCTAATATTTATCTTTTGGTTTTGTCATGACTGGTGTGTCATTTGTTTTTGTGCAGGAGATCTTGTTGGATAATTCTGTGTTGGTAGGTCCCTGACCCTTGATTCCTAACTTTTTTTGAGTTTTGCGGTGCTGTTTCTTTGTGTCATTTTTTGGTTGTAGATGTTTGTTTCCTCTGCATCTCTTTTTTTAAGCGAACCATTAATGCTAAGTCCAGTATGTGTAGCATGTTTCGTGGTGTTTATTTGATACCAGTATAAGCAAATCCTTCCTAACCTTCTCCAGCTGGTGCACTCACTCCTTGCACTAAATTTGGTCTCATTTTTATTTAATATATTCATTTCAGAAAATAATTGTAGTTACAGTTTAATTTAATTTCTGTATTTTGCCTGCTTTGTTTGTTTGCCTTAAGCCACTGTATTCCTCTTCCCAATATAAATGCTGGAGAATGACATGGAGACATTAAGCCTCCCATTTTACTTTGTGTGACAGCCTTCAATCTTTTTTCTACCAAATAAGTAAAGGGTACTTCCAAGCATGCTTTTTCTAAAAGATGTTTGACTAGCCTGAATAAATGCTGCACCTGCTTTGTATTATATGCTTGTAAAACTCCAGTTGAAATGACTAGTAGATTTATTAACTTTCCTTTAAAATTGTCTTGTAAAGTGCTTTTTTAGTCATTGTTGTTAAATACAACAGTAATCTTGGGGATGAGTAAACATAATCTTTTTATATTTTAACTTCTCTGTTATCCTAACCTGCTAACAATATAGTTTCTAAACATGGGATTACATTATACCTTGAGACTTTTTTATGAATGGCATTCCTTTCTATCCACTTTTGGGTTCATAATACAGCTTGAAGGTATAACAGAACATACTTATAAAGCTGTTCCAGCACTCTATCCTGGGTAACAGAGCGATACCCTATCTCAAAAAACAACAACAACAACAACAAAAAACTACTCAGTGATGATATATGCACAAATTTTTTCTGTTTCTTGGCTTCTGATAAAATGTAGAATTTGGCTCTCTTTGCATGTGTTTCTTCTTGTACATTCTTTTTTTTTTTTTTTTTTTTTTTTTGAGACACAGTTTCACTCTGTCACCCAGGCTGGAGTGCAGTGGTGCAATCTCAGCTCACTGCAACTTCTGCCTCCCGGGTTCAAGCGATTCTCCTGCCTCAGCCTCTCCAGTAGCTGGGACTACAGGTGTGTGCCACCACGCCCAGCTAATTTTTATGTTACTAGTAGAGACAGGGCTTGACCATGTTGGCCAGGCTGGTCTCAAACTCCTGACCTCAAGTGATCCACCTGCCTCGGCCTCCCTTGGTGTGAGCCATCATGCCCAGCCCTCTTCTCATATATACATACATACATACATACATATATATATGTTTTTGTTTTTGTTTTTTTTTCCTGAGACACAGTCTGTGTCGCCCAGGCTGGAGTGCAGAGGCGTGATCTCGGCTCACTGCGACCTCCACCTCCCAAGTTCAAGCAATTCTCCTGCCTCAGCCTCCCGAGTAGCAGGGATTACAGACACCTGCCACCATGCCCGGCTAATTTTTTTGTATTTTTTAGCAGAGACAGGGTTTCACCATGTTGGCCAGGGTGGTTTTGAACTCCTGACCTCAAGTGATCTGCCTACCTCGGCCTCCCAAAGTGCTAGCGTTACAGACGTAAGCCACCACACCTGACACTCTTCTTATATATTCTTAATAGCTCCTACTACCTACCTTTTATTTCCTCCCAAAATTTAGCCTCTGCTCTTTATAAAACTTCACCTACTTCAGTCCTGTTTTTCCCACATATGCCAAATCTAAAGATTGCCATAAAATTATGCCATTATTTCTCAAATTTTGCTTTGAAGATCACTACCATAATATACATATTTATTTTGTAGAACATACCAGACTGATCTTTACTTTCATAGTACAAAATTTAAAATCTCAACTTTATTTCATATATGAAATCACTAAGAATTTTTATCCATTAACCTTTGACTTGTAACTGAAGTATATTACCAGTCTTATCATTTGCCATGGGTAGATACAACCTATTGAGATTTACATTGCATCTGTAAGATGTATACATATATGTATTCTATCAATACATAAATATGTATATATATATAAAATTTGGTGTTCTGTAATGCTTGTCTCTAGAGAGCATTTTTGGTGAATGTTTTCTGCCTTTATTTGAAAATGCATTTACTTTGTATGTTGTCTGATTAAAATATTATTGTTAAAAGACCACACTAATAATAACTAACATTTATTGAGCATTTACTATTTGACAGGTACTGTGGTAAGCACTTTGCATGTTGCTTTGTGTTAATGTCACAATAGCCCTGAGAGATGCAGTAGTGTTACAAACGAGGAAACTAAGGCACTCTAGAGGAGTTAAATAATTTGCCCACAGTCACACAGCTAGTAAGTGATGGATCTAGGACTCAAACTGAGACATTTTGACTCCGGAGCCTCCATTTTAACCAATATGCTGTATTGCCTATATGGATGTGTATAAATTTCTGCTTAGAGAATGATAAAACATTATAATATAGTTGCATGAACACAAATGTATGAACTGCAACTAAATCCTTTCCATTGTAGTTCTTTTTTTCTCTTAAAAGTCTATTTACTCATATAAATTCTGCCTTCTGACACTGCCAAAAGACTTTTGTTAGATTTATGAGTAGTGCATAATCTAGTACACATATTACCTATTAAGCTGTTTCTAAGTTACAGAATCAGAAATATATTCTAGAATGGTTTCAAGAAGTTCCTATGTATTTATAAATTGTGTCCAGCCCACTGATGGGCTGGACAGAATCAGGAAGGGGTCCAGTGAATATCTATTAGACTCACTGAGTGCCAACAAGAATTTTAGCTCTGTCGTTCCTCAAATGGTATTTTTCAGGTGAATCTTTGTAGCCCCTACTTGTTACTGAGAAGAGCAGTACTGGCTTGCTTACGTCAGCTTGTACAAAGAGAAGCAGCTGAAGTTTCAGAACATGCTGTTATGCTTGCTAAGGATAGCAGAGAAGAGTTGACTCCAGGTAATTCTCTTGATCAAGATTATGTCCAGCTCAAATGATTATTTTTATTTTAAATTTTCCATATATACATGAGTTTTGAAACAGTTTAAAAGTTAATATGTCTTAAACCTGCTACAAGAAAGAATTGCTAACAGTTATTCCAACCAGTGATGTTACTGATTTAGAGTGGTGGTTCTCAAACTGGTTTTCAAACCAGCAGTGTATACCTTACCTGGGAACTTGTTAGAAATGCAGATTATTGGGACCCATCCCAGACCTACTGAACCAGAAATCTGGGAGTATTACCTGGCAATCTGTATTTTTAAATCTGTATTTTTACAGTCCCTATGTTAGTACAGCTGTGTGCCACATAATGGCATTTTGGTCAACAACAGACTGCACATACAACAGTGGTCCCATAAGATTATAATACCATATCTTCACTGTACTTTTTCTATGTTTTGATACACAAATGTTTACCATTGTGTTATAATTGCCTATAGTATCCAGTACAGTAACTTGTTCTATGGGTTTGTAGCCTATGAGTAATAGGCTATGCCATATAGCCTGTGTGTGTAATCTATACCATCTAGGTTTGGGTAAGTACACTCTATGATGTTCACATGACAATGAAATTGCCTAACAACACATTCTTCAGAACATAATCCTATTACGCCATGCATGACTGTACTAAAGTTTGAGAGCCACTGATCTAGAGCAAGTTTTTTCACCGCAGTCAAATGAAATGGGATTAGCCCTTAAATAATTTATCACACCTGCCTCTGTTTGCCGCAGAATCTCACTTTCATAAAATTTATTATAGATACGTCTGCTACAAGTTAAAGAGTTTTTAATGCCCCTTCTTTTACATTTTAGAGCTGAATTAAAGGATTTCTTAGCCAGTAAGATTTAAGTGTATATCACTTCATTTTAAAACTATGATATGAATAACCTGAATTTGCATATGAATTCAAAGAAACTATTAGCCTACAAAAATAGTAATAATAGGCCAGGTATGGTGGCTCACACCTGTAATCTTAAGCACTTTGTGAGGCTAAGGCGAGAGGACTGTTTTAGGTCAGGAGTTCAAAAACAGCCCTGGGGGCCAGACACACTAGCTCATGCTTGTAATCTCAGCACTTTGGGAGGCCAAGATGGGAGGATGGCCTGAGGCCAGGAGTTCAAGATCAGCCTGGTCAACATAGTGAGACCTCATCTCTATTTTTAAAAATTATATATATATATATATATATATATATATATATATATATATATATATGTATGTATGTATATATAAAAATAACCCCCTGCGCAATATGGCATGACCCCATCTCTACAAAAAATTTTAAAATTAGCCAGGTGTCATGGTACACATCTGTAGTCCCAGCTACTAATTAATCAGGAGGCTGAGAGAAGAGAATTGCTTGAGCCCAGGAGTTTGAGGTTGCTGTGAGTTATTATGCACTGCATAATAACTGCAGCATGGGTTACAGATCAAAACACTGACTCCAAAAAAAAAAAAAGGTAATTATCTTACACCCTGGCTGGTCACAGTGGCTCACGCTTGTAATCCCAGTACTTCGGGAGGCCGAGGTGGGCAGATCACCGGAGGTCAGGAGTTCGAGACCAGCCTGGCCAACATAGCGAAACCCCGTCTCTACTAAAAATATAAAAAATTAGATCTGTGTGGTGGCATGCGCCTGTAGTCCCAGCTACTTGAGAGGCTGAGGCACAAGAATCAGTTGAACCCAGGAGGGGGAGGTTGTAGTGGGCCGAAATTGCACCACTGCACTCCAGCCTGGGCACCAGAGCGAGAATCTGTGTCAAAAAATAATAATAATAATTTATGTATATAGTTTTCAAAGTACCATCATACTTTTAGAAAGTTATAGACTTCACGGAGCTTTTCAGTATCTTAAGCTTTTAGGTCCATAATATATTTTACTATCAGTAATCTATGCTCTTTAAGTAACAGTTTTATTCTCAGGACATTAAAATGTTTAGGGAGCTGGCCCAAGTTGTGGCGGCATGTACTTGTAGTCCCAGCTTCCTTAGAGGCTGAGGTGAGAAGATCACTTTAGCCCAGGAATTCAAGGCCAGCCTGAGCAATATAGTGAGACCTTGTCTCTAACAAAAAAAAAAAATAAAAACTTTTGCTTCAACTTGAATTAATCAGCATGGCTGGGCTGCTATATAGGCATACCTATACACAATACCTAGTATTGTGGGTTTGGTTCCAGACCATGCAATAAAGCAAGTCAGGAATTTTTTTGTTTTCCAGTGCATATCAGAGTTATGTTTGTACTATACTGTAGTCTGCTAAGTGTGAAATAGCATTATGGCTAAAAAAGCAATGTACATACCTTAAATTAAAAATTCTTTATTGCTAAAAGATGCTAACCATCATCTGAGCCTTCAGTGAGTCATAATCTTTTTGCTGGTAGAGGGTCTTGCCTCAGTGTTGATGGCTGCTTAATCAGGGGTGGTGGTTGCTAAAGGTTTGAGGGGGTGGCTGTGGCGATTTCTTTTTCTTTTTTTTTTTTTTTTTTTTGAGATGGAATCTTGCTCTGTCACCCAGGCTGAAGTGCAGTGGCACGATCTTGGCTCACTGCAAGCTCCGCCTCCCGGGTTTCCGCCATTCTCCTGCCTCAGCCTCCCAAGTAGCTGGGACTACAGGTGCCCACCACCACACCCAGCTAATTTTTTATATTTTTAGTAGAGACAGGGTTTCACCATGTTAGCCAGGATTGTCTCAATCTCCTGACCTCGTGATCCACTCGCCTCGGCCTCCCAAAGTGCTGGGACTAAAGGCGTGAGCCACCACACCCGGCTGGCCATTTCTTAAAATAAGACAGCAATGAAGTTTGCCATATCCATTGACTTCCTTTCATGAAAGATTACTCTGTAACATGCAATGCTTTTTGATAGCATTTTAGTTAGAGTAGAACTTTGAAAACTAGAATCAGTTCTCTCAAACCTGCTACCACTTTATCAACTAAATTCACGTAATATTCTGAATCCTTTGTTGTAATTTCAACAGTGTTCACAGCATCTTCACCAGGAGTAGATTCCATCTGCAGAAACCATCTAGAATGATAATCCTTTCCAGAAGGTTTTCAGTTACTTTGCCTGGATCCATCCGTCTGTGGCAGCTGTAGCCTTATAAAATGTATTTTTTAAATAAGACAACTTGAAAATCAAAATGACTCCTTAATCTGCGAATGGATATTGTGTTAACAGGCATGAAAACAACATTTATCTCCTTGTACGCCTCCACGAGAGCTCTTGGGTAACTAGGCACATTGTCAGTGAGCAGTAATATTTTGAAAATAATCTTTTTTTTTTTCTGAGCAGTAAGTCTTAACAGTGGACTTAAAATATTCAGTAAACCCAGTTGTAAACAGATATGCTATCATCCAGGCAGATTTGGCATAGTTCTTTTTTTTTTTTTTTTTTTTTGAGACAGGGTCTGTCTCTGTCGCCCTGGCTGGAGTGCAGTGGCACGACCTGGGCTCACTTCAGCCTCTACTTTCCAGGCTCATGTGATCTTTCCACCTCAGCCTCCTTGGTAGCTGGACCACAGATGAATGTCACCACACCCAGCTAAATTTTTTTTTTTGTATTTTTTGTAGAGATGGGGTCTCACCTTGTTGCCCAGGCTGGTCTTGAACTCCTGGGCTCAAGTGATCCACCTGCCTCAGCCTCCCAAAGTGCTGGGATTACAGGTGTGAGCCACCATGCCTGGCCAATTAAGCATAATCCTTAAGAACCATGGGATATTTGGAATGGTCAGTGAACACTGGCATTAAAGTCACCAGCTGCATTAGCCCATCACAAGAGAGTCAGCCTATCCTTTGAATCTAGGAATTGGCTTCTCCTCTCTAGCTATGAAAGTCCCAGATGGCATCTTCCAGTAGAAGGCTATTTCATATACTTTGAAATCTGTTGTTTTAGGCTGGGCTCTCGCCTGTTATCCCAACACTTTGGAAGGCCGAGGTGGGTGGATCACTTGAGGTCAGGAGTTCAAGACCAGCCTGGCCAACATGGTGAAACCCCATCTCTATTAAAAATACAAAAATTAGCCGGATGTGATGATGGTGGGTGCCTGTAATCCCAGCTACTCAGGAGACTGAGGCACGAGAATAGCTTGAACCCGGGAGGCAGAGGTTGCAGTGAGCCAAGATCACGCCACTGTACTCCAGCCTGGGTGATAGAGCAAGACTCAGTCTCAAAAAAAGGAAAGAAAAAGAAAAACTGTTGTTTTGACCTTAGCTACGTCTTCTGGCTAACTTGATGAAGCTTCTATATCAGGATTTGCTGCTTTATCTTGCATTTTTATGTTATGGAGACAGCTTATTTCCTTAACCCCATGAACCAACCTCTGCTAGTTTCTACCTTTTCTTCTGTAGCTTCCTCACCTCTCCCAGCCTTCAAAGAATTAAAGAGAGGTAGGGCCTTGCTCTGCATCAGGCTCAATGTTGTGGCTGATTTGAACTTTTTTTTTTTTTTTTGAGATGGAGTCTTGCTGTGTCACCCAGGCTGGAGTGCAGTGGCGCGATCTTGGCTCACTGCGACCTCCGTCTTCCGGGTTCAAGCGAGTCTTCTGCCTCAGCCTCCCGAGTAGGTGGGATTACAGGTGCCCGCCACCATGCCTGGCTAATTTTTGTATTTTTGGCAGAGACGGGGTTTCATCATGTTGGCTAGGCTGGTCTTGAACTCCTGACCTTAGGTGATCCGCCCACCTCGGTCTCTCAAAGTGCTGGGATTACAGGCCTGAGCCTGATTTGAACTTCTGTCCAGATCACTAAAACTGTCTCTGTGTTGGTTAATAAGGTTGTTTATCTTCCTTATCATTTGTGTGTTCACTGGAGTAGCCTTTTAAATTTCCTTCAAGAACTTTTCTTTTGCATTCACAACTTAGATAACTGGCCTAAGAGACACTTAACTTTTAATCTGTCTTGGCTTTTGACATGCCTTTCTCACTAAGCTTAAATCATTTCCAGCTCTTGATTTAAAGTGAAGGACGTGTGACTCTTCCTTTCACATGAACACTGCAAGGCCATTGCGGTGTTATTCATTGGCCTAATTTTGATACTGTTGTGTCTCAGAAAATAGAGAGGACTGATTAGAATAAAAGAGATGGGGAATGGCCAGGAGAGAAAGAGAAATGGCTTGGAGCAGTCAGAACACACTCAACATTTATTGAATAAATTTGCTGTTTTGCGTGGGCATAGTTTGTGGCACTCCAAAACTATTAAAATAGTAACATCAAAGATCACCAATCAAAGATCACTGATCACAGATCATCATAACAGATATTATAATTTTTTGAACCCAAAAGAATTATGCAGTGAACATGTTGATTCATCTACTTAATGTCTTTATGACACTTATTTTATCGACATCTCCCTCCATATACACACGTAAACCTTTTGCCAAATCATCTTAAAGCAGGCCCCAGACATCATGACAGTTCACCCTAAATACTTAAGTTTGCATTTCCCAAGAAGAAGGATATGGTTTGGCTTTGTGTCCCAATCCAAATCTCATCTTGAATTACAATCCCCAGGTGTTGAGGGAGGGACCTAGTTGGGGGTGATTGGATCATGGGAGCGGTTTTCCACATGGTGGTCTCATGATAGTGAGTGCGTTCTCATGAGATCTGATGGTTTCATAAGGGGCTCTTGCCCCTTCAGTTCCTTCACACACACTCTCACCTGCTGCCATGTAAAACGTGCCTCTTCCCCTTCCACCATGATTGTAAGTTTCCTGAGGCCTCCCTAACAATGCAGAATTGTGAGTCAATTAAACCTCTTTCCTTTATAAATTACCCAGTCCCAGGTATCTCTTTATAGCAGTGTGAAAACAGACTAATACAGTAAATTGGTACCAGGAGTGGGGCACTGCTATAAAGATACCCAAAAATTTGGAAGCAGCTTTAGAATTGGGTAATAGGCAGTGGTTGGAATGGTTTGGAGGGCTCAGAAGAAGACAGGAAGATGTGGCAAAGTCTGGAACTTCTAGAGACTTGTTGAATGGCTTTGACCAAAATGCTGATAATAATGTGGACAATGAAGCCCAAGGTGAGATGGTCTTAGATTGAGTTGAGGAACTTCTAGGAATTGTAGTAAAGGTCACTCTTGCTATGCTTAAGCAAAGAGACTGGCAGCGTTTTGCTCCTGCCCTAGAGATCTGTGAAACTTTGAACTTGAGAGAGATTATCTGAAATTGGAATTTATGTTTAAAAGGGAATCAGAGGCTGGGTGCGGTGGCTCATGCCTGTAGTCCCAGCACTTTGAGGGGCTGAGGTGGGTGGATCACCTGAGGTCAGGAGTTTGAGACCAGCCTGGTCAAATGATGAAAACCCATCTCTACTAAAAATACAAAACTTAGCCATGCGTGGTGGTGGCACCTGTAACCCCAGCTACTGGGGAGGCTGAGGCAGGAGAATCGTTTGAACCCAGGAGGCAGAGGCTGCAGTGAGTTGAGGTTGCGCCACTGCACTCCAGCCTGGGCGACAAAGTGAGACTCTGTCTCAAAAAAAAAAAAAAAAAAAGGTGAGGGAAGCAGAGCATATAAAAGTTTGGAAAATTTGCAGCCTGAGGATGTGATAGAAAAGAAAACCCCATTTTCTGGGGAGAAATTCAAGCGCACTGCAGAAATTTTCACAAGTAACAAGGAGTCAAATGTTAATCTTTCTTTTTTTGAGACAGAGTCTCACTCTGTCGCCCAGGCTGGAGCACAGTGGCGCAATCTTGGCTCACTGCAAGCTCTGCCTCCTGGGTTCATGCTATTCTCCTGCCTCAGCCTCCCGAATAGCTGGGACTACAGGCACCTGCCACCACACCCAGTTAATTTGTTGTATTTTTTAGTAGAGACAGGGTTTCACTACTTGTTAGCCAGGATGGTCTCGATCTTTTGACCTCGTGATCCACCCACCTCGGCCTCCCAAAGTGCTGGGATTACAGGTGTGAGCTACCGGCGCTGGCCTCGAATGTTAATCTTTTTGCCAAGACAATGAAGAAAATGTCTCCAGGGCATGTCAAAGACCTCAACAACAGCCCCTCCCAGAGGCCTAGGAGGGAAAAATGGTTTTATGGGTCAGACCCAGGGTCCCCGTGCTCTGTGCAGCCTTGGGAATTGTTGCCTTGTGTTCCAGCTGTTCCAGCCATGGCTAAAAGGGACCAAGGTACAGCTCAGGCCATTGCTTCAGAGAGTGCAAGCCCCAAACCTTGGCAGCTTCTACATGGTGTTGGGCCTGCTGGTGCACAGAATTCAAGAACTGAGGTTTGGGAACTTCCACCTAGATTTCTGAGGATGCATGGAAATGCCCAGATGTCCAGGCAGAAGTCTGCTGCAGGGGTGAAGCCCTCATGGAGAACCTCTGCTAGGGCAGTGCAAAGGGAAAATGAAGGGTCAGAGCCCCCACACAGAGTCCCCACTGAGGCACTGCCTAGTGGAGCTGTAAGAAGAGGACCACTGTCAAGGCCGGGCATGATGGCTCACGCCCATAATCCCAGCACTTTGGGAGGCCAAGGCGGGTGGATCACGAGGTCAGGAGTTCAAGACCAGCTTGGGCAACATGGTGAAACCCCATCTCTACTAAAAATAGAAAAATTAGCCAGGCATGGTGGTGCATGCCTGTAATCCCAGCTACTCAGGAGGCTGAGGCAGGAGAATCACATGAACCTAGGAGGTGGAGGTTGCGGTGAGCCGAGACCATGCCATTGCACTCTAGACTGGATGACAGAGCGAGACTCCATCTCAAAAAAATAAGAAAAGAAGAGGGTCTCTAGACCCCAGAGTGGTAGATCCACTGACAGCTTACACTGTGCGCCTGAAAAAGCCACATATACTCAACGCCAGCTGTGAAAGTAGGTGGGGCAGGGGGCTATACCCTGCAAAGCCACAGGGTGGAGCTGCCCAAGGCTGTAGGAGCCCACCTCTTGCATCAGTGTTCCCTGGATATGAGACATGGAATCAAAGGAGATCACTTCGGAGCTTTCAGATTTTATGACTGCCCCACTGGATTTTGGACTTGCGTGGGGACTGCAGCCCAATTTCTCCCATTTGGGACAAGAGTATTTACCCAATGCCTGTACCCCCATTGTATCTAGGAAGTAACTAACTTGCTTTTGATTTTACAGGCTCATAGGCCTTGTCTCAGATGAGACTTTGGACTATGGACTTTTGAGTTAATGCTGAAATGAATTAAGACTTTGGGAGACTGTTGGGAAGGCATGATTGGTTTTGAAATGTGGACATAAGACTTGGGAGGGGCCAGGGGTGGAATGATATGGCTTGGCTTTGTGTCACCACCCAAGTCTCATTTTCAATTAGAATCCCCAGTTGTTGAAGGAGGTACCTGGTGGGAGGTAAATGGATCATGGGGACAGTTTCCCCCATGCTGTTCTCGTGATAGTGAGTTCTCACAAGATCTGATGGTTTTATAAGGGGCTCTTCCCCCTTTGCCTCCTTCACATGCTCTCTTTTGCTTGCTGCCATGTAAGACATGCGTCTTCCCCTTCCACCATGATTGTATGTTTCCTGAGGCTTCCCCAATCATGTGGAACTGTGAGTCAATGAAACCTCTTTTTTTTTTTTTTCCTTTTCTTTCAAGACAGAGTCTCACTCCGTCTCCCAGGCTGGAGTGCAATGGTGCAACCTTGGCCTACTGCAAGCTCCGCCTCCTGGGTTCAAGCGATTCTCCTGCCTCAGCTGCCCAAGTAGCTAGGATTACAGGCACCTGCCACCATGCCTGGCTAATTTTTTGTATTTTTAGTGAGATGGGGTTTCACCATGTTGGCCAGGCTAGTCTCAAACTCCTGACCTCAGGTGATCCACCTGCCTCAGCCTCCCAAAGTGCTGGGATTATGGGCGTGAGCCACTGTGCCTGGACTGAAACCTCTTTTTTAAATAAATTACCCAGTCTTGGGTATGTCTTTATAGCAGTATGAAAATGGACTAATGCAAAGGACATACCCATACATGATCACACACCTAAGAAAATCAATATTGATTTGCAGCCCTCACACACATTTCCCTAGTCATCCAAAAAATGTCCTTTATGATTCCTCTCCCCTCACTGCCACCTAAATCTAAGATCCAGTCATGACTCACATTACCTTAGCTATTATATCTTGTTAGATCCCTAATCTGAAACATTTCTATCACCTCCTTCTAATATTTAAAAGATAATTTCTCTTTTAAAATAGTCTAGTACCAACAAAACAAAACACCCACAAAGGCCAGGCACAGTGGCTAACTCCTACAATCCCAACACTTTGGGAGGCTGAGGCGGGTGGATCTGAGGTCAGGAGTTCGAGACCAGCCTGGCCAACATGGTGAAACCTCGTCTCTACAAGGTAATAAAAAAAAAAATTAGCTGGGCATGGTAGCACATGCCTGTAATCCCAGCTACTGGAGAGGCTGAGGCAGGAGAATCGCTTGAACTCAGGAGGCAGAGATTGCAGTGAGATTGTGCCACTGTACTCCAACCTGGGCGACAGAGCGAGACTCTGTCTCCAAAACAATAAATAAATAGAATAGTCTACTAATAATATAACCTTTCAAATCTACATGCTTTCATAAATGCTAGATGAGTTAACTCTTCAAGAGAAAATGTATTTGTCCTTTTGGCATTTTCAGAATTAAAGGTAATAGTAGATGCTAGATCAAGGCTAGTATTTCCCCTTTGAGGTATTACTTTGTAGTGAGAATATTGTATAGTGATATATGTTTATTCAGTAGTCCACAATAGCTTAGTTGTAGTAATTAAACAGTGTTCTCCATATAGTGTTTGTTTTCTGTTTGAGCTTTACTCTCACGTTAATATATTTTAAAGCTTTATACCAGAATAAGGAAAACTTAATTATGTTTTTTTAAAACTAGAAAATAATTATACTGGGCCAGGCGTGGTGGCTCATGCCTATAATCCTAGCACTTTGGGAGGCCTAGGCATGTGGATCACCTAAGGTCAGGAGTTCGGGACCAGCCTGGCCACTGTTGAAACCCGTCTCTACTAAAAATACAAAAATTAGCAGGGCGTGGTGGTGGTCGCCTCTAGTCCCAGCTACTCAGCAGGCTGAGACAGGAGAATTGCTTGAACTCAGGAGGCGGAGGTTGCAGTGAGCCAAGATTATGCCACTGCACTCCAGCCTGGGCAACAGAGCAAGACTCGGTCTCAAAAAAAAAAAAAAAAAAAAAAAAAGTGCCACTGGAGGCTGGGCACTGTGGCTCAACGCCTATAATCCCAGCACTTTGGGAGGTTAAGGTGGGTGGATCACTTGAGGTCAGGAGTTCAAGACCAGCCTGACCAACATGGTGAAACCCCGTCTCTACTAAAAATACAAAAATTAGCCAGACATGGTGGCAGGCACCTGTAGTCCCAGCTACTTAGGAGACTGAGGCAGGAGAACCAATTCAACCCGGGAGGCAGAGGTTGCAGTGAGCCGAGATTGCACCACTTCACTCCATCTTGGGTGACAGAGTGAGACTCTGTCTCAAAAGGAAAAAAAAAAAATTAAGCACTGAATAAAATTTGTAAGTATTGAGCTGGGTTCAGTGGCTCACACCTGTAATCTCAGCACTTTGGGAGGCTGAGATGGGTGGATCGCCTCAGGTCAGGAATTTGAGACCAGCCTGGGCAACGTAGTGAAACCCCATCTCTACTAAAAATAAAAAAAAATTAGCTGGGCGTGGTGGCGGGTGCCTGTAATTCTAGCTACTAGGGAGGCTGAGGCAGGAGAATTGCTTGAACCTGGGAGGCGGAGGTTGCAGTGAGCCAAGATCGTGCCATTGCACTCTAGCCTGGGCAACAAGAGTGAAATTCTGTCTCGAATAAAGAAAAAAAAATTTTGTAAGTATTGGACACTAATTGGGTAAAACTTTTTACCTGATTAAGAAAACATATTAATAATAACATATGAATACTTTTTTTCAGTGACATTACATAAAATACTGCTATATAGGATCATAAATCCCAAAATTCAAGTGTGAACTAAAATGGATCTCAGTAGATTAAAGCACAGTATTTGGGCTAGTTCTTTAAGATGTATTTTTATCTACTATTTGAATAACTACTGAATGTGTGAGCTTCTGATATGGTAGTTTTGTTTTCTGTATTACTTAGATAATTGATTTTCTTCTTGTCAGATGCTAACATCAGAGAAGTTGGCCTTGAGGGGGCATTGTTGATCTTACTAGACAAGGAGACAGATGAGAGATTATGCCATGATATCAAAGAGACTTTAAATTATATGCTTACATCTATGGCAGTGGAAAAACTCTCCCTGTGGTTAAAGCTTTGTAAAGATGTACTTGCTGCATCAGCTGGTAAGTATTGGACATTATCAGTTAAAATAATAAAATTGAAATTTGAAACTTTACATAAAATTGTTTACCACTGAGAATTCATCAGTCTTGTCTAACTAGCTGGATTCTGACTGTCTGATTGTTGCTTTTCTTCAAATGAAGATTGTATTTCTAGTGTTTTAGAATTCTCTGTAATTTGAACAATATAAATCCAATACTTAAGCCTGCTCTTTTTCCCTTTGGCTGTCTTAGATGACTTTCCTATATAAAACAAATTAAAAAGTAAAGTTATTGTTTATGCCCTAAAAGGTGTGACTTGATGTATATTGTTCCCATCATTTCTTTTCATACATACAACAAATATTTGAGACCAGGTGTGGTGGCTTACCCCTATAATCCCAGCACTTTGGGAGGCTGAGGCAGGCAGATTGCTCAAGTCCAGGAGTTTGAGACCAGCCTGGGCAACGTGGCAAAACACCATCTCTACAAAAAAAAATTTTTTTTTTAATTAGCTGGGCCTGGTGGCTCACACCTGTAGTCCCAGCTGCTCGGGAAGCTAAGATGGGAGGATTGCTTGAGCCCGAGAGGCAGAGGTTGCAGTGAGCCAAGATCACACCACTGCACTCCAGCCTGGGCAACAGAGTGAAACCCTGTCTCTACATACATACATACATACATACATACATACATACATACATATGTTCATACATACCCACCCCACCCCTCGCACCGTATGAAATTACTTAGTCACCATAAGAGAAAGTTATACAAAGTTATGACATTTTGAGCAAGCCAGTTTCACTACATACAATAATGTTAATTTCAAGTAGTATTAGAAAACTGTTATTACCCTAATGTCTTTAGTAATACAAGATAATTGTTCATGAGAAAGTATATTCAAATCTTTAAAATTTGTATCCTTGGAGTAAGAGAGAAAATAAATGAGAGGAAGAGAGAAGAGAAAAACCAGTTATTTTCCAAGAACTGTATATAATTTATCTGATTTAAGCCTTTAACCCATTCTATGCATAGACAATTTTATTCTGTTTTATAGAAGAGAAAATAGGCTTGGAGAGGTAACCTGCCTGAAGACATAGACAGATTCAGTCCTACGCCTACACAACTTTTAAAATCCACAAGCCTTCCACTGTACTTCAGTGCTCCCAACTCAGTTGCCCAAGCCTTAGAATTTAATGTAGCTCTCATGTCTGAATTGTGTGATAGGAGAAAAGTTAACACCAAATTCCTGGAATGTTTTGTATTCTCTGCTCTGACTATCTTGATTCTTATTGGTCCCTCTTCCAATGGTTTACACTGGCTGTTTCAACTATTACGCTTTACATATTTTATTTTTCTAATTTTCTCTTCTGTTCCCCACTACTCAAGAAATTGCAAGGACTTCTTTAAAAGAAAATGTCGCCTGAGCCCAGGTGTTCGAGGCTGCAGTGAGCCATGATTGTGTAACAGAGCAAGATCTTGTCTCAAAAAAAAAAAAAAAAAGAAAATACATGTGTGCATAGACTGATTACATTTTCCTGGTGTCTCAATTATCTTTTTTAAATTTTGCATTCATACTCCCTGAGCTTGCTCAATTTTATCTTGCCATTAATTCTTCATCTTCTGAGGTTTGGCTCCATACCTTCTCAGGAAAACACCTTCCAGGCTCTGTTAACTTGACCATAACTTTATTTGTGACATGTTTGGTATTCTAACGTGCAAAAAAATATTGACATACGGGATAATATAAGAAAAGCAGTTTGGTTTGTTTCATAGCATTAGTTCCATTTTCAGTTGTTAAACAGTTTGTAAGTGTAACAGTTAATAAGTAGAGGAGATAATTCACTACTCAGTGACCAGCTATCATTACACCTTTGATACTGTAATGGTAGCAATGAGTCTATCCTAAGAAAAATATTTTCAGACAATTTCAGTAGATTCAGGAACCTCCTGAAATCCATGCAAGGCTCCAGTGTTAAAACAGCCTTCCCAATGTATCCCACCCACACCCGAGAATTTTGAGTCTCCTTAAGTACATCCATCTACTTGCAGGGGATTGATAATTATTTCAGTATCTACTATTGTGTTTGTTTGTTTTTTTAAATATTTTTTATTGTGTTTGTTTTTTACTTTGAGTATAATTTAACAGCTTGGTCATTTTGACCTGGAACAGTTCTTAACAGCATCTCCTTTAGACAGCTGTTTAGTTGTATGTAGTTATTAGACCTAATTATTTGATGTTATTAAAAAGATGATTGATCAGTAGCAATTGATAGTTGAGCAATTCTAGTCTGAATTTGAAGTCATTTTTTTGTTCCTTTTGATATATATATATATATCTTTCAGTTGATTATAATTACATATGTTCTCCTTTAATAAAAGATTTTACAGCTGTAACTTGTGTGGATACAATGCAAGAAGAAGAAGGAGATAAAGGGGATGATGCCTCAGTCCTGACCACCAGACGTGATGAAAAATCCCATCCTTTTACCAATCCCCGATGGGCTACTAGAGTCTTTGCTGCTGAATGTGTCTGTAGGATAATTAACCAATGTGAGAATGCTAACAGTGCACATTTTGACATTGCTTTAGCACAAGAAATGAAAAAAAGAGATTCAAGAAGTAAGTGACATAGTGATGAAAACACCAAATGATATGTGTAAAAATGCTGTCTGCTTATGGTTTTAATATTTAAAATATTAAAATATTTTTTTAAAATGAAACTAGCCAGACACAGTGGCTCATACCTGTAATCCTAACACTTTGGGAGGCTGAGGCAGGAGGATCACTTGAGCCCAGGAGTTTGAAACCAGCCTGGGCAACAATGAAACATTGTCTCTATTAAAAAAATTTTTTTAATTAGCAAGGCATGGTGGCATGCACCTATAGTTCCAGCTACTGGGGAGGCTGAGGCAGGAATATCACTTGAGCCCAGGAGTTTGAGCTTGCAGTGAGCCGTGTTCACATCACTTCATGTTTAAATACATTTTTAATGGTTAAGCTTCTTATATTGGCATTCACTTTAATGAGCAGGTGCAATGCATTAAGTTTATAGAAAATAATTGGTTCTTGGGAAATAGTATGAACATTTACTAGTTCTCAAAAATTATTTCCTGGTTTGTAACTTGGGCCAGTTTTTGCTTACAGATTATTTTAGTATCATAGATATTAACTAAAAAACATTTGAGCCTTTCTCAGTGTTAAGTAAACCTGATTGTAAGACCATTTTGACCACCTCTTACTGTTTAACTGTATTATTTTTACCTATTTATGTTTGCCTTTATGGTTTGATGTCTGATTTTTTAAATTCACTTAAGCTCATATGTTCAAAGACACAATACATATTTGTGTTTTTTTTTTTTTTTTTTTAGACAGCATTTCACTCTGTCACCCAGGCTGGAGTGCAGTGGCATGATCACAGCTCACTGTAACCTCAACCTTCCAGGCTCAAGCAATCCTCCCACCCCAGCCTCCCGAGTAGCTGGGACAACAGGCATATACCACCATCCCCATCTAATTTTTTAATTTTTCTGTAGAAGTGAGATCTTATTATGTTGCCCAGGCTGTCTCAAACTTCTGGGCTTAAGTGACTCTCCCACCTCAGCCTCCCAAAGTGCTGGGATTACAGGCATTAGCCACCACACCTGTCCACAGTGCATATTTCTAAATTCCTTAGAAGTATTCTTTACCAGACAAAAGAATTACAAAGCAAAATGTTGCTGTTGCCAGTCTGAGTATGAATTAGGTATCTCTGGTTTAATTATTTTTAAGTATGCATTTATTGAGTCTCTTGTGATGAGCACTTTGCTAGATACTTTACAGTTACAAAATTTACATACTGTAGATACTTAACTGATTCCTGTGCTCTCAGTTAAAGTTGTAGTTGGCATTTACTAAGACGTGATTTCTTCTGTTAAATGATTTTCTTATATCTCTCCACAGGAGATATGTTATACCAAACAATGTGTTGTAGGAATGAAAGGAATTACCATTTATCATTTCTACGACTAGAAATGTTTTTTATACTCCCACCATTTGTATGTTTGGCAGTATATGTAAAAATAAGATATTGTCGTTCATAGAAAGAGCCGCATAAAACTTTTTTTTAAAGGAACATTATGTCTTAGCTTCAACCTGACATAAAGAAAATAAATTTCTGCTTAATTAGTCAAAGCCCAAAGTCTCCTCCATACCAACTAATGTACTTTTATCATAAAAGCTGAACAAAATTTTATTGAAGATACTATTAGGACACTTAAAAAATGCTAATTCTGCCCTGAGTAGCTGGATATACTTACTAGCTTTGGGACAGTTTTCTTGTGTGTATTTGCAGTGTACATTAAATCCAGCTTTAAAGTCTCTATTTAACAAACAGCAAAAACAGTATATCAAGTCAGAGGTACTTAAAGGAGGAAAAATTATCACTTAATGTAAGTCTTAGTTCCAGCACATTTTTTTGATATTTTCTAATCTTTTTTTCTCCCAATATGTTTTTTAATCTTATAGATGACTTTTTGGTACTGCATCTTGCTGACTTAATTCGCATGGCTTTTATGGCTGCCACAGATCACAGTGACCAGCTCCGTCTTTCTGGCCTTGAAATGCTGTTAGTTGTTATTCGGCGATTTGCAACTGTTCCAGAACCAGAGTTTCCAGGTCATGTGATTCTGGAACAGTATCAAGCCAATGTAAGCACTTTCTTTTAGAGAATTTTATTATTAAACACACAGATAAAAAGTCTATGAGGCCAGGCATGGTGGCTCATGCCTGTAATCCCAGCACTTCGGGAGGCCAAGGCGGGTAGGTAGCTTTGAGCCCAGGAGTTCAAGACCGGGCAGCATGACGAAACCCCATCTCTACCAAAAATACAAAACTAGCTGGCATGGTGGAGTGCACCGGTAGTCTCAGGCTGAGGTGGGAGAATCACTTGAGCCTGGGAGACGGAGGTTGCAGTGAGCCGAGATTGTGCCACTGCACTCCAGCCTAGGTGACAGATCCAGACCCTGTCTCAAAAAAAAAAGTCTGAAACTGTCTGAGGATGGGAAAGTTAAAAAAGAGGAAGAAGAAAGGGGGAAAGAGAAAGGAAGAGAGGAAGGAAGGGAGCAAGGGAGGGAGGGAAGAAAGGGGGGAGGATCTGTCTATGAACCGAATTGGGATATCACCTCGTAAATGAGTAGGTATCTCTGCTAACGTATCACCAGTATATTCCATATATAGAAAGTACATGTGTTTGAAGAAGAAATCTTTCAGCTAATATTTTATAAAGCTTCAAGTAAAAGCAAAGTACATAAAACATGTCTTTTGGGCAGGGCAGTATGCCTGTAGTCCCAGCTCCTTAGAAGGCTGAGGCAGGAAGATCACTTGAGCCCAGAAGTTCAAGTCCAGTCTGGGCATCATAGGGAGACCTCCATCTCCAGAGAGGGGGAAAAAAAATGGCCCTGTTAAAGAAAACAAAAATAAAAAAACAAGTGTTTTGTAACTTTAAAGGTTGATTTTCCGGGTGGGGGAAGCTGAGTGCTGAGACCAAGGGCTAAAGCTGGGAGACTGAAAAAATGCAGACCACCGGGGTATTACTCATTTCTCCAGCTCTGATCTGCTGTTGTACCAGGGGTCTAATCAGGCCTGTGTCTGCCTTCTCCTTGAATAGCCCAGAGAATTCATCTAAACAGCCTTCCTACAGCAGCTCCCCACTCCAGGTGGCCAGACGGGAGTTCCAGACCAGTGTTGTCTCCCGGGACACTGACACAGCCGCCAAGTTTATTGGTGCTGGGTCAGCCACAGTTGGTGTGGCTGATTCAGGGGCTGGCATTGGAGCGGTGTTTGGCAGCTTGATTATTGTCTATGCCAGGAAGCTGTCTCTCAAGCAGCAACTCCTCTTCTATGCCATTCTGGGCTTTGCCCTGTCTGAGGCCATGGGGCTCTTCTGTTTGATGATCTCCTTCTTCATCCTGTTCGCCATGTGAGGCTCCGTGAGGGTCACCTGCCTGTCCCTGCAGCTGCAACTCCGCGCCATTCCTGGTGCTGGGGTGTGCTAAGCTTTACCATTAAACACAACGTTTCTCTAAATAAATAAATAAATAAATAAAGGTTAATTTTCATAATATATATAACCTCTTTCATTTATTTTCTAGACTTAGGAAATGATTCAGATTTCTGTGGGGTTTGTGTTGTTGTTGTTTTTGAGACAAGGTCTTACCCTGTTGCCCAGGCTGGAGTGCAGTGGCATGATTTTGGCTCACTGCAACCTGAAGTAGCTGTAACTACAGCCACACGCCACCACGCTCGGCTAATTTTTGTGTTTTTTTGTAAAGACAGGGTTTTACCATGTTGCGCAGGCTGGTCTCAAACTCTTGGGCTCAAGTGATCTGTCTGCCTCCACCTCCAACGTGCTGGGACTACAGGCATGAGCCACCAGCCCCAGCCCAAGGATTCAGGTTTCTATTACTGGTTTTGTAATCTTTTTAACTGATTATTTGACTGGTCCATTGAACAATTTAAGAAGAACAAGGAAGATAACAAAATCATTAGCTGTCTTGTAATCCTCTAGCAGCATTCATCCAAGGAGATCTCTCATTATTATTCAGAAGCAACTTCTGATGGCTAGCAGTTAGGGAGACCAGAGCAGTTCATCAGTTGATTAGCAGTCTTCATGACTTCGTTCAGCTAATACCAACATATGCTTAGGGACAAAGCAAAATGAAGGGATTAAAGTTACGTAGAACTGTCATATTAGAGGCCGGGCGCGGTGGCTCATGCCTGTAATCCCAGCACTTTGGGAGGCCGAGGTAGGCGGATCACCTGAAGTCAGGAGTTCGAGACCAGCCTGGCCAACATGGTGAAACCCCATCTCTACTAAAAATACAAAAATTAGCCAGATGTGGTGACAGACGCCTGTAATCCCAGCTACTCCGGAGGCTGAGGCAGGAGAATCACTTGAACCCAGAAGGTGGAGGTTGCAGTGAGCCGAGATCATGCCATTGCACTCCAGCCTGGGGGACAAGAGTGAGACTTTGTCTCAAAAAAAGAAAAAAAAGAACTATTATATTAGAATGAAATATTATAATTCAACTTAATTAAGAGGAGTTCTGTTATATTTTTAGCCCTCTTACAATCGCAAGTGCTAGAAATACAATTAGAACTCAAGCAGTAAAGGAAAATTATTATTAGGAATCTCTTAATTGTCTCTGCTTTCTTCCACAGTGGACTTATTCTCAGGTTTATTCTCTCCAAGTGATATCAAGATGGCTCTCTTAGCACCCAGGGCCTCAGAAAGATACAGTGCTTCTTTCCCAGTACTCCCAGTGAAAGTCTTGAGAGCCTTCATTATCCCAGCATGAGTCCCTGGAGCCAGGCAATGCTGTCAGCTCCAAAACAACAATATGGATTAAGAGTTGGGGAGAGGCTGGGCACAGTGGCTCACACCTGTAATCCCAGCACTTTGGGAGGAGGCAGTTGGATCACTTGAGGTCAGGAGTTGGAGACCAGCCTGGCCAACATAGTGAAACCCTGTCTCTACTAAAAATACAAAATTAGCTGGTTGCGGTGGCAGGCACCTGTAATCCCAGCTACTTGGGAGGCTGAGGCAGGAGAATCACTTGAACCTGGGAGGCGGAGGCTGTAGTGAGCCGAGATTGCGCCACTGCACTCCAGCCTGCCTGGGCGACAGGGCGAGACTCCGTCTCAAAAAAAAATAAAGGGGGAGAGAAGATCGTTCCCCGAAGGTAAAATTGGGATGTTGTTATCTAAAAACAGGGGAAGATACACTGGGTAGACAAAACAACAGCTGTCCATAATACCTGTTATAAATAAATAATTTTAAAATAACATTAAAAAGAGGGAGAACTTGTGCTGTCTTACTTCTTGATGTTTGATATGTCATGTAATTTCTTGCCAGGTAGGAGCAGCGCTTAGACCAGCCTTCACTTCAGAGACACCACCTGATGTCACTGCCAAAGCATGTCAGGTAAATGGTTAAAAGATGAAGCTTAAGAGATAATCTTGGGAAGCAGTCCTCCAGTTAGTATTTTTTTACCAATGTTTTTTCTTTATGGTTGTCTTACCGTCAATCATAGCTTACACTTTTCTTCTTAAACTTACTCTTCCTTTTTGATAACTGCATGATAATCCACTATATAGATATGTTATAATTTATTTAACCAGTTCCATATTGACGGACATTGGGTTTTTTTCTTTTGCTATTAGAATAGTGCTGTATGAGTGACCTTGTGCATAGGTCATTTCACTGGGTGTAAGCATATCTGTGAGATAAATTCCCCAAAATTGAATTGATGGATTCCCCCAAAATTGAATTGATGGATAATTGATGGATATTAGAGGTGTTTACCATTTAAATTTCCACCAGCAATGTTATACAAGTACCTGTTTTGCCACAGTCCCAGCAACATTGTGAGTCATCAAACTTTTACATTTTTGTCTATACGATACAATAAAAAGTCTGTCTCAGGATAGTTTAGATTTGTATTTCAAGTGAGATTGAGCACTTTTTCATATACTTAAGAGCCATACAATATACAATTTTAAACAGTTGCTTTTCTCAGACTGCGTTGTCAGACACTTAATATCCAGCCCTAGGCCAGGTACAGTGGCTCACGCCTGTAATCCCAGCACTTTGGGAGGCCAAGGCAGGTGGATCACTTGAGGTCAGGAGTTAGAGACCAGCCTGGCCAACATGGTGAAACCCAGTCTACTAAAAATAGCTAGGCGTGGTGGCAGGTGTCTGTTGTCCCAGCTACTCAGGAGGCTGAGGTGGGAGGATCACTTGAACCTGGGGGAGGCAGAGGCTGCAGTGAGCTGAGATCATGCCACTGCACTCCAGCCTGGGCGATAGAGGGAGACTCCATCTCAAAAAAAAAAAAAAAAAAAAAAAAAAAATCTAGCCCGGGATGACCTGAACTAATTAAAAGCAGGACTGGCATGAATAAATTAATTATAAGCATAGTGGGAAAAACTAATTTTAGTCAGTTCTTTCAACTTTCTTTTATTTAATTGTACTTGGGAAATAGTTGAGTGCTTTTACTATTCAGAGAACTACATTAAATGTATGAATCTCTAATTTATTATAACTTTACTATGTGTGTTCTTGCTGTAAGCCACTTGAAATATTTTGTGAGATGAGACAAGAACTAAACAAATACACAGAAGAGGAAAAATAAGTTTTCCTTAGAAAAAGAGAAATATCAGCTGGACACAGTGGCTCATTCCTATAATCCCAACACTTTGGGAGGCGCAGGCAAGTGGCTCACTTGAGTTCAGGAGTTTGAGACCAGCCTGGGCAACACGGGGAGATCCTTTCTCTATAAAAAAATAAAAAATTAGCCAGATGTGGTGGTATGTGCCTGTGGCCCTGTCTACTCAGGAGGCTGAGGTGGGAGGATCCCCCTGTGGAGGTCAAGGCTACATGAGCTGTAATGCCACCACTGCATTCCAGCCTGGGCTACAGAGCAAGATCCTATCCCAAAAAACGAGAGAGAAATATCATGGCACCTGGAAAAACCATAGCTTGAGTAAATGTTTTGCATTGTAGAATTAATGATGTTTTGTTTTTAAGATTAAAATTACACTGTCTTCAAAACAATCAAAATTTTTGTTGGGGTTTTATTATTTCATAGCTTCATTTCTCCATATTAATACATCTAGAAATGTTTAATTTATATACTCATTAGCACTGATTTCCTTGCTTCAGCCTTAGACTTCGTTCCCTTTGGAAATGCTGACTTTTGACTATCATTATCAGTCTCCTTCCATAGGATTTCTCGAAAGCAATAGCAATATAGTCTCAGTGACTAGATTCTTGAAATGTGAGTGAGCTCTGCTGAACTCACAAGGGAGATTTTTTTTTTTAAGAGATGGGCTTTTTTTGTTTGTTTTTTGTTTTTTAAGAGATGGGGTCTCACTCTGCCACCCAATCTAGAGGTCTAGATACGTGGCTCAATCCTAGCTCACTGTGGCCTCACACTCATGGGCTCATGCAATCCTCCTGCCTTAGCCTTCTGAGTAACTAGTACTACAGGTGCACATTACCATGCCCAGCTAATTTTTGTATTTTCTTTTAGACAGAGTTTTGCCATGTTGCCCAGGCTTGTCTCAAACTCCTGGGCTCAAGCGATCTGCCTGCGTCACCTCCCAAAGTGCTGGGATTACAGGCATGAGCCACCACACCCAGCCAAGGGAGATACTTATAATTTTAAAATATAACTTTTAATTTCTTGAAAACTAGGTTTGCAGTGCCTGGATAGCAAGTGGAGTTGTAAGTGACCTTAATGATCTCCGAAGAGTTCATCAGTTGCTTGTTTCATCGTTAACTAAAATACAGGCTGGAAAAGAAGCTCTAAGTCACTTATATAATGAAAGTGCTTCTACCATGGAGATCTTAGCTGTGCTTAAAGCCTGGGCAGAGGTTGGTATTTCTTAATTTGTAACTGGAATTTTGGAAGTTGTTAATAAACACCTTAGGCCATAAACTGAAATTTACTGTTTAAAATGAACTACAAATAAGTTCATTTTTAAGGTTAAACAAAAAGAATTCCAACATGTGATGTATTTATATGTTAATATGTTAGTCAAGCATTTTAAAGAGTCTTCCGTAGTCTATTATCTCCTACTTTAAGCAGTGCTACTTATGAGCCAGAGAGACTTACAGTAGCCAGTGGAAATCAACATTTATTGAATCCTGAATTATTGGAAATTTGGGTCTCCTTGTATCTTCTATCAACTCTGTAGCATGTAATGCTTTCTAATGCTCTTTCGTAGAATGATTTTTGAATAGTAAGTAGTCGTTATTTTATTTTCCAAGGATAAAGAAATCTTACAGTAAGATGCTTATTTACTTTCCTAATAAAGGAGAAAGCTATAGTATTTTTTAATTTACTATGCAATGTTTAAGCATTTGCAAAAGTAGACCTAATAGTATTTATAATGAATCTACATATACCCATCACCTGGCTTCAGCAGTTACCAAACATGACCAATCTTGGTTCACATATAATTTTTTTGTAGACAGAGTCTTGCTCTGTTGACGAGGCTGGGGTACAAATGGAGCAATCTCAGCTCACTGCAGCCTCCACCTCCCAGTTTCAAGTGATTCTCGTGTCTCAACCTCCCAAGTAGCTGGGACTACAGGTATGCATCACCACGCCCAGCTAAGTTTTGTATTTTTAGTAGAGATGGGGTTTCATCGTGTTGGCCAGGTTGGTCCTGAACTCCTGACCTCAAGTGATCCACTCTCCTCTGCCTCTTAAAGTGCTCGGATCACAAGCATGAGCCACCACGCCTGGCCCAGTTCACATACCATTTTAATGAAGGTATGTAATCTCAGATTTCATCTAAGAGATTAACCAACATGTACAAAAGGGTTTCCTCCAGTAGAGGTATTTTAAACCTGAAAGTTGTAGAATCTTTATTTTTGTCATTATTTAGCACAACCTTCATTAGGAAGTAGTTGTGCCTAGATTCAATAAACTGGGTCTGGCCAGGTGCAGTGGCTCATGCTTGTAATCCCAACACTTTAGGAGCCCAAGGCAAGAGGATTACTTGAGGCCAGGAGTTCAAGATCAGCCTGGGCAACATACTGAGACCCCATCTCTATATAAAATTTTAAAAATAAATAAATTAGGCCGGCACGGTAGCTCACACCTGTAATCCCAGCACTTTGGGAGGCCAAGGTGGGCGGATCATCTGAGTTCAGGAGTTCGAGACCAGCCTGACCAACATGGAGAAACCCCGTCTCTACTAAAAATAAAAAAAAAATTAGCCAGGCGTGGTGGCATATGCCTGTAAATCCCAGCTACTCGGAAGGCTGAGGCAGGAGAATTGCTTGAACCCGGGAGGCAGAGGTTGCAGTGAGCCAAGATCGCACCATCCAGCTTGGGGAACAAGAGCGAAACTCCATCTCAAAGAAAAGAAAATAAATAAATAAAATAACCTCAGCGCGGTGGCTCACGCCTATAATCCCAGCACTTTGGGAGGCTGAGGCGGGCAGATCACTTGAGGTCAGGAGTTCAAGACCAGCCTGGTCAACGTGGTGAAACCCCATCTCTACTAAAAATACAAAAACCAGCCAGGCATGGTGGTGCGCACCTGTAATCCCAGCTACTTGGGAAGCTGAGGCAGGAGAATTGCTTGAACCTGGGAGGCGGAGGTTGCAGTGAGCTGAGATGGCACCACTGCACTCCAGCCTGGGTGACAGGGTGAGACTTCTTCTCAAAAAAATAAAAATAAAATAAAATAGACTGAATCTACATCTCTGTGCTTTTGCTTAAGCCTGTTACCTCCTCATATTATTTCTTCAATAAAGATAAATAATGACTGACCAATATATATCTGGGAAGTCTGGGGCAATACCATAGAATCTATAATCAAACACATTAATGTTTGAATATTTATACTGTGTTGTGTATATAGATTTAAATGGCCTCACATAAGTTCATCAGTTTTCCACCAGATTAGTTTGCCAAAAACTTAGGTTTTTTCAGAGCTTTTTGGATTTTAGAGTTGTAGATAAAGGGATAGTGCATGTTATACACTGTGTTGCTTACTTTAACATTCTATAATCCATATTAAATCTATTTGTGTACACTTTTTATAGAGCTTTAGTGATACATTTGAATGAAAATATATTCAGTATTTCAGTTAAGAGATGGCTACCTGTAGCTGTATGTTAAGATGGATTATTAGGCCATACCAGGCTTAGTGAGAAAGAGTGCCGTGATATAATATTATGATTGTAAATGTGAGAAGTGGCATCATATTTACCAGATATTTGTTATCCCTAATGCATCTCATTGAAGATAGTATTTTTGACTCTTTCTACCCCAGTTTTCTGTGTGTAGTTACACAGACAGGCCTTCTTGATATCACAGTGCATTTCAAGTCCAGTATGCTCAAAGGTAAGTCTGCCTCTTCAGGAAGATATAAAAATTTTATAGCACCTTTTCAGCAGATAAAAGATTTTCCTGTTTTTAAATTAACCTTTAACAGGTCTACATAATTGCTGTGCAAAGACATAAAAACCACAGACAACCTTTGAAGACTACCACCTGTTTAGAAGACGGTATCAGAAATGGATCATGTTCATCAGATGGACTGCTTGACTTAGTCTATGCAGATCTTGGCACACTAAGCAGACTCTGGCTTGCTGCACTTCAGGATTTTGCTCTTTTAACTTTGCCTTCAGAATTTGCCTCCCAACTTCCTGCTGAAGGTAAGGAGATAAAATACTTAGATAATTCCTAGAGTGACAGTAACACATTTTCTTTTCTTTTTTTTTGTTTTTGACAGGGTCTTACTTTGTTTCCCAGGCTGGAGTGCCATGGTGCAATTTTGGCTCACTGCAACCTCTGCCTCCTGGGCTCAGGCGATCCTCCCACCTCAGCCTCCCAAGTAGCAAGGACTACAGGCACACACCACCACGCCTAGCTAATTTTTGTATCTTTTGTAGAGATGGGGTTTTGCCTTGTTGCCAGGCTGTTCTCAAACTTCTGTAATCCCAGCAGTTCGGGAAGCTGAGGCAGGCAGATCACTTGAGGTCCTGAGTTCGAGACCAGCATGGCCAACATGGTGAAACCCCATTTCTACTAAAAACACAAAAGTTAGCCAAGTGTTGTGGTGAGTGCCTGTAATCCCTGCAACTCGGGAGGCTGAGGCAGGAGGATTGCTTGAACCCGGGAGGCTGAAGTTGCAGTGAGCTGAGATCGTGCCACTGCACTCCAGCCTAGGTGACAAGAGTGAGACTCTGTCTCAAAAAAAAAAAAAAAGGACACACCCACCAGCAACTTGTTTTCATTTCTCCACACTGTATTATCATACTTAATAATTTTTGCCAATCTGATGGCTATGAAATATTTCATTGTTTTATTTTCTTATTTCCTTGATTAAGAATCTTTAAGTTGTTTCTTCCATAAATAATGTAGTCATAATCTTTGCCCATCTGCTATTTGGTATTTATTTTGTTGTAAGATACAATGAATCTTTCTGAGTTTCTCTTCAAAAGATTTAGCCTTTAACTTCCTTACCCTTTGTTCTCAAACTCAACTTTCTTGTTTCTCCTTGCCTCTACTTACTGTAAACAGCCTACCCTCTCCCTGTCAGTTTTAATTGATAACTCACATCTGTTCCTTTGGTTACCTGTACCCATTGTCCTCCCGAAACTGCACGTCCCACATGCTCCACCACTGGACCTCACGTCCCCCTCCCTTCCATATTTAGAAAAATATATACAAGTGGCCATTCGGGTCAGCTCAGATTGTGCAGTCCACAGCCCATGGGGGAAGAACACAGAGATACAGATCACATTAGGATATAAAAACCCCCTTGTCTCCTTTGTTTGGTGTGCACTTGCGATCTTGATTGATGCGAGTGACACCCTTTTGCAAAAGTAAATTGCCTTGCTGAGGAAATTAAAATTATATCCGAGTGCTGTTTCTTTTGCAGCATCAGAAATTCATTTATAACAATTGTTTTCTTCCTGATTGTTTAATCTTTTTTATATATATATATATACACAACACTATTCGTTTGTGGTTGCATGTCTTGTAAGTATTTTCTCTCAGTCTGTAACTTGTCCTTTTCTTTTACCTTTTTTAAACTAATATAAGCTGGGTGTGATGTAGTACACCTATAGTCCCAGCTACTCAGAAGGCTGATGTGGGAAGATCTCATGAGCCCAGGAGTTGGAGGCTGCAGGCAGCTATCATCGTGCCACTGTACTCCAGCCTGGGTGACAGAGCAAGTCCCTCTCTAAAAAAAAAAAATTAAAAGAATGTAATCAGTCAGTCATTTATGGTTTGTGTTTTTGTATGTTACCGCATACATTTTTAAACTTAAGATCATAAAGACATACAAGCTTTACAGTTTTGCCTTTTACATTTTGAACTTTGGTAAAACTGGAATTTATTTTGTGTGTGTGGAAATAGGGATAGGGTTCTTATTTTTAATCAGTTACTAGTACTGCATTTTATGGGTTGGTTACTTTGTAGCCGCTCTTAATCTTCTTCATGTTATTCCAAAATGTCTTAGCTATCATTGTATTTTTACTTTTTGATATGAATTTTAGGATGAGCCTGTAAAGTTCTACTAGTTTTGTGTGTGTGTATTTGGTTGGTTGGTTGGTTGGTTGGTTGGTTGGTTGGTTGGTTGGTTGGTTGGTTGGTTTTTAGAGACAGGGTGTTGCTGGGTTGCCCAGGCTGGAGTACAATGACTGTTCACAGGAGCAATCATAGTGCACTACAGCTGGGCTCAAGTGATCCTGCCACCTCACCCTCCTAAGCATCTGGGACTATGGTGTACACTATGGTGGCCAGCCTAGTTCTATTAGAATTTTCATTGGAATTATACACAAAAAGATATATGGAGTGTTTGTTGTACTTTTCAGTAGCATAAAAATGGAAACAACATGAAAATAAACTGATTTATTTACACAACAGAAAAATGAATGACAGACATATAGCAACTGTAAGTAAATCTTAAAAACATAATGTTAAGTGGAAAAAAAATTATTTATTTATTTACTTATTTATTTATTTATTTATTTGAGGTGGAGTCTTGCTCTGTGGCCCATTCTGGAGGGCAGTGGCTTGATCTCGGCTCACTGCAACCTCCACCTCCTGGGTTCAAGCAATTCTCCTGCCTCAGCCTCCCAAGTAGCTAGGACTACAGGCGTGCACTACCACGCCCAGCTAATTTTTGTATTTTTAGTAGAGACAGGGTTTCTCCATGTTAGCCAGGCTGGTCTCGAGTTCCTGACCTCAGGTGATCTGCCTGCCTCAGCCTCCCACAGTGCTGGGATTACAGGCATGAGCCACTGTGCCTGGCCAAAAAAAATAAAGGATGCATGTAAGCCAGGCACAGTGGTGCATGCTGGTAGTCTCAGCTACTCAGGAGGCTGAGGTGGGAGGGTCACTTGAGCTCAGGAGTTCAGGGCCAACCTGGACAACATAGTGAAACCCCATCTACACAAAGAAAAAAAAGGATACATACAGTATGATGCCTTTTAAGTAAACGTTTAAACACAAAAAAAAATAGCGTATGTTATTAATGAATACATACATTATTGTGAAAGTATAAGACCATATCTAGGAGTCATTCTTACTGGCTTCAGGAAAGTAGTCATGGAAGGAGGGGCAAGAATTAGTGGTATTAACAGTTTTAGGTTTTTTAAGCAAAAAAATGGCCAGGCGCGGTGGCTCACACCTGTAATCCCAGCACTTTGGGAGGCTGAAGTGGGCAGATTGCCTGAGCCCAGAAGTTCAAGACCAACCTGGGCAACATGGTGAAACCCCATCTCTACTAAAATACAAAAAATTAGCTGGGCGTGGTGGTGCACACCTGTGGTCCCAGCTACTCAGGAGGCTGAGGCGGGAGAATCGCTTGAACCCAGAAGTCAGAGGTTGGCAGTGAGCCGACATCACGCCACTGCAGTGAGACTGTCTGAAAAAAAAAAGAAAAAAATTAAGAGAGATTTAAGAAAATCAGGGAAAATGTTAATGTTCATCTTGGAAGTCGGTAAATGGGTATTGGTATTTATTTTAATCACACATATACACATATTTTGTTTTAAAATGTTTATGATTAAATTATAAAAAGTTACTAATTAGGCTGAAAACTTTTTATGAAGTTAAAAGTAGATCAGCCCTATGACCTATCAGTTGTACTCCCAGTAAAAATAAGAACATTGATAACAAAATACTGATAACACAGCAGCATGAATGAATCTCTAAAAATGTTGTTAGGTTATTTTGTTAACAATATATTAGTCACAAATAAGTACATATGTATATGTGATTCTATTTATATGAAGTTCAAGAATAGGCAGAACTAATCTGTGCTGATAAAAACTAGAAAGTAGTTGCCTTAGGGTATAGGGAACTGACTGAAAAAGGGTACAAGGGAACTTTCGGAGTGATGGAAATGGTCTATATCTTGTAACAGAAAAAAGAGAAAATATATTGGAAGTTAATCTCTTATTTTTCCTGAAACTGTTTGCTTTAGGTGGTGCTTTCTACACAGCAGAGACTAGTGAAAATGCAAAATTGCATTATTACAACTCCTGGGCACTTATCCTCCATGCTACAGCATTGTGGCTTACAAGCACGGGTTTTGTTGTTGCTGACCCAGATGAAGGAGCATCTAATCTCTCCAGGCCTGTAACACCAACTTCCATGTGTCAGGGTTCATCATCTGGGGCTACCATAAAGTCCCCTGAGGATGTCTACACTGATAGATTCCATCTTATTTTAGGTCAGTTAAACCACTTTTACAAGTTTACAACCTTAGGGGTTTTTTGTTTTTTTTTTTTTGAGATGGAGTTTTGCTCTTTCACCCAGGCTGGAGTACAGTGGCACGATTTCAACTCAAGCTCACAATTATTGTCAACTGAAAATAAAAATATAAATAAATTACTTAAGCTCTCTGCTCATTTATGTCAGAATTAGTGTCAATAATAGTGCCTACTTTGTCAACTATTACGAGAATTTAATAAAAAGATGTATGTCAAAGCACAGTGATACTTGGTAATCACCCAGTAAATTTTAGCCAAAGTAAAGTTATGAAACTCCATATGTTTTCCGGTGCAATTTTATTGTAATTTTTGCAGCTTTGAACTGTTTCATAGCAACTAAGCAACTAGTGCACAAGCCTAGTTTAGATTTTTTTTTTTTTTTTTTTTAGACAGAGTTTTGCTCTTGTTGCCCAGGCTGGAGTGCAATGGAGCGATCTCGGCTCACCGCAACCTCTGCCTCCTGGGTTCAAACAATTCACCTGCCTCAGCCTCCTGAGTAGCTAGGATTACAGGCATGCGCCACCATGCCCAGCTAATTTTGTATTTTTAGTCGAGACGGGGTTTCTCCATGTTGGTCAGGCTGGTCTCAAACTCCTGACCTCAGATGATCCGCCCACCTTGGCCTCCCAAAGTGCTGGGATTACAGGTGTGAGCCACCATGCCCGGCATAGATTATTTTTTTTGTACATGTAGATAGAAACAGACTATTAAGTGACTTGTCATTTAATTGTTTAGTCTTAAATTCATTGTGATTTATTTGTATTACCTTTTTACTGTTTGTTTATATATCTTACCAAAATATAAGATTAATTACTTAATTTCATAAACTAATAATTTGAAAGAAGCCTCCTCCTCTTTTTTTGCTTTCCACAGGAATCAGCGTGGAATTTCTATGTTCCTTACGTTCAGATGCAACCATGGAAAGCATAACTGCTTGTTTACATGCATTGCAAGCACTTCTAGATGTACCTTGGCCCAGATCAAAAATTGGCAGTGATCAGGTGATTTATCTGGGGTTTTTTTTGTAAGGCTTCTGTAGTCTTTAAGGAAGAGAAACATGTTCAGGTTTCTATAGTTAACAGAAAGTAAACACACAGAAATTTTTTTTCTAAACCATACAGCCTCACAGCTAGGCCTTGGAACCAGAATGCCATAAGCATATGTGTTGACCCAAAAACAATCATGCCTCTTACTCTGCCGCTTTTCTGTCTCTGCTTCTTTCTGCAATGATGGGAGGGTTCTATATTGCATTGTCCAGGACAGTAGCCACTAATTACATGTGGCATTTATTCTTTGTCTCTTTTTGCTTCTGCATACCCTGCTTTTTGTGTATATACCTGTATCTTATATTCCATTCCCCAAGAGAGAATCTAATGGGTTCATGTAGTTACAGTCCATTACAAAGTATTCCTGTTGGCTAAGTTCTCCCCCCAGGTCTTTTTAAGAGATTGCTGGCTAGCCTACAGGTGGAGTCAGGTACTAATATCTGACTTGGGTGTGGCCATGGGAAAAGGGTTCCTGTACAAAGTATGGTACTTCTCTTTGAGTGCTTTTCTCAAGGGCAAGTATGCATTGGGCAGATACTTTTGATATCAAGTTTTATCAAGTAGATTACTTTTGTTATTGACTCTTGGATGTTAAGATAAGTGAGTAGTATAATTTCCTCTGCAAAGACTGTCTATTATTTAAGTGTTTAATACTAACTTTTATTAGGTTTAAAGCATTAATCAGATTGAGACAGGGTTTCACCATGTTGGCCAGGCTTGATCTCGAACTCCTGGCCTCAAGTAATCCACTCACCTCAGCCTCCCAAAGTGCTGGGATTGCAGGCATGAGCCACTGTGCCCGGCCTCTGGAGTTGATTTAAAATGGAGCGTTACTTAACTTTATTGCACTAAAGCAATTTGTTACATTCTGTTTTTCTGAATTTTGTCATGGCATTTAGCATTGGTATTTTTTACAAAAGAAATGTATAATTTCTAATACAGTGTCCTGTACATGATTTCCATGATAGGACTTGGGTATAGAATTGCTGAATGTTCTACATCGAGTAATTTTAACCAGAGAATCACCTTCCATTCAGTTGGCTTCACTTGAAGTGGTAAGGCAGATTATCTGTGCTGCTCAAGAACATGTGAAGGAAAAAAGACGAAGTGCAGAAGGTAAATGTTAACCTTTAATGCCGAGTTGATCAAATAGCATCATTCTTTTGTAAAGTATTATTTAATGTATCTATATAGTTTTGATAATCTTTTGTGTGTGGTACAAATAAAACATGTCTAGGCATGGCCTTATTTTACTTTTTGTGCTCTACACATTGAGAGAAACTTCCCTAGTAATGAACTATAGAAATGATCCCTGAAAGTAGAGTCTTTAGGCATGGCTTTATTTATTTATTTATTTATTTAGTGAGACAAGGTCTCACTCCAGTTGCCCAAGCTGGAGTGCATTGGCACGATCTCGCCTCACTGCAGCCTCAACCTCCCAGGCTCAGGTGATTCTCCCACCTTAGCCTCCTGAGTAGCTAGGGCATCAGGCACATGCCACCATGCCTGGCTAATTTTTTCGTATTTTTTATTAGAGACGGGATGTGGCCATGTTGCCCAGCCTGGTCTCTCGAACTCCTGGACTCAGGCAATCCACCCACCTCAGCCTCCCAGAGTGCTGGGATTACAGGCATGAGCCATCATGCCTAGCCTGGCATGGTTTTAAATCTTCTCATTCACCTCTACATGTTAGTTTAGATATTGTCAGTAGTTAAATTACTATTCTCTGGGTGAAATGAGAATTTTAACAAAACCTGGAAGAAATAAATCCCTTACGCTACTAGAATACTTGCTTTAGCTGTGTTTACCAACGTGCATGGAAAGAACTTATGTTTGCAGATTGCTCATTTACAAGTCTAATATGGTATTGGAGAGTTTACCACTTAAGATTATAGTTGGCTACATATTATAGAAAACCCAATATAACAGTGGATTTAAACCCCAAAGATTTATTTGCTCATCTAAATAGATGGCCAGAGATAGGCAGTCTAGGGCTGACATGGCACCTTCTTAAAGACATTAAGGATGTGACTTTCTGTCTTTCTGTCCAGCCACCATCGATACGTAAGGTCACATGGTAATTTCTGGAGCTCTAGCTATCAGGTTTACAGTCTTAACAGCAAGAAGGAGTTAACCAGGCAATATTGTAAGGCTGACAGGATTAAAAAGACTTCTTTTGAGCAATTGCAATAGGAAGTCATAATAAAGATGATTACTTTTACCTTCATAACTTCTTTCTCCCTCAGTCTTTAACACCCAAAATTTAGTCATTAAATGTATTTCCTGGCCGGGCGCAGTGGCTCATACCTGTAATCCTGGCACTTTGGGAGGCCGGGGCAGGCGGATAGCTTGAGGTCAGGAGTTCGAGACCAGCCTGACCAACATGGTGAAACCTCATCTCTACTAAAAATACAAAAATTAGCTGGGCATGATGGTGCATGCCTATAATCCCAGCTACTTGGGAGGCTGAGGCAGAAGAATCGCTTGAAACTGGAAGGCAGAGGTTGCAGTGAGCCGAGATCATGCCATTGCACTCCAGCCTGTGTGACAGAGCGAGACTCTGTCTCAAAAAAATAAAATACATGTATTTCCTGTAACAGGATTTAACTAAATTGCCATCTACCAGAAGCAGAGCAAGCACAAAGTATTAAACACTATTCTTTCTTTTAGTTGATGATGGGGCTGCTGAAAAGGAAACTCTGCCAGAGTTTGGAGAGGGAAAGGACACCGGAGGACTTGTGCCTGGAAAGTCTTTGGTCTTTGCAACACTGGAATTGTGTGTATGCATTCTAGTTAGACAGCTCCCAGAATTAAACCCTAAATTGACAGGTAGCCCAGGAGTAAAAGCTACGAAGCCACAGATACTATTAGAAGATGGAAGTAGATTGGTTTCAGCTGCATTGGTTATCCTTTCCGAACTTCCTGCAGTGTGCTCTCCTGAAGGTATGCTGTGGTATGTGATTGCTTGACTTGACCTAGAAGAGAAATGGTTTTAATAGATAATGGAGTCTAGTTGCTAATCTTTTTCTTTTTAAATGAATGCTGACCCAAACATTTGGGTATTGTCTTTAATCCTCTAAGATTAGGATTACATTTTAATAAATTGTTTTACTAAAAGTAAAAATATAGAGGGCTAGGCGCAATGGCTCACGCCTGTAATCCCAGCACTTTGGAAGGCCAAGGTGGGTGGATCACCTGAGGTCAGGAGTTCGAGACCAGCCTGACCAACATGGTGAAACCCCATCTCTACTAAAAATACAAAATTAGCCAGGCATGGTGGCACATGCCTGTAATCCCAGCTACTCAAGAGGCTAAGGCAGGAGAATCGCTTGAACCCGGGAGGCGGAGGTTGCAGTGAGCCAGGATCACGCCATTGCACTCCAGCCTGGGCAACAAGAGTGAAATTATGTCTAAAAAAAAAAGAGAGAGTGAAAATATAGAGATAGCAAGTATTATAGATATGCTCTTCTATGATTGACAGTACTTCTGACCAGTCAGTGGCAATTATTAGTGCTTGGGCATGTTTTGGTATACAATTTCTAACAGACTTTTCCTGCCTCAGTGATGGCACAAGTTTGTCATTGTATCTGGTTCTGTTTGGAATTGACTCCATACTCTTTTTTGTTGTTGTTTTTGTTTGACACAGGTACTTTCTCTGTCACCTAGGCCGGAGTGCAGTGGAACAGTCATAGTTCACTATAATGTCAAACTCCTGGGCTTAAGCAATCCTCCTGTCTTGGCCTCCTGAGTAGTTAGGACTCAGGCCTGTGCCACCATACCTGGCTAATTTTTTTTTTTAATTTTTTGTAGAGATGGGGTCTTGCTGTGTTGCCAGGCTGGTCTTGAACTCCTGGCCTCAAGTGATCCTCCTTCCTTGACATCCCGAAGTGCTGGGACTACAGGTGTGAGCCACCATGCCCAGCAAGTCCATACTCTTTAACATAGCATTTAAGGTTCTCTGTGTAGCTCTGCTAATCGTTACCTTTTTTCAGTTCCTTCTTTGCAAATCCTAAACCCAAGAGGCTTCATGTTCATCCTTGTTCTGTGCTATCGTGTCGTTACTTGATCTGAAATGACCCTTATCTGCTTTTTAAAATTTTTCTTCATGGTTCAACTGCAGGCCTACCTCATGTATAAAGGCTTCCCTAAAAACTCTAGCTCATCTGAGTTTTGTTTTTTCGTGTATATGCATGTGTTATTTCCATATGTAGGTCTGTAGCTTGTATCTGTCCTACAGAGGCATTATGTGTAATTGATTATTACATATAAAAGAGAAATGTCTTGTTTCCAATTAAATCTTGTATATTCTGTGAAATCTAGCAGATTATAGGTATTTAGTACCTAGTAGATGCTTCTTAATTGGTAAACATATTTCTGCTAAAGGTGTTTTTTTGTTTTTTGTTTGTTTGTTTTTTGAAATGGAGTCTTACTGTGTCACCCAGGCTGCAGTGCAGTGGCGCGATCTCAGCTCACTGCAACCTCTGCCTCCCGGGTTCAAGCAGTTCTTCTGCCTCAGCCTCCCGAGTATCTGGGACTACAGGCGCGTGCCACCACACCCGGCTAATTTTTGTATTTTTAGTAGAGACAGGATTTCACCATATTGGCCAGGCTGGTCTCGAACTCCTGACCTCATGATCTACCCGCCTTGGCCTCCCAAAGTGCTGGGATTACAGGCATGAGCCACTGCACTCAGCCACTAAAGGTGTTATTTTTTTGTTAGTTGGTTGGTTTTTTTTTTAGACAGGGTCTCACTCTGTGCCCAGGCTGGAGTTCAGTGGTAGAATCTCAGCTCACTGCAGCCTCAACCCCCTGGGCTCAAGCAGTCCTCCCACCTCAGCCTCCTGAGTAGCTGGGACCACAGGCGCACACCACCATCCCAGCCATTTTTTTTTTTTTTTTTTTTTTTTTTGTAAAGATGAAGTCTCACTGTGTTGCCCAGGCAACATTGTGAATGTACTTAATGCCACTGGACTGTACACTAAAAATGGTTAAAATGGTAAACTTTATGTTGTATATATTTTACCACAGTAAAAGATAAATAAAAATAAATTCATTTATCGACTGCCAAAGAAAACAAAAACAGCATAAGCATAATGATACTCACACAATTTATTTAAACGTAATCTCCAGTTATAACCATCAAGATTTAATCCATCCATAAAAATTTTAATAAAGCTACTTACATTATCTTAACAGTTATAATTCTTTATTAGAAATCATCTTTTAAAAACTGAAAATCTGACATTGTCTTACTCCTTGATGATTTCTTTTTAGAAACCATATATATAGGTTGAAATCCAGTGTGTTTTTAAAAAATGTATCTTACAGGAAGCATCTCAATTCTCCCTACTATATTGTACCTCACAATCGGGGTCCTCAGAGAGACTGCTGTGAAGTTACCTGGGGGCCAGTTATCTTCGACAGTTGCAGCTTCCCTACAGGCTCTAAAAGGAATATTATCTTCTCCCATGGCCCGGGCAGAAAAGAGCCGTACTGCTTGGACTGACCTTCTCCGAAGTGCCTTAACAACAATTCTTGACTGTTGGGATCCAGGTAATTGAGGCTATTTGGAAGCAGTTCAGTTTGTCTTAAAAAGTGAGAAGAAGAGTTTTTTGAGGATAAGATATTTTACTTGATCATATTTGGCCATATCACCTAGAGGAGACCATATTCAATACTATGTGTTTAGAGGATATGTATAAGTAGATAGAAAATTGGCCGGGTGCAGTGGCTCACACCTGTAAGCCCAGCACTTTGGGAGGCCAAGTCAGGTGGATCACCTGAGGTCAGGAGTTCAGGACCAGCTGGGCAACATGGTGAAACCCCATCTCTACTAAAAATACAAAAATCAGCCGATTCTGGTGGCACATACCTATAATCCCAGCTACCCAATGCTGTCTCAGCTACTCCACTGAGACAGGAGAATTGCTTGAACCCTGGAGGTGGAGGTTTCAGGGAGCCAAGATCACGCCATTGCACTCCAGCCTGGACAACAGAGCGAGACTCTGTCTCAAAAAAAAAAAAAAAAAAAAAAAAAAAGAAAGCTGTGTTCTGGGGCCAGGCACGGTGGCTCACGTCTACAATCCCAGCACTTTGGGAAGCCGAAGCTGGCGGATCACTTGAGGTCAGGAGTTCAAGGCCAGCCTGGCCAACATGGTGAAACCCCATCTCTACTGAAAATACAAAAATTACCCAGGTGTGGTAGTGCACACCTATGGTCCCAGTTCTCGGAAGGCAGAGGCAGGAGGCAGGAGGATTGCTTAAACCCAGGAGGCAGAGCTTGTAGTGAGTAATAAATAAGGATATTATGTTGCAAGAAATTATTAGAGCAGTAACTTAATATGTGAAACGCATCTCACTTATTACCTGGCATATATCAATAAATGATAGCCAGTATTATTTTCAGCATCCATTAAAACTTGTTTTTCGTCGGGTGCAGTGGCTCACACCTGTAATCCTAGCTACCCAGGAGGCTGAGGCAGGAGAATCACTTGAACCTGGGAGGCAGAGGTTGCAGTGAGCCAAGGTTGCGCCACTGCACTCCATCCTGGGGCACAAAGCGAGACTCCATCTCAGAAAAACAAACAAACAAAAAAACTTGTTTCTCTTTTTTTCTTATTTTTATGAGGTTTTTATTTTCACTAGTGTGTTGTAGTGATTATAAAAAGTCTTTAGACACAGTATGCATTTTCCCTGCCTTCCCAGTTTTGTTTATAAATGTCACAATTTGCCATATTTCATTTTACATATAAAATGTTTTCAACTGCAGTCAGCATTTATTGACCACCCACTTTGCCCAAAGTTGGGAATCTGGTGGAGCCTGGCTCCTATAAATTGCCGTAGGGTGTGATTATTACGTTAAGAATTTCCCAAAGGCAATAGTAATGTCTTAATTATCGCTGCATTTCTAGTACAATAAAAAAAAATTCTAACTGGTTTTTTTTAAAAAATGGGAGTAATTAGTACTGTTTAAGTGAAATCAGGCAGAGTGTCACAAGTAGGATTCTCTAAAAGTACTCACCAAGAGGGAGTTTGGGGAGCAAGAAGTTTATTAAGAAACAACATCTGTGAAGGGAAGAGGGGAAGGCAATATTGGGCAAAAGAAGTCAAACTGTGACAGTTTCCCAACAAATCTCAGTAAATCTGTCTGAGGAGCTCTGGAGCCAGATTGCCCATCAGAGTGTCTTAACATATGACAGAAATGGCCTGGACTTCAAATGTGGACTGCTCCAGGAAGGATTTGATCTCAGGTAAGACAGCCATCTCTAGCTGAGACTGATCCGGAAGGAGCTGACCCTTGATCACACTTCCCACAGCTGGGCAGCACATTCTCCCTTGAAGGGGATCTCTCGGTGCATCTCTGTATCCACCACTAGAGGCTTCTCAGAAGAGTCAACGCCTTAAAGGATTAGAAAGTTTTCTCCACATGGACATCATAGAAATGGATTCTAGGAATCGCTTGAACCCGGGAGGTAGAGATTGCCGTGTGAGCCAAGATCACACCTCTGCACTCCAGCCTGGGCAACAGAGCGAGACTGTCTCAAAAAAAAAAGAAAAAAAGAAAAAGAAATGGATTCTAGGTACAACAGTTTGACCAAAAACTTGGAGAATTAAATAGCTAGGGAAGGCAAGTAGAACAATGAGGGGGTGTGGATTTGGATGGAAGAGTGTGTAAGAGTCGTGAATGGCAATTAGTAGGGAAAGAAATGAAGTTGGATGGTACATGGGGCCAGATTATGGAGGGTCTGGCATGATTTGGACTGCCTTTAATAGGCATGTGGAATAATGAAATGTTTTGTTGTGGTTGTTGTTGAGTTGGAGTCTCGCTCTGTTGCCCAGGCTGGAGTGCAATGGTACAATCTCGGCTCACTGCAACTTCTGCCTCCCAGGTTCAAGTGATTCTCCTGCCTCAGCCTCCTGAGTATCTGGGATTACAGGTGCTCACCACCAGGCCTGGCTAATTTTTTTTTTTTGTATTTTTAGTAGAGACGGTTTCACCATGTTGGTCAGGCTGGTCTCGAACTCCTGACCTCGTGATCCGCCTGCCTCAGCCTCCCAAAGTGCTGGGATTACAGACATGAGCCATCATGCCCGGCCGAAAGGGTTTTTTTGTTTGTTTGTTTTGAGACGGAGTTTTGCTCTTGTTGCCCAGGCTGGAGTGCAATGGCGCGATCTTGGCTCACCACAACCTCTGCCTCCCAGGTTCAAGCAATTCTCCTGCCTCAGCCTCCCAAGTAGCTGGGATTACAGGCATGTGCCACCACGCCTGGCTAATTTTTTTTGTATTTTTAGTAGAGATGGGGTTTCTCCATGTTGGTCAGGCTGGTCTCGAACTCCTGACCTCAGATGATCCGCCCACCTTGGCCTCCCAAAGTGCTGGGATTACAGGCATGAGCCACTGTGTCTGGCCACGAAAGGGTTTTAAAAAGGAAAGTAATATGCTTGGATTTGCGTTTCTAAAGGTTCGCTCTTGGCAGCAGTGTAAAGAAGAAAGCCAAACTGTGGGAGATAAGATAATAATAGTATGGACAAAAAGGATTAAAATGATGAAAAGTAAAATGTTAAGCAGTTTTCAACAGAACTTACTGATAGTTTGATTTAGGAGTTGAAAGCGTAGGATGACTTGAACACTCGAATGTGATTAACAGAAATAACCAAGTGAGGGTTATTTCAAAAGTAGTCTGGGCTAGAGATACTTTCTGGACTATGTGTGTATTTGGGAGCTGTCAGTGTAACCTATGGGACAATTGAAATCACCCAGCTTGAGTTTCTGGAGCAAGAAGAGGACCAAAATCAAGGTTAGAGGAGATTCAGAAGATAACGTAATTACATAAGCCAGTTTTTAATAAAGAGGGAGTGGTCAGCACTATAAAATACTGTAGAGAGGCCAAACAGTGTGGGGGATAGAGCTCACAGTGGTGAGGCACAAATGAGAGGTGTAAGGCATGGGAAAGATCAAGTATAGGCTTCTCTTCACAGGAAGAAGAGAAATAGCTAAATGGAAAGTGTAAGGTCAAGGGATAACTTTTTTTTAAGGTGACATTCAAGCATGAGTTCATACTTAACGGGGGAAAAAAAGGAGGTGGACATGGGGTTGGAGATAGAAGTATTAGAAAGGAAAGCAGCGTCCCTGTCTAGGCAGAAGGAATAAAATTTACAGCACATTTAACAGGATTGACCTCTGCCAATATGAGGAAAGAACAGCAGGTAAGGATGGAAAATAATATTATAGCTACAAGTTTTTATGTTGAGGGCTGGCCAGTGTGGCTCACTCCTGTAATCCCAGCACTTTGGGAGGCCTTGGCAAGAGGACCGCTTGAGGCCAGGAGTTCAAGACCAGTGTGGGCAACATAACAAGATACTGTCTCTACAAATAATAATAATAATTCATGTTGAGGTTTATGATGAGCTTGCTTCTTTCATCTCACACACAAAAAAATGGGTTGTGTTTTGTTGTTGTTGTTTTTGGATGTGTATCAGGGAATTAGGCTAGGACAGGATTTAGACTAGCTACTAAGAGAAATTAAGGAGTTGGTCATGACAGGTTAAATGTTTCCTGCCCAAAAAATTGCCTCAAAACTTAGTGGCTTAAAAGAGCAAACACATATTATATTATCTGACAGTTTCTATGGGTCCAGGATTAGGAGCAGTTTAGCTATGTGGTTCTAGCTTAGGTTCTCTCATGAAATTACTGTTAAGGTGTTGGCCAGGGCTGCAGCTAGAGGATTCATTTCCAAGATGACTCATTCATATGGCTAGCTAAGTGAATTGTGCATCTATCCTAGGTAAAAGAGAGTAGGAATAAAGATATTTTAGAAGAAATGGTAAAAGGAACCCAGGAGAACTTTATCTTGCTGAGAATAAAGACATTTTTACTAAACAAATTAGCTGACTCTGTTGCAGTTTCAAGTTGCTATAGGTGGTTAAAAATAACTTTGCTGTAAGGGAAGCAGTATAGCATTATAGTTAACAGTACACTCTCTGTAATCAAGCTTTCTGCCTTACTAATTGTGTGACTTGGACAAATGACTGAATTTGTGTTTCTTGTCCATAAAATGAGAGATAATAAGAGTACCTACCTCATGATGCTGTTATGTTGATTAAATATTTAATGTATATAAAGTGCTTATAACAGTGCTACATGTTAACTTTAAATATTAACTGTGTACTTATTTTACCTTAAAATCACTCAGATGTCTTTTATAAAATAAATCCTATTCATCCATAAAATTTTGCTTTCACTGCTACTGTGCCTCTTGAGTATAGTCAGCTCAGGTATTATCTCCTCAAGGCTTTCTCTGATCACCCAGGATAGGCTGTCCTGAGCTACTTTGAATGTTGTTTGTTTGTTTGTTTGTTTGTTTAAAGAGACAGGGACTTGCTGTGTTACCCAGGCTGGAGTGCAGTGTCTATTCACAGGCACGATCATTGTGCACTGCAGCCTTGAACTCCTGGACTCAACCAGTCCTCCCACCTCAGTGTCTCAAGTAGCTGGGACTATAGACACACACCACTGCTCCTGGTGTGATGTTTGTTTTGTTTTGTTTTGTTTTGTTTTTATTGAGACGGAGTCTCCCTGTGCAGCCCAGGCTGGAGTGCAGTGGCGTAATCTTGGCTCACTGCAACCTCCGCCTCCTGATGTCAAGTGATTCTCCTGCCTCAGCTTCCCGAGTAGCTGGGATTACAGTCATGCACCACCACATCTGGACAATTTTTGTATTTTTAGTAGAGACCGGGCTTCACCATGTTGGCCAGGCTGGTCTCGAACCCCTGACCTCAAGTGATCCGCCTGCCTCAGCCTCCCAAAGTACTGGGATTACAGGCCACCGCACCCAGCCAGCTTTTTAATATATTTTTATATGCTTAGACCTTATCACTAGTTGAAAGTCTTTGCTTCTCAGCTTATAGTGTATCTTCTCTATAAGATGTATTCTCTGTGCCTAAAAGAGGGCTGGCACACAGTGTTTCTTAAGTCTTGTTGAATGAATGTGACCAAAACTACTACATATGTCATTTCTTCATAAGTATCAACCCATTCTTAAACAATTTAAATATTTGAATTTGCTACATCTTTCTTTTTTGAATAACAGTGATTTTTTTTCCACAGCAGTTTCATTAAAATTATTTAATGAGAGTATGACTAGAAAATAAAGGTAGATTACTTCTAATAGAAAATTCCTTCAAATGATTGTGGCCTACACAGCTGTTTTCAGGTTTTTCTCTACTCTTGAGAAATCATATTTGTAAAGTGCTAACGTATTTTCACTTGATACATGTATTATAAAAATACTTTAACAAAGAGAAAACAATTGTGCAAGCATTTCTGTGTTGCTTCACAGTAAAAATAATTAACATGATAAGTAGCATATACTGAGCGTCATGTGTAGCATACTATTCTAAATGCTTCACATGGATTAACTCATTTAATCTTCACAACCCTATCAATGTGAGTACTGCTGTTATTCCCATTTTACAGATGAGAATACTGAAGATGGAGTTAGATGTCCAAAGTCACACAACTAATAAATATGTATTCCTAGTAAATGTATGTATTTATTTACTGATGTCTTAACCTTTAAAGATTATAATTACTTTGGTAGTTCTTAGCTCTAGAATTACTTATAATGCACATCTTAAAATGTACCTTTGCCAGGGTTCTTAGTCAGCGTTCATTGTGTGTATCTGTTGTGTACACCAAACTGTTACTACCAAACTGAAGACAGCTTCACACAGGTATATAAAGCAGTAAATATGAACTGTTTCTAATAGAGCATTTCTCTTTAGTTGATGAAACACACCAAGAACTTGATGAAGTCAGTCTACTTACTGCTATCACAGTGTTTATTTTGTCTACCAGTCCAGAAGTAACTACCATCCCATGCCTTCAGAAGCGCTGTATTGATAAATTTAAAGCTACTCTTGAGATAAAAGATCCTGTGGTAAGTGTCTTTTAGCAGAAAGATGTATGTAATAGGACAATGGCTAGGCCTTTAGAAAATTTTCTGTGTGATTTTGTTGGCTCCAATAGGAAGTATTAGACTACAATTTTTTTATTTTTAGATTTAAGATTAATTTCTATTTCAGGAGTGACAAAGCCAAATAACAGTAGTCTTGTTCTTCAGCCCTAAGGGTAGAGCATAGTGGCAGAAGAGGAAATGTTAAGAAACTGAATTTGAAGTGGAGGAATCTTAAGATTGATGTAGCACTGGAACTTTATAAGGGACTTTTATAAGATACTTTGTAGCATATTATAGTGGATTTTATTTAAAAAAAAAAAAAAAAAAAAAAAAGAAAGGGAGGCCAGGCACTGTGGCTCATACCTGTAATTCCATCCAGCACTTTGGGAGGACGCGGTGGGCAGATTGCTTGAGGCCAGGAGTCCGAGAGCAGCCTTGCAGCATGGTGAGAATGCATCCCTACAAAAAATACAAAAATTAACCTGGTGTGGGGGAGCAGGCCTGTAGTCCCAGCTGCTCTGGGGGACTGAGGCAGGAGGATCACTCGAGCCTGGGACCTTGAGGCTGCAGTGAGCCACGATCATGCCACTGCACCGCAGCCTGGATGACAGAGCCAGACGCTGTCTCAAAAAAAAGACTCCAGCACATACCTTCAGTAATATGAATGTGAAATAACAGGACCCATTCCAAAAGCAATACACACAAATTTATCCCATTCTTTTATGTCCCCTTCATTTGCTTGAGTAATGTCCTATTTTTTATGTGCCTCTAGGTGAGTTCATAGCCAATGATCACACATATATCTACTCCTGAAGATACAGGAACCAGATTTTCTCTCAGAAAAAATAATTATTAAAATACCATTACAGTTAACTCAATAAAAGTTTATTTATATCTTTGATGTATAGTCATTTCCTTTTATCGTCTGTCCTGTTGCCTGCTGCCTGCAGCAGCTTTGTATAGCAGTCTCCAAGTCGGGACTCTGATGCCTGATGACACATTAGTATGGTCCAGACGTTCCTTGAAACACTCAGACCATGACATTTGAACATCAAATACATCATTTTTGTCTAAAACATTTTCTGAAATCAACAAAATATCTTTCAAGGTTGTATGTGTTTTGTTTTGGGTGTTTTTTTGTTTTGTTTTGTTTTGCTTTCTACCCATAAAAATGTTAGGAGGTTGGGCACGGTGGCTCATGTCTGTAATCCCAGCACTTCGGGAGGCCAAGGCAGGTGGATCACTTGAGGTCAGGAGTTCGAGACCAGCCTGACCAACGAGGTGAAACCCCGTCTCTACTAAAAATACAAAAAATTAGCTGGGTGTGGAGGTGCACGCCTGTAGTCCCAGCGACTCGGGAGGTTGAAACAGGAGAATCACTTGAACACAGGAGGCAGAGGTTGCAGTGAGCTGAGATCACACCACTGCACTCCAGCCTGGGCACTCAAAAAAAAAAAAAAATGTTACAGGAGGGGTTTTGGTGGTGTTTTTGTTTTTTACATTATAGAGAAAGACATGAGGGGGAAAATGGGAATTAGAGAAAAGAAGAAAAATTAACACTCAGCTTTGCTTCCCTGTTTACCTATATGCCTCTTTCCCATTCCAAACTGTCACAACCACTGTTAGCATAGATGTTTGATTACCTGTTGGCCCTTGGACTTTCAAAATTAAACACAAATTAGAAATAAATTTAAATACCTTCACTACTTTAAAAAGCAAAGAGTCCTCAGGGACTTTTTAAAAATTTATTTATAGTATTTGCTATTCTTTTCTCTTACCTTATTAGGTACAAATCAAGACCTACCAGCTCCTACATTCCATCTTTCAGTATCCAAATCCAGCTGTTTCCTACCCATACATTTACTCTTTAGCATCCTGTATCATGGAAAAACTGCAGGAAATAGACAAGAGAAAACCTGAAAACACTGCTGAGCTTGAGATCTTCCAAGAAGGCATAAAGGTCTTAGAAACACTGGTTACTGTTGCTGAAGAACACCATCGTAAGTGTCAGCACTAAATTCATACTCAGTCTCAACAAAAATCAGAATTTTACTGTTATTTAAATTGCAAAACAATCAGTCACATTATATCTGTATTTCACATTCATTGAAAGGTGTTATGTTAATCCCAAGTATTGATATTATTTAGTATTAATTTAGAAGAGATTGGACGAATTGTTTTCTTTAGTGGGGAAAAATGTATACAGATCAAGTGCATTTGCAGGCTTTTGTTAGAAACATTTATGTCACTGAACTTATATTATTTGTTTACTTTCTAGGCGCTCAGCTGGTGGCCTGTCTTTTGCCCATCCTCATTTCCTTCCTTTTGGATGAAAATTCTCTGGGATCAGCAACTTCCATAATGAGAAATTTACATGACTTTGCTCTACAAAATCTCATGCAAATTGGACCTCAGTATTCATCTGTTTTTAAAAGTTTAGTGGCTTCTTCTCCAGCCCTAAAAGCCCGCCTTGAGGCTGCTATAAAGGGCAATCAGGAAAGTGTCAAAGTCAAGATACCAACATCTAAATATACTAAGAGTCCTGGAAAAAACTCAAGCATCCAATTAAAGACCAGTTTCCTCTGATTTTTTTTTTGGAATAGTAAGCACCTTAATATAATAAATACTTGATCATTGCCTTTGGTGACAAAAGGGACATTGTAGACACAAGTGCCCTTAGAGGTCTAGTTGATTGTTTTACCTTAAATAGCTGTGACTCTTCAAAGTAACAGCATACTTAACATTTTTGTGTGTGTGCGTGGGGTTTGTGTTTTGTTTTGTTTTGTTTTTCTATTTAAAAAGACAATGGAGCTAACTTGCCAGGAATTTTAAGAAAGTGCTAAAGAACTAAACTTACTAAACAATCCACTGCTTTAAAAATGAAATGAATTTCTTCTAACAGTCCATACATATGTGGTATACTTAATACTGTGACAGATATAAATATGACTCTAGTGTAAATTATCTGCACTAATATTGTATCCCAATTGCTGATTTAAAATTCTGCTTTGGCCCGGCACAGTGGCTCATCCCTGTAATTCCAGCACTTTGGAAGGCCAAGGCGGGCGGATCACGAAGTCGGGAGTTTGAGACCAGCCTGACCAACATGGTGAAACCCCGTCTCTACTAAAAATACAAAAATTAGCCGGGTGTGGTGGCACACACCTGTAATCCCAGCTACTCAGGAGGCCGAGGCAGGAAAATCGCTTGAACCTGGCAGGCAGAGGTTGCAGTGAGCCAAGATTGTGCCACTGCACTCCAGCCTGGGCGACAGAGTGAGACTCCATCTAAAAAAAAAAAAAAAAAATTCTGCCTTATTCAGTAATTGTATTAAACTTTCTCTGATTTCTCCAAGAAGATAAAATGATTGGAGAGCTATTTAGGAAACCTGGTCTAGGATTATCCAGTATACAATAGTACAAATTACTTACAGCCTTACAGTGCAACATAAGATTTGGTGTCTATATCATGGTTTTCCACCATCTTTTGGTTTAGTTTATATTGGGTTCAGAAATTGAGTCTTACTCATTTTAAATAGAATAAGCCATTTCCACTATTTTTCAAATGGATTTTTCTGTTTACCTCTGTTCTTACCAATTTTGTTCATTTTCATTTGTGGCAAACATTTGTATCAATGAGTTTTAACCTAGGTTCATATCTACATTGTATTTAGATCAACTATGGGTTTATATAAATGCCAAATTTAGTACAACAAATTTAGGTCATCAGGTGAATACAAGTATTTTTTTTAACAGGAAACATTTTATTATAGAAAAAAGATTAATGATAAAGTCATATTGGTTGAAAAATATTTTTTAACTGTGTTCATGATTGTTGATTCTCCTTCTACTTCAGTGTTATACTGTGTGAATCAAGCACTGTGTCAAAACAGAGCATTTCCCTCTTAAAAATTACAAACCGAAGTGATAGAAGCATGTCAGAATTGAGAAGACATTTTGAAGCAAGAACAATGTGATGTACCTATTTTATTATGTTTGTATATAAATACTATTGTAAATTGTTCAGAGTGAAAACATTTGACAAACTCTAACACTACAATCATTTTTTCTAAATTACATAAATAAAGCTAATTTTCATTATCATTCTTGTATTTTTAAATTATTTTACCAACAAAAGATGGCAGGTTGGTTTCTCTCACATGGATTCCAGAAAATCAGCCTTTTTTCTCAGAAGAGCCCTTTCTTTGGAGCATTATTTGTGATGGTTTAGATTCTCTGTCTCTTCCTAAGTGTCTCTAGGCATTGAGTGTATATTTATTGTTCCCTTTACCTAAAATGTCCTTTTCTCTCCTGTCTTCTGTCTGGTGATTGCCCACTCCTTTTAGGCCTGGCTTAAATATCACCTTTCCTTGGTAACTCTCCTTAACACTTCTTAACTTCCTCTTACACCAATTTAACTGCTTCCTCATCTGTGTTTCCATAGTGCTTAATACATTCTTGTATGCATAAAAAATCACATTGCAATTTGTGGTTTGTTTGTTTGTTTAAGCCAAGGTCTTGTTCTGTTGCCCAGGCTGGAATGCAATGGTGTGAACACAGCTCAGTGCAGCCTTGACCTACTATGCTCAAGTGATCCTCCTGCCTCAGCCCCCCAAGTAGCAGGAACTACAGATGTGTGTCTCCAAGCCTAATTTAAAAATTTTTTTTGTAGATATGAGGTCTCACTCATATGCTGCCCAGTCTAGTCTCAAACTCCTGAGCTCAAGCTGTCCTCCCACCTTGGCCTCCCAAAGTGCTAGGATTATAGGTGTGAGCCACCACACCCAGCTCACATTGCATTTTAATATTATCTTGTCTCCCTCTTAGACTGTACCACTTCATAGGGAGAAATTATGTCTTCTGTAACTTGGCTCACTTAATAGCTATTGAATTGCACTGGTACAGGATGGATGAGGACTCATAACTTCTTTGCCAAGGCAAATGCTGAACTAGGTTGTTCTCAGGATGTAACTAATTAATTTGACTTAGGGATTTTAAAAAAGTGTTTTGTCTGTTTTAGCTGTTTCATTTAGTTTGCTCTTACACATTAAGATTTCTACTCAGTACTCTAGTATCCTGAATTATTTGGATTAAAGGTGCTTATATGAACGTCAGTAATTAGGAAAAAAACCTTTTATGTCCAGTGTAATGGAATTAGGAAATTTGAGCTACTCTTAAATGTATCTCCTTAAATCGCCTTATTTAATACAACCCTGAACTATTAAATGTATCTTTACTGATAATGAAATTAAGGCTTAACAGCTGGGGTTTGAACTCATCTTTCTGATCCCAAGCATTCATGCTGGAGACAGGAAAACTGGCAATCCCGATTCCATCAAGGTATAGCTTTTCTCCTCTTTCAGCGCTCCGGGCTCCCTCAGGAGCCTTCCTCACTCTTTGTTGAAGATATTTTCAATTACATTTCTCCAAATTACAACTAAAAAGTCTTTCGCTAATAGAATAGGGGAAAAAGTTTTTTTTTAATTATTTTCTACAGCAGTTTCTTTTTTTTTTTTTTTTTTTTTTGAGATGGAGTTTCGCTCTTGTTGCCCAGGCTGGAGTGCAATGGCCTCTGCTTCCCAGGTTCAAGTGATTCTACTGCCTCAGCCTTCCCAAGTAGCCGGGATTATAGGCATGTGCCACCACATCTGGCTAATTTTGTATTTTTAGGGGAGACGGGGTTTGTCCATGTTGGTCAGACTGGTCTTGAACTCCTGACCTCAGGTGATCCGCCCGCCTCGGCCTCCCAAAGTGCTGGGATTACAGGCATGAGCCACTGTACCTGGCCTGCCCTCTACAGTTTCTATGGGAATAGATTATATGCTTAGATATTAATGAGTCTAGTTGTAATAAAGCAGTTGCATATTAATTAGCTTGGTAACGTTACAAATTAAAAATGTTGATTAGCAACTTGGATGAAACCATCAAAATGGTATAATATTTGTCTTGAGCTTAATTTTTTTTCTAAGAGGAGAAATAGAGACAAAGCTACTAGTTAAGTCATTCTATTTAGCCCATTGCTTAAAAGCTTATGTAAAATAACACTGGATATAACACCTTTCTGTTAATAAAATATTGAGTCTAAATTTTATATAAAACAAACTTCACCGTCAACTTAAGGGAACATTAAGGCCCTTGAAAAGATATAAGTAACTACTATAAAAGAGGTATGATGGTGAGGTTTGGGCTTAAAATTTATTTATTTAAAAAAAAAGTTGGCCGGGCATGGTGGCTCACGCCTATAATCCCAGCACTTTGGGAGGCCGAGGCGGGTGGATCACAAGGTCAGGAGATCAAGATCATCCTGGCTAACACGGTGAAACCCCATCTTTACTAAAAATACAAAAAATTAGCCGGGCATGGTTGCGGGTGCCTGTGATTCCAGCTACTTGGGAGGCTGAGGCCGGAGAATTGCTTGAACCCGGGAGGCGGAGGTTGCACTGAGTCAAGATTGCACCATTGCACTCCAGCCTGGGTGACAGAGCGAGACTCTGTCTCAAAAAAAAAAAAAAAAAAAGCTATGAGTATAGCGCTAAGGGAGCCCAGAGAAGAAAACTGGAGCTTCCAAGATCAACTTTATGGAAAGTATCATATGATACAGGCCTAGAGAATAGGACTTAATGGAATAGATACATAACTCAAGAGTACTTTTTTTAACCAATATTTAAAATTGTTTAATTATATATATATAATCCCAAAATTATGGCCCATTATTAGATAAAATGCTGAAATGTATTCCTAACTACAGAATTATGTACCACATATTTCCCCAAAACTTTGTTTTTTGTTTGTTTTCTGAGATGGAGTCTTGCTCTGTCGCCCAGGCTGGAATGCAGTGGCGTGATCTCAGCTCACTTCAACCTCCACCTCTCAGGTTCAAGCAATTCTCCTGCCTCAGCCTCCCAAGTGGCTAGCATTACAGGCGTGCCCCACCATGCCTGGCTAATTTTTGTAATTTTTTTTTTTAATAGAGATGGTGGTTCACCGTGTTGGCCAGGCTGGTCTCAAACTCCTGACCTTAAGTGATCTGCTGGCCACGGCCTCCCAAAGTGCTAAGATTACAGGGCTGAGCCACCACACCCAGCCTGGGCTACTTTTTATGGTATTAGGAATAAAAAAGAGAAAATGGAAACAGTTTTACCCCAGTGGAACAAGAAAGGGAAGATTCTGGCTTTTTATATTTGGGGGTTTTTTGTTTTTGTTTATTTTTAAAGAGGCAGCCTGTTTCTTTCCTGAACCATATTGTTTCTTTTATGCTTCAGAAGTAATCAGTTATGGCCTGCAGCACTGGACAAATCAATGGTATAAGCATGCATCTTAGATGTGATAACTTCAGAATCCAAGAGAAGAATCATCCCAAGGGCTGGACACAGTGGCTCACACTTGTAATCACAGCAATTTGGGAGGCCAAGGCGAGAGGATCTCCTGAGCTGAGGAGTTTGAAGTTACAGTAAGCTATAATTGTGCCACTGCACTGCAGCCTGAGCTACCAAGTGAGACCCTATCTTAAAAACATAATTTTTTAAGAAGAATCATTCTAGGCCCAAGTCATATCCTCCATGATGACATATACCATATTTTCTCTGATCTGTATTCCAGTAATAGGGAGTAGGGTCAATCCCTTCCTTTTTATAAACCTGCAGGCATTTCTTCATTATCCCAGATATGCATTGATCCTCCCACAGTCTCACCAACATTCAGCATCAACACACTGACAGATTCAGTAAGACAGGAATGCTCAGGATGTCAGTGCATATAGAAGGACTTGATCACAGGAAATCAACACAGCAAGATTGGTTCATTAATGGTGTTGTCATCAGTCTCAGGAGCTTTTGGGACTTTTTCTCCAAATTCCCAGGAAGTTCCATATCTTTTCTTTATATTGTGTTTTAGCCACACCATAGCATCTGTTTAAAAGGCCGTTTGGTGGGCTTAAAGTAAGGGTTCAGGTTATATATTCATTGCCAGTGACTTAAAGACTACCACATCACAAACCAAGCCCTCCAATCAGTTCAGGAGGCCCTCAAAGGTCAGAAAAGGGCACCCAGCTTCCACATGAGTGTATTCAGCCAAGTGCCTTCAAATTCTGGATGCTCTGCCCTGTATGACTGTGCAATACAAAAAAACATCTAGGGCTGGAATGCATGTCTCCTGGTACAACTAAGAGAACTAAGTCAAAAATGTCTCTTCATGGGCTGGGCACAGTGGCTCACTCCTGTAATCCCAGCACTTTGGGAGGCCAAGGCAGGTGGATTGCTTGAGCCCAGGAGTTTGAGATTGGTAACAACAGGAGGTAGAGAAACTCTAGGCAGACAACAGCAGGTCCCTGATGAAGCCCCACCCTCGTGGAAAAGCCATGGCCCAAAGTGAGAACTTCTATCCCTGTTTTCCCACTCAAATGTTGCCTTTTCCTAAACCATCCATGGTCCACCCCCCATCCTGTGCCTATAAATACCCCAGACTCAGCCGGCAGAGAGGAGAAGCAGCTGGACATAGGAGACTACAGCTGGACATCGGAGAGAAGTGGCTTAACTTCAGAGTAACAGCTTGGTGACATAACTTTGAAGAAGAATCTGGCCAAAGACAGCTGGACTTCAGGGGAAGATTACCTACCCCCATCCCCTTTAATCTCCCCTTCCCACTGAGAGCCACTTCATCAGCAATAAAATCCCCCACACTTACCATCCTTCAATTTGTTTGTGCGACCTCATTTTTCCTGGATGCTGGACAAGAGCTTGGGAACCACAGGCGCGGAAACAAAAGGGCCCACGGACCTGTTAACACCTGAGCTGTCCATGGACAGCAGAGCTAAAAGAGCACTGTAACATGCCCTCTGGGGCTTCAAGGGTTGTGGGCACCACCTCCCCAGTCATGCTATGGGGCCTCAAAAGTGCTCACCCCAGCTCCTGCACATGCTCACCTGTGCACTCCCTCCCACATGGGGAGGAATGCAGCAGGTCCAAGTGAGTGGAGTTTGCCCCTGCTGGCACCAAAGTGAACAGCAGGTTCCAGCACTCGTGCACTCCGGTTCCCACCTTGTTCACTCACATGCTCCCTCCCATGAGGAGTCGAGAGCTATAGGCTGAGTAAATGAGGCACCCCTGTTGCCAATCCCACGAAGAGGTCAGGGAAATATCCCGCTTCAAGACCAGCCTGGAAAACATGGCAAAACCCCATCACTACTAAAAACACAAAAATGAGCCAGGTGTAGTGGCACATGTCTGTAATCCCCATTACTTGGGAGTCTGAGGCACAAGAATCGCTTGAACCTGGGAGGCTGATATCACGCCACTGCACTACAGCCTGGGTGACAAAGCAAGACACTCTCTCTCTCAAAAAAAAAAAAAAAAAGAAGCCTCTTCCCCCAAATAGTCGTTTGAAGAGTGTAACACCAGTCTGGGTAACATAGTGAGACCTGGTCTCTACTGAAAAAAGAAAATCTGCTAGGCATGGTGGTACATGCCCATAGTCCAAGCTACTTAGGAAGCTGAGGTGGGAGAATGACTTGAACCTGGGAGATGGAGGCTGCAGTGAGTAATGATTGCACCAGTGCATGCCAGCCTGGGTGACAGAGTGAGACCCTGTCTCAAAAATAAAACAAATAAAAAAAGTGTAGCACCACCTTCTGCTGGTATTTGCACTATTTTTGGAGGAGTAACGTCACAGTACCCCCATCAAAGAAGTGATCTCTAAAGCACCTGGTGGCCATGGATCGTGCTTTTCAGAGTTTGAACATGTTTTCTCCGAAGATCATCATGTGTCTGTTGATCTGGATGTCAACAGCAACCAAGAGTCTTGTAACATTAATTTTAAGAGAAGAATTATCTTTTTTGCAGCATCCTAAAGAATTCCCTTTATCTTTATTATAAGATTTTTCATTACGAGGGAAAAAATTCAGCCCTCAAACTACTGAACTATTAAAAAACCCACTAAACTATGATAATGTTAATGCAAAATTGAAAATATTTGAAATAACTGTATATTCTTGAAAAAAAGTACAATACTAAAATGTTGTCATTTTGGCCGGGCATGGTGGCTTACGCCTGTAATGCCAGCATTTTGGGAGGCCGAGGCAGGCCAATCACTTGAGGCCAGGAGTTCGAGACCAGCCTGGCCAACATGGTGAAACCTTGTTTCTACTAAAAAAATAAAAATTAGCCATGTGTGGTGGCCCACACCTGTAATCCCAGCTACTCGGGAGGCTGAGGCAGGTGAATTGCTTGAACCCAGGAGGTGGAAGTTGCAATGAGCTAAGATTGCACCACTGCACTCCAGCCTAGGCAACAGAGTGAGACTCGGTCTCAAAAAAAAAAAAAAAAAAAAACTTGTCGGTTCTGGTAGTTTAATGATTGCCTTGCATTCTGTCATTTCTGGTGGTTTAATGATTTTGTGTATGTATCTTTCCAGAGCCCATTACTATTTATAACTATAAAATCAAGGTAATTATATATATTGCATCTTCTCCATCAATTGAATATACTTTCCTCTTTACAAATAATTTGTTAGCTCTTTTTTTTCTTTTTTTTTGAGACAGAATCTCACGCTGTCATCCAGGCTAGAGTGCAGTGGTATAATCTTGGCTCACTGCAACCTCAGCCTCCTGGGTTCAAGCAATTCTCCTGCCTCAGCCTTCCAAGTAGCTGGGTTACAGGTGCCCATCACCACGCCCAGCTAATTTTTGTATTTTTAGTAGAGACGGGGTTTCACCATGTTGGCCAGGCTGGTCTCGAACTGCTGACCTCAAGTGATCCACCCGCCTAGGCCTCCGAAAGTGCTGGGATCACAGGCATGAGCCACCACACCCAGCCTAATTTGTTAACTCTTGCAAGACCTCAATTATTCAGGAGAAATTATCTCTGTTTGCTAGAAATATAGTTATCTAACGGCTGGCTGGCTGGCAGTGATCAATTAATGAATTATACCCATGTTGGCCTATCTGTTTACCAGCCTATTTAATTGATGTCTGGGCTAGTTAGCTTTGAGGAAATTTTGTATTGTGATATAGAACTGGAACATATCCAGTATAGACCACAAATACAATCCAGGTTGCATAAATTGAAAAGTGTAGCTTCCTTTAATTGTTTTTCTCTTTTGTTAGGACTCCTGCGCTATCAACTGGGGCATTATAAAATTATAATTCCACAGTCTACTTGAGGAAAATTCCTGTGTCCACATATCATCCTTTAAGTAGAGAGTGTATTTCAAAAAATTAACATTTTTAAAATGATTCTTACTATTCCAAGTATTCTGTATTTTTTGAGATAGTAAGAAGTCATAGGCTGGGCACGGTGGCTCACGCCTGTAATCCCAACACTTCGGGAGGCCGAGGTGGGTGGATTACTTGAGGCCAAGAGTTTAAGACCAGCCTGGCCAACATGGTGAAACTCTGTCTCTACAAAAAAATACAAAAATTAACCTGACGAGGTGGTGCATGCCTGTAGTCCCAGCTACTCAGGAGGCTGAGGCAGGAGCATCACTTGAACCTGGGAGGTGGAGGTTGCAGTGAGCTGAGATCGCGCCACTGGGAGACAGAGCAAGACTGTGTCAAAAAAATGAAAACATAAAAATGAAAAAAGAGGTCATTGCTGCCAATGAAAAAGTGCTGTTGACAATGTTTTTGCTTAATTGGATCAAAATTTAATCTTTTTCCTGGAAAAATACCTACAGGCCAAAAAACTTTATAAGCAGAAAAACAGACACAAGACACAGAAACACACACACATGTCAGAAATAGCAGACTGCTTTATAAAATATTCCAAGAAAGAACAAAACAAATGAGATTTTTTAACAGCAAAGTATGCCGGTGACACAGCAAAAGCAGCTTTGCTAGTGCTATTATTGGAGGAAGTACAAGTGGCCCCAGAAAGAAAACGTGCATGTGCAACCAAAACTGATGGCCTCGGCTGAACAATGAACTCTATAAGTCCCACTGTTTTCTCTGTTAATTACTGCTTTCTTGGGAAAGTTTTGGGCCTTCTGTTTTATATTCAAATGCTGGAGGAGTGCTCACCACTCTCTGAATTGCCAGGGTAACTGGGCTTCCCACATCCTTTCCCTCTCTAGTGGTGTCAAGTACTAGAAACACATCATCTAGATCTTTGTTTAAACACAAAAGCTCCTTAAAAATAGATTTTCTAAATTATGGAAATGCTTTTGTTTCAGTGGTCAACAGATCAATTGTGAGTCAACATCAGATGAGAAGTGGTTCCTATTCTCCACTTCCTATTCTGCAGTCAGCTGTAGTTATCATCATTTGCTACAGTTTTCATTGCAGATGCTTTCTCTTTTCAATAATAGTGTGATCATTGTGATTCTCAATGATGTATAAAAAATTTGTAGAATTTTCTACAATGAATATGTTCCCTTAGTTGATAGATTTATATTCTTAACAGTACTGGGACTTCCAGAAATCACCCTAGATCCTGTCTCTAGGAAAGCACATGCCTAAACCATTTAGAACAATTCTTTTTTTTTTTTAGACAGGATCTCACTCTGTTGCCCAGGCTGGAGTGCAGTGGCATGATGATGGCTCACTGCAGACTTGACCTCCCTAGGCTCAAGTGATCCTCTCACCTCAGCCTCCTGAGTAGCTGGGACTACAGGCGTGCATCACCATGTCTAGCTAATTTTTTGTAGAGATGGGCACATATCACCCTTTAAGCAGACAGCATATTTCAAAAAAACATTTTAAAAATGATTCTTACTATTTCAAGAATTCTGTATTTTTTGAGCAAATAAGAAGCCATAGGCTGGGCATGGTGGCTCATGCCTGTAATGCCAGCACTTTGGAAGGCTGAGGCGGGTGGATTGCTTGAGACCAGGAGTTGAGACCACCCTGGCCAACATGGCAAAACACTGTCTCTACTAAAAGTATAAAAATTAGCCAGGCATGGTGGCTAATGTTCACCGTGTTACCCAGGCTGGTCTCAAACTCCTGGGCTCAAGCCATCTGCAGGCCTCGGCCTCCCAAAGTGCTAGGATTACAGGTGTAAGCCACCTCGCCCAGCCCATTCTATTCTAAAAGATTGGAAGTTTTCATTGTTTTTTCTTGATAACCTATTTAGCGTATCTCATTGTGTGAATAATGGAGTAGTTATGAATTCTTTTTTTTTTTTTTTGAGACGGAGTCTCACTCTGTTGCCCAGGCTGGAGTGCAGTGGCACGATCTCAGCTCACTGCAACCTCCGCCTCCTGGGTTGAAGTGATACTCCTGCCTCAGCCTCCCGAGTACCTGGGATTACAGGCATGCACCACCACACCCAGCTAATTTTTGTATTTTTAGTAGAGATGGCGTTTCACCATGTTGGCCAGGCTGGTCTCAAACTCCTGACCTCAGGTGATTCGCCCGCCTCGGCCTCCCAAAGTGCTGGGATTACAGGTGTGAGACGCCGCGTCCAATCAAAGCAATTTCTTTTGAGGTATGATAGGGCATGTGACGACTTCAGGAACGGCTGGATTTTTTGGGGGGGGCGGGGGACTGAGTCTCGCTTTGTTGCCCAGGCTGGAGTGCAGTGGCACCATCTCGGCTCACTGCAACCTCCACCTCCCAGGTTCAAGTGATTCTCCTGCCTCAGCCTCCTGAGTAGCTGGGACTACAGGCGTGCACTACCATGCCCATCTAATTTTGTATTTTGTATTTTTAGAGAGGGGTTTCACCATGTTGGCAGGCTGATCTCAAACTCCTGACCTGAAGTGATTAGCCACCTCCACCTCCCAAAGTGCTAGGCATGAGCCACCATGCCTGGCCCATAATCATCTTTTCTATAAGCATTTAAAAGTGTCTGTTTTAGTTTCCTAGGACTGCTGTAACAAACTACCATAAATCCAATGGCTTTATGCAATCAAAATTTTGTTTTCTCCCCATTCTGGAGGCCAGAAGTCTGAAATCAAGGCCTAGGCTCACTTCAAAGGCCCTAGGGAAGAATTCTTTCTTGCCTCTTCTAGCTTCTAGTGTTCCAGGTATTCCCTGGCTTCTAGCGCCATAACTCCAAGTCTCTGCCTCCATCTTCACAAGGTTTCCTCCATCTGTCTCTCTTCTATGTGTCTCTCATAAGGACAATTTTAATTGGATTTAGGGCCCACCAGAATAATTCAGGATGGGCCCTAAATAATCTCCTCTCTAGTTCCTTAATTATTATACCTACAAAAGCCTACTTTTCCAAATTAAATCACATTCACAGGTTCTGGAACACGGACATACCTCCTTAGGGGCCGTCATTCTACCCACTACAGTGCCCCAAATTCCTGAATTCCAGACTCAGCATTGCAATGAATACAGCAGTAGCTCTTATTCATCAAATACATTATTTATTTTCACTTGCTCAAGCAGATTTCAACCAAGCTACTTATCAAGAAGTCAGTTACATGCTGAGACAACTGGAAAGGCACATGCAAAAAAAATGAAATTGGACCTTTACCTCACACATATACTAAAGTTACACGAAAATGAATCAAAGACCTAAATATAAGCTAAAACTGTAAACCTCTTAGAAGAAAATATAGACGTAAATTTCCGTGACTTGGATTTGGTAATGGTTTCTTAGATATAACACATAAAGCACAAGTGACCAGAGAAAAAGGAGATAAATTGGACTTCAAAATTAAAAACTTTTGTACTTCAAAAGACACCATCAAGAAAGTGAAAAGGCAACACACAGAATGAGAGGGAGAACTTGGCAAATCACATATCTAATAAAAGTCTAATATCCAGAATATATCAAGAACTCTTAAAACTCAACACTGAAGGCCGGGGGTGGTGACTCATGCCTGTAATCCCAGAACTCCAAGAGGCTGAGGCGGGAGGATCACTTGAGCTCCAAGAATTCAACACCAGCCTCGGCAACATGGTGAGACCCTGCCTCTATTTTAAAGAAAATAAAAGAAAAGAAAACTCAATACTGAAAAGACAATCCAATTTAAAAATGGGTAAAGGATTTAAATAGACATTTCTTCAAGGAATATAATAGATGCTCAATAAGCAAATGAAAAGATGCTCAACATCATTAATCATTAGGGAAATGCAAAACCACAATGAGATGCCACTTCACATCCACCAGGATGGCTGTGTGAACACCAGTATCTGAGACAGGCCTCGGTTAATTTAGAAAGTTTATTTTGCCAAGGTTGAGGATACACACTGGTGACACAACCTCAGGAGGTCCTGACAACATGTGCCCAAGGTGGTCAGAGCACAGTTTGGTTTTATACATTTTAGGGAGACATGAGACATCAATCAACATATGTAAGATAAATATTGGTTCAGAAAGGCGGGATAACTCAAAGTGTGGAGGGGGATTCCAGGTCATAGGTAGATAAGAGACAAATGTTTGCATTCTTTTGAGTTACCTGATTAGCCTCTCCAAAGGAGGCATTTATCTGATTAGCCTCTCCTTTGGAGAGGCTATCTCAGTGAACAGAGGGGTGAGTTTGAATAGAATGCGAGGCAGGTTTGCCCTAAACAGTCACCAGCTTGACTTTTCACTTTAGCTTAGTGATTTTGGGGCCCCAAGATTTAGTTTCCTTTCACATTTCCGCCTTCTCTTTTAAAAAAATCTTTTGGAGAAAGCATTTTAGAAGAAAATGAGTCTCTGGTTTCAGGCTTCATCTGATTCCTAGACAGGTAGGTCCAGAGATATTAGGAAAGCTCATTTTTAGCAGGTTGTGAAGTTTCCTGTCCTATGAAGAGAAAGTAAGAGGAGGAAGGGAGGAAAACAACAAGAAACAAAAGAAGAATCCTGGAAAATCAATATAAGCCACATTACTCTGAAGTTCATACATCAGTAGCAGGTATGAAAGTGGCTGATATATGTAAATAGGTTGCTGTTATTTTCTTCTGAAGTTTAAGTTGTCTAGCTTCAGTTCACAGGGCTTTAAGAAAGCACAGCTTAATTTTTGGTGACTCCAAATTAGGAAAAATGGGGGAAAAAAGAATGAAAAAAATTGAAAACATTATTTTGAAGACTTCTAGCCAAAAAAAAAAAAAAAAATCAGTCCAAACTGTAGAAAATAATAAAAATTGAAAAACATTAGGCAAGACTAGAATCTAACAACAGGTGAACTATAGTTTTTGAAACATAAATTTTCTCTCTCCAGTTTCCCATTTTTGCTAAAGACAAATCATAGTGGGACTGATTTGCTTTATTATACTTGGCCTGATTATTTGTATACAGTGCAGCAAGAATATTTTTTTTTTTGAGATGGAATTTCACTCTTGTTGCCCAGGCTAGAGTGCAATGATGCAAACTTGGCTCACCACAACCTCTGCCTCCCAGATTCAAGCAGTTCTCCTGCCTCACCCTCCTGAGCAGCTGGGATTACAGGCATGCACCACCACACCTGGCTAATTTTGTATTTTTAGTAGAGACAGGGTTTCTCCATGTTGGTCAGGCTGGTCTCGAGCTCCCGACCTCAAGTGATCCACCCACCTTGGCCTCCCAAAGTGCTAGGATTACAGGCGTGAGCCACCACGCCCAGCCATAATTTTTTTACATAGTCTTTTAAATTGGCTTCGATGGAACATTGTTTCACTGGTCAGGAACCCGGTACATGGACTGTGTAGACAAAGGTATGAGGCCACTTTTCCCAAGGGGTTTTTATTGGCTCTATTAGTCGTTTGATTCCTTAAAGGAAAGTACACCATTTCAGTCAAAGCCTTGATAAAATAACCAGTTTCTCCAATTGTGTCCTACTACAAATGAACACAGATTCTTATTGAACTTATGCAAATAACCATATTGCCAAAAGTTAAGAATACTCACAAATAGTTCCCAAATTCTGGAGAAATCAGGTAGAAAGAAACAAATATGCTCCAAATTTTGTTCATAGGAGTATACTTCCTTGTTAAAAGTTGACAATAGCTCAAAAGAAATGTTTCCTTGACTCTGAAAAAACAAAACAAAGGATCAGAAATGTTTTAATCAAAGTGTCAAAAAGACTACTTCAGTCCTCTATCAGTTCAGTCCATGCAGTTAATTCCTGGTCTACTTCATTTTCATGAATATTTCAGCTCTCCATGAGTCCTGAAAGTTTTCCCTCAATTCTGATGTCACAGTCTCCAAAGTTATCAGAAACCTGCATTCAAGAGCACCTTTTAGGCTGGGTACAGTGGCTCATGCCTGTAATCTCAGCACTTTGGGGAGGCCGAGGTGGGTGGATCACCTGAGGTCAGGAGTTTGAGAACAGCCCAGCCAACATGGTGAAACCCTGTCTCTACTAAAAATATAAAAATTAGCCAGGTGTGGTGGTGGGCACCTGTAATCCCAGCTACTCAGGAGGCTGAGGCAGGAGAATTGTTTGAACCCGGGAGGTGGAGGTTGCAGTGAGCCAAGATTGTGCCATTGCACTCCAGCCTGTCTCAAAAAAAAAAAAAAAAAAAAGAGCACCTGTTAGCACTTGTTAGAGTTTTATTGATTATAAAGCCACCTTATAAAGAGGACCAAACCAAGAAAACAATTGTCTGTGGATGACAAAAAGTTTTAGGGCAGCCATAGTAAAAAACACAACTGACAAGGAAATTTTTTGCCTCTGTGGCAGACAATAATTTAACATAATGATTACAATTATCACTGATAATGTATACTAAGTCATATCAGAATTATAGGAGTTTCCCATAATTTTGGAACACATACCAATAACATATTTATACAAATACAGCCCAAAGAAAACCAAACACCATTTCATATTTGACAGTGCTTCCTGTATAATTTTTATACCAAATAAGACAAATTATGTCATTTTTGGACTTTAGGGAACCTAATATCTTAAAGGATTAATTAGGTCAGAAAAAGACATAACACACACACACACATATATATGTGTGTGTGTGTGTATATATATATATATATATATATATATATATATTTTTTTTTTTTTTTTTTTTTTTTTTTTGAGACAAAGTCTCCCTCTGTCACCCAGGCTGGAGTGCAGTGGTGCGATCGTGGCTCACTGCCACCTCTGGCTCCTGGGTTCAAGCAATTCTTCTGCCTCAGCCTCCCAAGTAGCTGGGACTACAGGCATGTGCCAACACACCCAGTTAATTTTTGTATTTTTAGTAAAGATGGGGTTTCACTATGTTGGCCAGGCTGGTCCCAAACTCTTGACCTCAGGTGATTCACTGCCTTGGCCTCCCAAAGTGCTGGGATTACAGGCATAAGCCATCGCACCTGGCCAATACATAATTTATAATTTGATTCTGGGTTGTCAAATATCAAAGGTTTAAAACACTTGGTATCACACTCATTGTAAAATAACTCATTCATTTGACCAAAGTGATAACTCGGGGATTAAAAAAAAAAGTGAAAACCTTCATTCATTGAGGAGACTTAATTTTTATAAACAATCTATAAAATTTTAATCTTGACCATAAGATATAACTTCCATAAGCCTTTTATAAACATTGTAACCTTTATTAAGGAGTCACTTAATGCTTCAAGAAACCTTGTTGATCTGACACAGGGGCCCATATGCTGGTCTTGCATCAGTGTGCCTTTCACATTATTGATTAACTTATAGAGAAACTGAACTTATTTTATTCCTGAAAATTGGCCCTTACAGTGTCACACACCCACCTCTTCCACAATAGTCCCTGGGCCTTGTGGAGTTGAATAGCTTTAAATTCTGACCCTGTGTCACAGGAAATGCAGTTTATTTTGATTGGCATCTTCCAGCAGGCCTGAAGATGAGCCTTTAATTGCTGTCAGAGTTTAGGATTTCTCAGGACTTGGTGTCCTTTTTAGACCTAGGAGTCAAAGCCTTGTAACTCACTGTCACAAGGACTTTAAAAGCACATACGAGGGCTGGGTGTGGTGGCCCACACCTGTAATCCCAGCACTTTTGGAGGCTGAAGCAGGCGGATTGCCTGAGGTCAGGAGGCAAGCGGATTGCCTGAGGTCAGGAGTTCAAGACCAGCCTGGTCAACATGGTGAAGCCCCGTCTCTACTAAAAATACAAAAATTAGCTGGGCATGGTGACGTGCGCCTGTAGTCCCAGCTACTCAGTAGGCTGAGGCAGGAGAATCGCTTGAACCCAGGAGGCGGATGTTGCAGTGAGCTGAGATCGTGCCATTGAACTCCACCTTGGGCTATAAGAACAAAATTCTGTCGAAAGAAAAGAAAGAAAGAAAGAAAGAAAGAAGGAAGGAAGGAAGGAAGGAAGGAAGGAAGGAAGGAAGGAAAGGAAGGAAGGAAGGAAGGAAGGAAGGAAGAAAGAAAGAAAGAAAGAAAGAAAGAAAAAGAAAGAAAGAAAAAACATTGTTATCATCAGGCCACAACAGCAAACACAACTCAAGGAAATAAACTTATATGAGCTGGAAATGAGTTGAAGGAGAGTGTTACTATTTTGCGCCCTTTAAAAGGGTTAAAAGGGGACAGAAAATGAAAATGGTGAGATCCAATAAAGGTGAACGTTGAGTTAAAAAAAATTAAAATCTCTTGGCCGGGCACAGTGGCTCATGCCTGTAATCCCAACGCTTTGGGAGACCAAAGTGGGCAGATCATAAGATCAGGAGATCGAGACCATCCTGGCTAACACAGCGAAACCTCGTCTCTACTAAAAATACAAAAAATTAGCTGGGTGTAGTGGTGGGTGCCTGTAGTCCCAGCTACTCCGGAGGCTGAGGCAGAAGAATGGCATGAACCCGGCAGGCGGAGCTTGCAGTGAGCCGAGATCGTGCCACTGCACTCCAGCCTCAGTGACAGTGTGAGACTCTGTCTCAAAAAAGTAAATAAAAATAAAAATAAAAAATAAATTAAAATCTCTCATAATTTATTAAGAGTAAATCAATCCCTTAAGAAAATTTCATTGTTGTAACCAATTATATAGTGTATAAGATTTTTTATACATCAAGCCCAGTCTCTGAAAAGACCATTATAATTTCACTTTAATTATAGACAACTTGATCATATAAAAGTTTTTTTTAATAAATCTTCTTATTGTGACTTACATAGACTGTTCATGACATGCTTTGACTTTCTGGTTTGTCCTGAACATCCTTCTTTCTTAAACAGTCATTTTATTCTAGGACTAAATTTGCCACACAAGATTCTTTCTCATATGAAATTATTTTTCTTTATGTTTTCTTACCAAAAAAAACTAAAAAACCTCTTTATTTTTATAACTTTTTTTTTTCCTTTTTTTTCAAGATGGAGTCTCATTCTGTCATCCAGGTTGGAGTGCAGTGGCACAATCTCAACACACTACAACCTCCACCTCCTGGGTTCAAGTGATTTTCCTGCCTCAGCCTCCGAAGTATTTGGGATTACAGTCGTCCACCACCACACCTGGCTAATTTTCATATTTTTAGTAGAGATGGGGTTTCACCATGTTGGCCAGGCTGGTCTGAAACTCTTGACCTCAGGTGACCCGTCTGCCTCGGCCTCCCAAAGTTCTGGTTCTGGTATTACAGTTGTGAGCCACCATGCCTGGCTTATTTTTATAACTTTATTTACATCTCTCTTATTTCATGATTCTTTTTAGCTTGGCTTTTTTTTTTTTTTTTTTTTTGAGATGGAGTTTTGCTCTTGTTGCCCAGGCTGGAGTGAAATGGCATGATCTTGGCTCACCACAACCTCCACCTCCCAGGTTCAAGCAATTCTCCTGCCCCAGCCTCCCGAGTAGCTGGGATTACAGGCATGCACCATCACGCCCAGCTAATTTTGTATTTTTAATAGAGACAGAGTTTCTCCATGTTAGTCAGGTTGGTCTTGAACTCCCGACCTCAGGTGATCTGCCCACCTCAGCCTCCCAAAGTTCTGGGATCACAGGCGTGAGCCACCATGCCCAACCCCTTTTTACCTTGCTTTATATATAACCTTTAAATAAGCTTTGAATCAGACAAAACTTTTTCACCTTTTTAAAAGGACACACATTTTTTCAGAAAGAATGTTTTTCTACAATATAATTTTATTGGAAAATACCCAAATAATAAAATACCTATTATTTATTATTATTATTTTGAGACAGAGTCTCCCTCTGTCACCCAGGCTGGAGTGCAGTGGTGCAATCTCAGCTCACTGCCACCGCTGCCTCCCAGGTTCAAACAATTCTCCTGTCTCAGCCTCCCAAGTAGCTGGGACTACAGGCACCCACCATCATGCCTGGCTAATTTTTTTTTATTATTATTTTTAGTACAGACAAGATTTCACTATGTTGGCCAAGCAGGTCTTGAACCCCTGACCGCCCACCTCAGCCTCCCAAAGTGCTGGGATTACAGGCATGAGCCACCATGCCCAGCCATATTATTTAATTTAATATAACTTTAGATTCTAAGTTATGACAAGTTTGTCTACAACTATCCCATTGTATTTACCTAATTATTTTATTTTCATTATTTACCTAGATTACTTATGAAAACTGTGATAGTCATCATTTAAAGTTATGGAACCATAACTATGGAACTGCAAAATTATAACTGAGACAGTGAAAAAGATCTGACCTAATTGACTTCATCTTGCTTCTAACCTCCAAGCTGTCCTTGTTCATTCCTGGGTATAGGCCAAACTAACTTTGGGAGGAACCTAGTTTATAGTTTAGCTTTGAAACGACATTAACAGTCCTTTCCCAAACAGATTTTAGAGCTCTTTTTCCTTAATGTAAATATGCACAAAGACCATATTAGTTCTATTTTACATAAACTCTGGCAAGTAGAGGTGCCATAAAACCTATGGATTACTTGAAAGGGGGCCATTCTCCTTGTTTTCTCCTCATTCTTAGATGATTTGTTTCCTACTTATTTTCCTAAAAGGAGGAACTGAGCTGTAGCCTAAGGTTTTTGAGTGGTAGATTGATGTGTACTGCTTGTGGGCAGGACTCCACAGTGTGTCACCACTGAGTCATTTCCACCCTCTTATGTATCTCAGTTTCTCTCTCCAGAGTTCTATGACCTCTGAGAGAGCTCAAAACACTGGGTGATCAGCCCTCATATGCATTTCCTGGACAAGCTTTTTCTTTTTCTTTTTTTTTTTTTTTTTTTTTGAGGCAGAGTCTTGCTCTGTCACCCATGCTGGAGTGCAGTGGCATGATCTCAGCTCACTGCAACCTCCACCTCCCACATTCAAGTGATTCTCCTGCCTCAGCCTCCTGAGTAGCTGGGATTACAGGTACCTGCCACCACACCCAGCTAACTTTTGTATTTTTAGTAGAGACAGGGTTTCACCATGTTGGCCAGGTTGGTCTCAAACTCCTGACCTCAGGTGATCCGCCCTCCTTGGCCTCCCAAAGCGCTGGGATTACAGGTGTGAGCCACCACACCCGGCTGCCTTTTTCAAAATTAATTTTTGTTGGGGATTTCCCTGTAGGGCTGCTACACATCATCTGGGGGGTCAATCACCCAGACACTCCCATGAGCCCCCCGGTCACCCAGGGGCACCATTTGTCTGGGAGGAGCAAAATGCCTTTCTCTTTCAAACTGAGAAAACTCAGTTTCTCATTTACCTATGAAAACAACAGTTCAGTTCCTCATGCAATTGTTCACAGACAAGCCAAATCGAAATTAGTTTTGGGATAGAGAAGATCCTTTAGAATGCATCTCCAAACTAGAATTAGGATCCTTAAACAACGACTTCCTAGGAGGAAAAAAAAAAAAAACAGCCAGGCACAGTGGCTCACGCCTGTAATCCCATCACTTTGGGAGGCTGAGGTGGGAGGATCACCTGAGGTCAGGAGTTCAAGACCAGCCTGACCAACATGGAGAAACCCTGTCTCTACTAAAAATACAAAATTAGCCAGGCATGGTGGCACATGTCTGTAATCCCAGCTTCTCAGGAGACTGAGGCAGGAAAATTGCTTGAATCCAGGAGGCAGAGGTTGCAGTGAGCTGAGATCACGCCATTGTATTCCAGCCTGGGCAACAAGAGCGAAACTCTGTGTCAAAAAACAACAACAACAACAGCGAAGACCACTTCCTGTAAACTGTGCTCAGCCACCCTTACCTTTCTAGCTCTCATCTGCCATTTCACATGCCAGGGTCAAATCCTCTCACAGTACAAGGTCATCTCTGGTTACCTGCAAAGCCAAAGAGGTCAGCTCATGTAATACAGGAAAACAGAGCTTTAGACCTAAGAAGAATCTGCCCAGGACTCTTGAAACACCACAAGGAAAACAGAACACCCCAAAAGGGATGAGTGATGACTTTGTTCTGAATTCTTTAAAGGGGTTCAAGTTATTAGAAGCCTTCTCTAGATTTTCTGATACTACAGGTGGCAAAGAGGGAAGGAGGTACAGGGCGGAAGAAAAGTAAATGAAAGAACATTTCATTTTTTAAGGAGGAAGCAAACACAGAAACCAAACACATGGGTTGTTTTTTTTTCCTCTTTTGTAGCTGCAAGGAATTTTAGCCAAATTAGAGAGGCTTTGGAAGTCCCTCTTGGATTTGAGGAAGTCAGGTAGACTTGGTCACTGAGTGCTCTAATGGTAAGGAGAAATTAAGACCAGCTGGTTGTTAAACTTTAGCCAAGACAATTCAGCTACTTACCTAGGGATGAGTCTCAGGCTGAAGACTGCTCTCTACCATCCTTGAAGCAGGAAACACTTGAACTCGTCTTCCCTGCTGGGAGCGAGCTCAAACTCCATAAAGGAGCCTGCCTTCCAACATCAGCAAGAAATCTTGCATTCCTTGTTGGAAGCAAGTAAAACAAAAAAAAAAAAAAAAAAAAGGTGTTGGGGGGAGTTGTACAGCAAAATAAACTTTAGATCTCAACCAAATTTTGGGAGATCAGGGGTCCTCTGGAGGGTGTGCTCCCAAACCTCAGCAATTTGTCCTGTTGGTTTAAGCCATAAGGTTAGGTCATGCTGGTACCAAGCACCGATAGGAACTTCGTCAAAGATCAGGTGCACCTCCACTCAGAATCCCTTCGTGGTTACCAAAATGTGAACCCGGCATATGTGAGACCGGCCTCAGTTAATTTAGATAGTTTATTTTGCCAAGGTTGAGGGCACACACCCATGACACAGCCTCAGGAGGTCCGGACGACATGTGCCCAAGGTGGTCAGAGCACAGTTTAGTTTTATCATTTTAGGGAGACATGAGACATCAATCAGCATATGTAAGATGAACATTGGTTCAGCCTGGAAAAGAGGACAACTCAAAGCAAAGGCGGGGCCACTCGAAGCAGGGAGGGGGCTTCTAGGTCATAGGTAGATAAGAGAAAAACGGTTGCATTCTTTTGAGTTTCTGATTGGCCTCTCCAAAGAGGCAAGCAGATATGCATTTATCTCAGTGAGCAGGTGATTTTGAATAGAATGGGAGGCAGGTTTGCCCTAAGCAGTTCCCAGCTTGACTTTACCCTTTAACTTAGTGATTTTGAGGCCCCAAGATTTATTTTCCTTTCATAGCTATGATAAAAAAAATACAGACAATACAAAGAATTGGGGAGGATGTAGAAAAATTACAACCTCTGTACATTGCTGATTTTTTTTTAATTAACAGAGAAAATTTTATGTATTGTGTAGAACACAATGTTTTGAAGTATATATACATTGTGGAATAGTTAAATCTAGCTAATTAACAAATGTGTTACCTCACATAATTATCACTTTTGTGGTGAGAACACTTATCATCCTCTCCATTTACCTTTTTTCTTTTTTCAGACAAGGTCTTGCTCTGTTACCCAGGCTGTAGTGCACTGGTATGATCATAGCTCACTGCAGCCTCAAACTCCCTGGGCTGAAGCAATCCTTCCACCTCAGCCTCCTGAGTAGCAGGGACAACAGGTGTGCACCATGACATCTGAACACTCTATTTGCATTTTTTTAGTACACTATATTGTCATTAACTGTAGTCTCCATGCTGTATAATAGGTCTCTAAATGGTAAGAAATTAAACATAATTATGATATGATCCAGCAATTCCACTCCTAGGTATGAAAAAATTGAAATGTTCACACACAAACTTGTACATGAACATTTATAGCAGCATTATTTATAATAGCCAAAAAGTGGAAACAACACAAGTGTCCATCAACTGATGAGTGTATTAACAAAATGTGTTATATCCAAACAGTGGAATATTACTCAGCCATAAAAATGAATGAAGCATTGATACATGCTACTAATGCAGGATTTTTCTTGGCCCCTTTGCCAGGTTTGAAGCAGCAGACATCCCATCTGCTTGGCCCACCGGGCCATGTCTGGCTTGCACTCCAGCCCATGGCTCCTGCTGCTGCTGCTGTGACTACATGCTCAGCCCCTGGCAGGAGAGGATGTGTGTGTGAGTGAGTATGGGATCTGACCAGCCATTCCAAACTTCAGCACAGGAGTGGGCTCCATGCAGTGCTTGCAGCTGGACGAGGTGTGTCCTGCCACATCCCAAGGGGATGCAGTGGTGCCCAGGCAAGGGTGCCTACAACCCTGAAGCCCCAGAAGCAGTGTTACAACGTGCTAATTAGCTCATTTAGTCCCACCATCTGCAGCCTGATGGACAGCAGTGTGTTAACAGCTTGGACAGGCCCTTGCCCAGCTCTGGCCCTTGGCTCCAGGGCTGGCTTGGCCCTACCATTGCTTCCTGTGACATTGGGAGGCTGCCCTCTGCTGGTGGAGGGAAGAGGGCCACAATGTTTACAGCCTTCTGAGTACCTGTGCTTGGTGGGTCCTGAATTCTTGTCCCACATCCAAGAAGAATGAGGTCATGCTGACAATTGAAGGGTGATGAGGGCGGAGAATTTTATTGAGCGACAAAACAGCTCTCAGCAGAGAGGGGACAGGAAGGTTGGGTCATCTCCCCAGTGTGGCTGAATCTGGGGGTTTTCATAGGCACAGGATGGGGAAGGGGAGGGCCATAGGTAGTATTGGAAAAGGTAACATTTGATTGGTTTAAAAGCATTATTCAGAAAGAACCAATCAGGAAAGGGTGGGCAAACAGGAACAGAAGTTCTCACTCAGGGTCGCAGGTTTCATCTGTAACCAGGAGTCCAATCTTTCAGCCTTCAGACTATGTTGGGCTTGAAGGTGGGGTTTCACCAAGGACCCGCCCCTAACTGCCTAGGCATTTGTCTGCCTCCTGCTGCTATCACTACAGTGTAGATGAACTTTGAAAACAGAAGAAGCCAAACAGAAAAGCCTTCTTATTATGATTCTATTTACATGAAATGTCTATTTATAGGAAATGCCTGTGAATAGGCAAATCCATACAGACAGGAAGTAGATTTGTGGTTGCTAGGGGTTGGAAAAGGGGGGCATGGGAGGTGATTGCTAATGGATATGGGGAGTCAGACATAAATAGTTAAGATGAAATCATACTGGAGTAGAGTGGGCCCTTAATCGAATCTGACTCGAGTTCTTATAAAAAGAGGAGCCCCCAATGTGAAGATACAGAAACACAACACAGAGAGAAGACAGCTGTGTGAAGAAGAAGCAGAGATTGCAGTTATGTTGCCATAAGCAGAGGAATGTCTGGGGCTAGCAGAAGCTGGAAGAAGCAAGGAAACATCCTCCCTTAGAGGTTTGGGGAGGAGCATGGTCTTGCCAACACCTTGATTTTGGACTTTTAGCTTTCAGCACTGTGAGGGAATAAATTTCTGTTGCCTAAAGCAAGTTAGTTTGTGGTACTTAGTTATGGCAGCTGTGGGAAACTCATGGAGATTTATATCTCAATTTTATTTTATTTTTTTTTAGAGACAGTCTCTCTCTGTCATCCAGGCTGGAGTGCAGTAGTGCTATCTTGGCTCACTGCAACCTCTGCCTCCCGGGTTCAAGTGATTCTCCTGCCTCAGCCAACTGAGTAGTTGGGATTACAAGCATGTGCCACTATGCCCAGCTAATTTTTGTAGAGACGGGGTCTCACCATGTTGGCAGGCTGGTCTCGAACTCCCTACCTTAAGTGATCCATCTACCCTGGCCTTCCAAAGTGCTGGGATTGCAGGCATAAGCCACCACACCTGGCTTATGTCTAAAGTTTTGAAAAAGGAACCAGTTGAAAAGAAGTTAGGAGAGCAGGCTATACTTGGCACATAGTTGTCACTCAAAAAATGTGAACATGGTACACTTTGATGGAAGGAAAGGTACTGGAAACGGTGGCTTGCTTAGGTAGATCAATTTTACTATTAGATTATAAATCTTTATTGCTAAAAAATCAGTCCTATCAACAGACTGACATCCTATCTTTTTAGTCATCTTACTTAGTAATGCTATTCCAAATCCCAAAACACAAGAGATTTTGTGTTACTTTTTGTCTCTGCCTATTGATCATGGTATGGCGATGCATTCCACTGTGTGATCTTAGGAAAGCCACCTTCTTATCTGGGGTTTAAATTTCCTCACCTACAAAATGTTCTTCCTACTTCATATTTGAATAATGAGGATTAAATGAAATAGTGTATTTGAAAACACTTGGAATTCCAACTACAGAGACTCACTCTTCCAATACTACGGATTGTGGTTATCTATCTAAATTAAGCTTGACAAAGAAGTCTTAATTAAAATGACCTTAAGGCGCTGTTTACCAAACATTCCTGATTGTAAGAACCATCTGGAGATACTTATTATAAATTCCAGACCCTTAGGGCTCACTCCAGAACTACTAAATTGGAATCTTCAGAGAAGAGGCATGAAACTCTTATTGTTAACAAGGGCCCAATGTGACTCTTATGATCTCAAAAATAGAGAGCTCTTCCCCGTCAATAGCTGTTCAAATGTAGTGTGGGAGAAACATCTGAAAAGCTTGTCAAAAAAGAGAAGTGGCAGGAAATTAAAAACAAGTGCCTGGAAGAAAAAATTAAATGCCAGAAAGTAACGAAGTGTTAAAACAAACAAACAGTGGGGTTGTGTCAAGTGGACAACAGGGCCACAAGAGTGCCCAAAAGGCCAAAACTGGAAAATGAGATTATTGGATTATAACTCGAAATGTAAAATAAACGTCTATAAGTCTCTCCTGATATAAATAAATAAATGAATAAATGATGGAAATGGACCAATCTCCCATGCAGAATTCCAAATAATTTATGTAAATATTCTACCCTCAAGGAGGTGAAACTGAACTCCCCACCCCTTATGTGTGGGTTGCACATGGTGATTTCCCCTGCCAAAGAATACATATGGAAAGGGGAGAGGAAAAAGAATACTGTGGGGAAATGACAGAACTACCTTAGTGTACACTTGTTACATGATAAGAGTGGCACTTTGTGGTCTTTTTCCCAAAAACCCATAACCCCGATCTAATCACGAGAAGAACATCAGACAAACCCAAGTTGAAGGGCATTCTATAAAAAATACCTGACCAGGCTGGGCGCAGTGGCTCACACCTGTAATCCCAGCACTTTGGGTGGCCGAGGCGGGCGCATCACCTGAGGTCGGGAGTTCAAGACCAGCCTGACCAACATGGAGAAACCCTGTCTCTACTAAAAAAAAAAAAAAAAAAAAATACAAAATTAGCCAGGCATGGTGGCACATGCCTGTAATCCCAGCTACTCGGGAGGCTGAGGCAGCAGAATAGCCTGAACCTGGGAAGCAGAGGTTGGGGTGAGCCATCGCGCCACTGCACTCCAGCCTGGGCAACAAGAGCAAAACTCTGTCTCTAAAACAAAAACAAAAAACCTGACCAGTACTTTTCAAAACTGTTAAGGTCATAAAAAACAAGGAAAGTCTGGGACCAGACACGGTGGCTCACGCCTGTAATTCCAACACTTCGGGAGGCCAAGACAGGAGGGTCGCTTAAGGCCAGGAGTTCAAGACTAGTCTGGGCAATATAACAAGATCTCACCTCTACAATCAAAAGATTCTCCTGGGTTGTTGGTCTGGGTGGCTCATGCCTGTAATCCCAGCACTCTGGGAGGCTGAGGCGGGTGGATCACTTGAAGTCAGAGTTCAAGACCAGCCTGGCCAACATGGTGAAACCCGGTCTCTACTAAAACTACAAAATTAGCCGGGCATGGTGGCAGGCAGCTGTAGTCCCAGCTACTCTGGAGGCTGAGACAGGAGAACCTCTTGAACCTGGGAGGCAGAGGTGCAGTGAGCTGAGATCGTGCCACCGCACTGCAGCCTGGGAGACACAGCAAGACTCCATCTCAAAAAGAAAAAAAAAAAAAAAAAAGATTCTCCTGGCATGGTGGCACACGCCTGTAGTCCCAGCTACTCCAGAGGCTGAGGTGAAAGGATTGCTTGAGTCCAGGAGTTCGAGGTTACAGTGAGCCATGATTACATCACTGCACTTCAGCCTGGGCAACAGAAGGAGACCCTATTTCAAAAAACAACAACAAAAGACTTATGACAAAAACAAGGCAAGTCTAAAAAACTGTCATAACAGAGAGAAGCCTAAGAAGGCACGATGACTAAATGTAGCATGGTATCCTAGATGGGATCCTGGAACAGAAAAAGGAGATTAGGTAAGAACTAAGAAAATGTGAATAAAATATGAACTTTAGTTAACAAGAAAGTATCAATATTGGTTCAACACTTGTGACAAATGTACCATACTAGTAGTGTAAGATGTTAATAACGGGAGACTGGGTGTGTGTTATATGGAAACTCTGTACTATCTTCACAATTTTTCTGTAAATCTAAAACTATTCTAAATGTTAATCTTTATTAAAAACAAAAAGAAATTCTGAATCACGACACTAAGGTAAGGTCCAATAATTTGCATTTTCTTTTTCTAGAGACGGAGGCTCGCTATGTTGCCCAGGCTGGAGTGCAGTGGCTATTCAGAGGTGTGATCTGTGATTGTGCACTAGATCCTCGAACTCCTGAGCTCAAGCAATCTTCCTGCCTAGCTTCCTGAGTAGCTGGGACTACAGGCACACAGCACCAGACCCAGCCAATAATTTGCATTTCTAATCAGCACTTGTTTCCCAACTCCCTTGCTTCTGATGGATGGCCACAAGCCCATTCCAAAGTCTGCTCCCTACCTGGCCTTCAGTGTAAAGTAGAACAACTGTGAGGACGTCTGGCCACAAAGTTCACTGATTAACACTGTAACAGGTATTTGCAAAGTAGGTCATCGCAGCCTCTGTTCACCTGCGTTTTTAGGGATTAGTCAGAGGAACAGGTAACCCTGTTTCAGATCACCAGCAGGAAAAGGCGTGGTCAAATAGAAAAGCAGATAGCTGGTTTCCATTTGGGGAGTAACACCCATCTTAATGGGTGTCAAAACAGCTTAGTCACTTCTATTTTGTTTATGCTGCTCCCTCTCCAAGTACCACTTCCTTGGGCTCCATCCCAGATAAAAGAAATCAAGTGCCAAAGCACTACCTCACAAAATGAGTTGCTGAAGACTTCCACGATAAATAGGTTGTTCCTGAGCTCCTGTTTCCAATAGACATTTCTCCAATCTTTTTTATTTTTTATTTTTTCTTGAGACAGAGTCTCGCTCTGTCGCCAGGCTGGAGTGCAGTGGCGCGATCTCGGCTCACTGCAAGCTCCGCCTCCCGGGTTCAGGCCATTCTCCTGCCTCAGCCTCCCGAGTAGCTGGGACTAAAGGCGCCCGCCACCATGCCCGTCTAATTTTTATACTTTTAGTAGAGACGGGGTTTCACCATGTTGGCTAGGCTGGTCTCAATCTCTTCACCTCGTGATCTGCCCGCCTCGGCCTCCCAAAGTGCTGGGATTAGAGATGTGAGCCACGGCGCCTGGCCCATTTCTCCAGTCTTGATCCTCAGCAAGTCACATCCCTAATGCTTTGTCTGTTCTCTTATACATATAACATTGGTGCCTCTTGTAGGTGAGAAGACTGTAGCATTGAAGAGGATACAGCACTGTTTAGTTAAGTGATCATAAAGATCTATGCATCACAGACTAATGATCCCTGGTAATTTGTGCAAGTTTATAAAAAACTCAGGATCGGCCGGGCGCAGTGGCTCACGCCTGTAATCCCAGCACTTTGGGAAGCCGAGGCGGGCGGATCACGAGGTCAGGAGATTGAGACCATCCTGGCTAACACGGTGAAACCCCGTCTCTACTAAAAATACAAAAAAAAAAAAAAAAAAAAAAAATTAGCCGGGCGTAGTGGCGGGCGCCTGTAGTCCCAGCTACTGGGGAGGCTGAGGCAGGAGAATGGTGTGAACCCGGGAGGTGGAGCTTGCAGTGAGCCGAATCTGGCCGCTGCATTCCAGCCTGGGCGACACAGCGAGACTCTGTCTCAAAAAAACAAAACAAAACAAAACAAAACACTCAGGATCCAGGAGAGAAAACTGGCAGGGAAAACAGGGTAGATCTCAGATCTGGAAGGACAAAGAATACTGCCGGGAGTTAGGTTCTTTTGACCCTGAAAAACATACAACCACAAATGTCAGGTGATATTATTTTTCATCACGTGGTCATTGCCACATGGGGTGTGTGTATCTCCATGGTTACCTTCCCTTGCCAGAACTATAATGCTTTTTTTCTACCATACTCTTTCTCTAAGGACAGGAAAAGACTTCCTACTTTTTGGTGTTTACACCTATACCATATTTCTTTGTGTTCTCTGCTACTGTGTTGCTCGGTTAACCTACACACAAGGGTCTCTTCATCTTTGCACAGTCCTTCTGTTTGCTTAACCACTTGTGTTATTACTCACAAAGCTTCCCTCCCCTTCATTCTCACTGTTCTGTTCAGAATCTAGAAGTAGAGAACTGATTTCACCATTGATTCACAATGACCTTGAGTGAGATCCATTGCTAATTAGGAACAATCATATCTGTGAAAAGCGTATCCTTCGAACTCAAAAAACAACCACAACAGAAATTTCAGCACCTATTGTGTGCAATGCACTGTGGCAATACAAGAAAATTCCAGCTTCGAAAGAGCACTACACTTTAGCGCCATTAGATCTGGATTCTAATCCTAGACCTGCCACTGACAGATTTTGTTAGCTTGGGCAAGTCGGCCTCCTTGGCCTCAGTTTCTTCTCTGAAGAGTAGTTGGGCACATTGCAACCACCTGCTTCAGCTGGCACAAGATCCACAGTTTTACCAGTGAAAGTTCTGTGCCATGTGAAACTTCTCAGTACCAGGTAAGCCACATGGTCAGACCCCCCACTGGACAGGCTATCTGAGATCCTTTCTGGCTCTGATTCTTTTGGGTCTATGCTTCAGGTTCTACTCAAGGCATGCTGTGTATGCTCTCGGAGAGTGTGGACTGAGTCACAGGGAGGGAGTGGAGTGGCTGTATGCAAAGAAGCTGGAGGCATCCTGCCTCCTGACCTGTGACTCACATGGGATGCTGCAGGACCTCATTCCTAACATCTCACAGGAAGAGATCAGCTGAGAATGGTACATTCAGGCAGGAGACATTCTTGGGTTTTCCAGTGTAAAAGACATTTAAAAACAATTGACTAATGAGAGGAATGTGTAGCAAATGTTGAAGCTGCCAGTATTCTTGCAAGTGAGCCAATGACCTTTTAAGCTACATCTACAACTGACTAGTTTCTTGGCCATCATCCCAATGAAGGCTCCTTTCCCAGTTTAGACTGTATTGAGATCTGGCTTGGCAGTAAGACTTTTAGCATCCTCAGATACAGATTTATTTCAGCATGAAATCACATTAAATCAGCTTTCTAATAAAGGCCTCAAAAAACAAAAAACATTGCTGGGTGTGGTGGCTCATGCCTGTAATCCCGACATTTTGGGAGGCCGAGGCAGGTAGATCACCTGAGGTCAGGAGTTCCAGACCAACCTAAAACCCCACCTCTACTAAAAAAAAAACCCGCAAAAATTAGCCGGGCATGGTGGCACGCACCTGTAATTTCAGCTACTTGGGAGGCTGAGGCAGGAGAATCGCTTGAACCTAGGAGGCAGAAGTTGCAGTGAGCCGAGATCACACCATTGCACTCCAGCCTGGGTGACTGAGCAAGACTCCATCTCAAAAAAAAAAAAAAAAAAAAGACAGAGTGAGTGACTGTCATGGCTGGTGTTGACAATGAATCTGTTGTCCTATTTTTATGACTTTCAAGAAAAGGATCCTAGGATGACTTGGATCAAGTGGGAGACAGCTTGACACAAGGTCTTGAGCAGATCTGCAAGGGAGTGCAGTTGCTGCCAGCTGACCCAGAACTGACTCTGCAAGAGATGCAGTTTGTCACAGATTTCTGTTTAATTTAGAGGCAAACTTCATAATCACCTTGTACATTTTCTGTGTGACTGGTTTCATTTTGGCTTTATGCTTAAGTCAACTCATTTCAATCTCACCTCCTAGAATAATTTTGGCCCAATTGACTTCTCCTCAGTCATTCCTTCTTAAGCAGCTGGATCCAAAACACAGCCCAAATCATTGTTGAGAGGAGATAGAGTGTTCATGGACGGAGTCGAAAGAGCTGGATGAACACAAGCTATTTAAGGAATTAAGGAACAAATCAAGGAACTTCTCCAATTCAGCAAATTAAGAAGACAGCAGTTATTCAAGGGCTACAGCACAAATCAAGTTCAACTGGTTTAAGAAGTATTGTGTCAAATACTAACAATTTCCCCAACCGAATTTACTCCTAACCCTTTTCTGCTAGCTCAACTTTAGTACAACCTGAGAATATTAGCAAAGGAAACTTAGCCAAAAGCTCATGAGTTAATTATCTGGAGACTAATTATGACTCAAATGAAAATTCCTGTTTACATATAACCAAGATCTAGTCACATGAATATCTACAGAAGATATTTTTGGTGCTGCATGGTCACCATGGGAGAGACACCCTAAATAAGAAGGCTCTAGGCACGTGACTTGAAATTCTTTCAGTTGAAGGGTATTACATGTTACCTAATGGACTGTGAAGAAATTTAAAAATGTCGTTTGCTTTGTGCACCCAGGCAGGCAGCCAAGATTCTCATAATAGGCAAGATTGAGCCACCTGCCCTATCCCCTGGCCTTTGAATTTGTTAAGTCCTCATTCATGGGGCAGGGGGGAGACTTTGACTTCTTTAAATCCTTCCTGAGACAGTTTCTGACTAAAGGTCAGATGACACCAAAGAGATCCAATCAAAGCTGTCAATCAGAATCACCAAACTCTTGGTTGGGCTTGCCCTGTGCGAGCCAGCCAGCAGTGCTGCCCACACAAGACCCATTCTCTGGGCACCCACTGTGTGCTGGGGACCATCAGCTCTGACCCTGAACAAACCCCTCCCCACTGTTTTTTCCTGTAAGACAAGATGGAGAGTTTGTAGATGTAGTGAGTTCATGTGAAAGGCTTGCTTTTGTCAGGGATGGTCTTGTGTTTTGTGTTTCATTTTACTCTTCCTCTCATCTCCCCACCACCCCCACTTTTTTGTTGTTAATTAGTGTGGGGGTTTTTTTGTTTTTGTTTTTGTTTTTGAGACAGGGCTTGCTCTGGCGCCTAGGCTGGAGTGCAGTGGCGTGATCATAGCTCACTGCAGCTTGAACTCCTGGGCTCAAGCGATCCTCCTGCCTCAGCTTCCTGAGTAGCTGGTACTACAGGCACAAGCCCCCATGCCTGGCTAATTTCTTGTGTGTTTTGTAGATACAGGATCTCACTATGTTGTTCCAATTGGTCTCAACCTCCTGGGCTCGAGTTGTGTTTTAATGGTAAAGCTAGGTATTTTAAACCGATCCTGGTCCTCAGGGGTTCTGTTTGCTATCTCATTCTAGTTCTCTGAAAGCAGGAATTTTTGTTTCCTTAAGTTATTCATCCTGATATTAATTTGCACCCCCTACTTTGTTCCACTCTAAATCTAATGAAAATCTAAGGCACCATTCTGTAGAGAGAAAAAAAAATAAGATTCAAGGTTATGCCGACTAGGGGCAAGGAAGTCGGGATCTATCCAGACTAGAAAAATGGCATTTGCACAGAGTGTATGGGACCCACACATTCTAGGACATGTCATGTGGAATTTCTGTTGCCACCAAAAACCTTAGAGCGCCAGTTCAAGAAGAGGAAAGATGTCCCCACTTAAGCTTCCATTGTGGGCAGCATAGCATTGCATTTCACCTACATGATAAACAATAAAACGTTTATCCTCTATAGGGAGAAGAAATGGAAATTACACAACCAAAAAAATGACAGGCCATGCATGGTGGCTCATGCCTGTAATCCCAGCACTTTGGGAGGCTGAGGCAGGAACATCACTTGAGGCCAGACTGAACAACATAGTGAGACCTCATCTCTACAAAAAAAAATTTTTTTATTAGCTGGATGTGGTGGTGGTCCTAGCTACTTGGGAGGCTGAGGTGGGAGGATCACTTGAGCTTGGGAGGTAAAGACTGCAGTGAGCCATGACTGTGCCGCTGCACTCCAGCCTGGGGTGACAGAAATAGACCCAATTTCAAAACAAAAACCCAGTTGACACATACACACACACACACACACACACACGCACACACACACACACACATACACACAAAATGGCAAAAGCCCGCAATAATTGTTTCCCTTTGTATGCTTTTTACCACTTTACCAATCATCTTTGAAGACCTTTTTTTTTTTTTTCTGTCACATGGGAAGGAGACAGGGTCTCATTTTGTTGCCCAGGCTGGAGTGCAATGGTGCAATCTCAGCTCACTGCAACTGCCACCTCCTGGGCTCAAGCGATCCTCTCACCTCATCCTCTTGAGTAGCTGGGACTATAGGCATGTGCCACCATGCTCGGTTAATGTTTTAATTTTTCGTAGAGACAAGGTCTCACTGTATTGTCCAGGCTGGTCTTGATCTTCTGGGCTGAAGTGATCCTCTGGCCTCGGCCTCCCAAAGTGCTGGAATTGCAAGCGTGAGCCACTATGCCCAGTTTCAAAGAACTTATATGTCCTAATCTGTGTTGCCATAAAGGAATATCTGAGGCTAGGTACTTATTTTTAAAAAGAGGTTTATTTTGTTCACAGTTCTGTAGGCTGTACAAGAAGCACGGTGCCAGCATCTGCCTCTGGTGAGGGCCTCAGGCAGAAGTCAAGGGGGAGCTTTTGCAATAACTAATAGAGTGAGAACTCAGTCATTACCATGAGGACAGCAGTAAGCCATTCATGAGGGATCCACTCCATGACCCAAACACCTCCCACTAAGCCCCACCCACCACTATCACTGGGATCAAATTGCACATGAGGTACGGAGGGTCAAATATCCAAAATACAGTATTATAGTACATATGGATCTGATAACGATAACATTTTCCTTTATTATAGCACTGTTAAATTATAGTGATATGTTTCCAATCTTTAAAAGAATGTGTCTACAAAGTTGGTATAAAATCTTTAGCAAACTGAAGAACCTCCATCCTACTCTAAGTTTGCTGAGAGTTCTTGCTTTTTTTTTTTTTTTTGAGACGGAGTCTCACTCTGTCACGCAGGCTGGAGTGCAGTGCCACGATCTCAGCTCACTGCAACGTTTGCCTCTCAGGTTCAAGCGATTCTCCTGCCTCAGCCTCCTGAGTAGCTGGGATTACAGGCCCATGCCACCATGTCTGGCTAATTTTTCTATTTTTCTTTAGTAGAGTTGGGGTTTCGGACAGGTGCGGTGGCTTATGCCTGTAATCCCAGCACTTTGGGAGGCTGAGGTAGGCAGACCGTGAGATCAGGAGTTCGAGATCAGCCTGACCAACAAGGTGAAACCCCATCTCTACTAAAAATACAAAAATTAGCCGAGTGTGGTGGTACATTCCTGTAATCCCAGCTACTCAGGAGGCTGAGACAGGAGAATCTCTTGAACCCAGGAGGCAGAGGTTGCAGTGAGCCAAGATTGCGCCACTTTACTCCAGCCTGGGTGACAGAGCAAGACTCTATCTCAAAAAAAAAAAAAAAAGAAAAAATAGAAATGGGGTTTCACCATGTTGGCCAGGCTGGTCTTGAACTCCCAACCTCAGGTAATCCGCCCACCTCGGCCTCCCAAAGTGCTGGGATTACAGGCTTGAGCCACCACACCCAGCCTCTGAATTTCTTTAATACTTAGCTTTAATTCATTAATTTTTTTGAAAACCTGCAACAAAAAGTTGTGATTTTATTTTATTTTATTAATTTATTTATTTTTTCCAGACAAGGTCTGGTTTTATTGTCCAAGCTGGAGTAAAGTGGCATGATCTCAGCTCACTGCAACCTCCACCTCCCAGGCTGAGGCCATCCTCCCACCTCAGTCTCCCGTAGTAGCTGGGACCACAAGCATGTGCCACCACCTCTGGCTAATTTTTGTATTTTTTTGTAGAGACAGGGTTTCGCCATGTTACCCAGGCTGGTCTCTAACTCAAGAGCTCAAGCAGTCCACCCACCTCAGCCTCCCAAAGTGCTAGGATTACAGGTGTGAGCCACCACGCCTGGCCCAAAAGTTGTGATTTCAAGTTTTAAAAACAGCTAATAGGCTGGTCTGAGTGCAGTGGTGTTTACAACTAATTGATCACAACTAGTTACAGATTTCTTTGTTCCTTCTCAACTCCCACTGCTTCACTTGACTAGCCTTTAAAATAAGTTATGGCTTCTCTACAAAAAATTTAAAAATTAGCCAAAAAATAAAATAAATAAGTTAATTAATGAAAAACCAAACACACAGAAAAACAGTTAATACTGTTTTAATACTGTTAAACATTAAAACAGAAAGTCTTAAGGTAAAAATTTGTAGAAAACAATAACCATTGTACAAGAACGAAGTGTCTCTGGATTCATTGAATGCTGTTTCTAAGTGCCAGAAATAAATACTGTTGCACACATAGGGATGAGAGTGTACGCTGCGTTTTGTGCACCCAAGCATCCTGAATGCTGAAGTGGACTGTGTTTACTTGTGCTAAAGCAAACTAAATATGCCCTGGAAAGGACTTCGTACTTCTATATTTGAGTCCTTGTGGATGAACTGTAACCTAGCTTAATAATTAGACAAGATTGAAAACCTAATTTAGGAGTATGCACCTGTAACAATAGCTAAGTCTTGGCCAATCCCAGCGGCGGTACTTCTACCATTCATACACTACTGAGTGTTCAAATTGTGTTCAAATATGGCAAACGCCAAGCTGTAACCAATCCAGCCATTCTGTACCTCACTTCCAATTTCTGGAGTCATTTCCCTTTTTTTGGTCTATAAATCCTCTTCCACCACGTGGCTGCGCCAGAGTCTCTGTGAATCTGCTGTGATTCTGGGGGCTGCCCAATTAGGGAATGTGTTCGTTGCTCAATTAAATTCCTTTAGCCGGGCACAGTGGCTCACGCCTGTAATCCCAGCACTTTGGGAAAAGGAGATGGGCGGATAACTTGAGGTCAAGAGTTTGAGACCAGCCTGGCCAACATGGTGAAACACTGTCTCTACTGAAAATACAAAAATTAACTGGGCATGGTGGTGCGTACCTGTAATCTCAGCTACTTGGGAGGCTGAGGCACAAGAATTGCTTGAACCCATGAGACAGAGGTTGCGGTGAGCTGAGATCACGCCATTGCACTCCAGCCTGGGTGACGGAGTGAAACTGTGTCAAGTATCAATTAACTGGAAAAATGCCTTGCCTTTGGCATTCCAGTTGATGGCTGAGAGAAGTCACTGGAGACCTCATAAGCTAGAAGTTTTTCTGATCAATCTCACAAGTCTGGTATGCCCTGCCAGGATCACATTTTGAGTCTGTTCATGGGGCTCCACCCTCTCTTTGCTTCCCATAAGAGAACTGAAACCTTCTGCCTTTCCTCCACAGCCAAAGGGGATTTTTATCACCTCTCTCCCACTGCTCTTTCCCCTTCTCCCATTGAGTAGTCTCTGCTTCTAAGCTTGCCTTTTATTCATTCAAGGGCAATGTGTAAAGTAGAGTGACCTCCTGCCAAGATCCAAGACTTCGGAGAAGACTGGTCTCCAACGTGAGGAAGGTTGGAGAGCTGAGATGGTGGGTGCACCCTGTAGCACTGCAATAGAGAGAACACATGTTTCTGGCCTCCCAAGTTGGATGTGTCCATGTCTTTTCCCAGAAAATATGCTTACACACAATAATTAGTCTCAAACTATCAGTACAGCTTTATACTTTGGGGATGTTAAGTGCAAGTATTAATATACCAGAAGCTGGAAGCACATGCCTAACACAGTCTATAGTGCAGCATTGCGGTCCAGCTTGTGAACCCACTTAAAACCCAACCACAACTTGGAAGACTGTCTAAGAAAATGCTTTCCAAACCCTAAATCTTAGAAAAGTAAAGCAGAGAATCACAAATAAATGACTCCCTAGTACCTTTACTCTTTTTTTTTCTTTTTTGGAGACAGGGTCTCACTCTGTCTCCCAGGCTGGAGCACAGTGACAAAATGGCTCACTGCAGCCTTGCAAGGAGATCCTCCTGGCTCAGCCTCCCAAGTAGCTGGGACTACAGGCATGCACCACAATGCCCAGCTAAGTTTAATTTTTTGTTGTTGTTGTGACAAGGTCTTGCTATGTCACCCTGGCTGTTCTCAGACTCCTGGCCTCAAGTGATCCGCCAGCCTCGGCCTCCCAAAGTGCTCTGATTACATGCATGAAACACCGCACCCAACCTGGCCCCTACCCTTACTCTTAAACTGACCTGAGAATCTACAGTTTGTTTGCTGAGGTAAATGTGCTCACTTTATGCACTGTCCACTATATATACATTTCTACCTCAAAGGATTAATTTACATAAATTTCAAAATTTATTTAGAAAAGTTTCGATAGGCCGGGTGCGGTGGCTCACGCCTGTAATCCCAGCACTTTGGGAAGCCAAGGCAGGCAGATCACAAGGTCAGGAGTTCGAGACCAGCTTGACCAATATGGTGAAATCTCGTCTCTACTAAAAATACAAAAATTAGCCGGGCATGGTGGCAAGTGCCTGTAATCCCAGCTACTCAGGAGGCTGAGGCAGGAGAATCGTCTGAACCCAGGAGGCAGAGGTTGCAGTGAGCTGAGATCACACCACTGTACTCCAGCCTGGGTGACAGAGTGAGACTCCATTTCAAAAAAAAAAAAAAGAGAAAAAGAAAAAGAAAAGTTTTGATAATCCTCAGCGACAGTGAAGGTGTTCAGAAACTGGCACTCATATATGCCACTGGTAAGAGTGTAAATTGCTACAACATAATGGAAGCCAATTAAGTAATACCAAAAAAAAGGCCTATAAGCAAGCTAAATATACACTGTTATGGCTCTGGTTAAATCAGTAATCCAGGGCCAGGCACAGTGGCTCATGCCTGTAATCCCAGCACTTTGGGAAGCTGGGGCAGGCAGATCGCTTGAGCTTGCAAATTTGAGACCAGCCTGGGCAATGGGGCAAGACCTCATCTCTACCAAAAATACAAAAATCATCTGGGCGTGGTGGTGCCCACCTGTGGTCCCAATTACTTGGGAGGCTAAGGTGGGGGCTAATTGCTTGAGCCCAGGAGGTGGAGGCTGCAGTGAGCCCAGATCATGCTACTACACCCCAGCCTGGGTGACAAAGCAAGACTCTTTTCTCAAAAAAAAAAAAAAAAAAAAAGAGTAATGCAAACATTGGAATAATATGCAATTCCTTTTTAAAAGGTAGCAGATTGATTGTACGGATATGTGAAAATGCCCAACATACACTTAATTGTATTTTTGTTTTATTTTATTTATTTATTTTTGAGATGGAGTCTTGCTCTGTATCCCAGGCTGGAGTGCAGTGGCTCAGTCTCAGCTCACTGCAACCTCTGCCTTCTGAGTTCAAATGATTCTCCTGTCTCAGCTTCCCGAGTAGCTGGGATTATAGGTGCAAGCCACCATGCCTGGCTAATGTTTGTATTTTTAGTAGAGATGGGGCTTTGCCATGCTAGCCAGGCTAGTCTCAAACTCCTGACCTCAAGTGATCCACCCACCACGGCCTCCCAAAGTGCTGGGATTACAGCAGTGAGCCACTGCGCCTGACCCATTTTTTTTATTTTTTGAGACGGATTCTTACTCTGTTGTCCAGGCTGGAGTGCAGTGGCACAATCTCAGCTTACTGCAACCTACTCCCGGCTAATTTTTGTATTTTTAGTAGAGATGGGGTTTCAACATGTTGGCCAGGCTGGTCTCGAACTCCTGACCTCAAGTGATCCACCCGCCTTGGTGGATTACAGGCGAGAGCCACCACGCCTGGTCTTAATTGTATTTTTTAAAGTTGCAGAATAGAATGCATATTATACTCTTATTTATGATTTTTAAAAACAGATTATACATATATATTTATTTGTATGTTGAAGCATATGCTTTTCTAAACATAGGAATTTTCTAGAAGAATATATCTGAAATTATTAATGGTGGTTAAGAACAGGGACCAAGAAATCACCTTATTATTGAATTTCCTTACATAAGCAGAAATGTCATCACTTAATATACCAATTAGGCTGGGCGAGGTGGCTCATGCCTGTAATCCCAGCACTTTGAGAAGCCAAGGCAGGCAGATCACTTGAGCCCAGGAGCTCGAGACCATCCTGGGTGACACAGTAAGACCTCGTCTCTACTAAAAATAAAAATAAAAAAATTAGCTGGGCATGGTGGCATGTGCCTGTGGTCCCAGCTAATTGGGAGGCTGAGGAGGGAGGATGGCTTGAGCCCAAAAGGTCAAGGCTGCAGTGAGCTGTGATCGTGCCACTGCACTCCAGCTTGGGTGATAGAGTGAGACCCTATCTCAGAAAAATAAAATAAAATACTAACAAAAAAAATTTCATGTACTTGAAAGTCTACATTATCCATTAGTTCAGTCTGGAAACATAATCAGGCTTCCTAATATTGAAAATCAAGAATCCCAGAGCTGGATGTATTTAATAAAACTGAGGCCAGGTGTGGTGGTACACGCCTGTAATCCCAGCACGTTGGAAGGCTGAGGCCCGTGGATCACCTGAGGTCAGGAGTTCGCGACCAGCCTGACTAACATGGTGAAACCCCATCTCTACTAAATACAAAACAATCAGCCAGGCATGGTGGTGCATGCCTGTAATCCAAACTACTTGGGAGGCTGAGACAGGAGAATCGCTTGTACCTGGGAGGCAGAGGTTGCAGTGAGCTGAGATCGCACCATTGCACTCCAGCTTGGGCAACAGGAGCAAAACTCCACCTCAAAAAAAAAAAAAAAAAAAAAAAACTCTGCCTTGTGATGGCAACTTTTGAATCCGGATTAGTCTTTCAGGCTACTGAACCCCCAACAAGAAGCATTAGCGCATTAAGCCTTTCTACTAGCTTCTGTATTTGAGTAAATCAGTGTAATCCTCATGTCTGGAAATGAGAATGTGTCTGTGGTGCTGTATAAACCACCATATACATACCCAACACTGTACTTTAGTTTAGATGTTTTCAAGGCCTGGGATAATCAAGTCAGAAGATCCTTCTGGGTCTCTGTTTCTTACAGGAAAGAGGGCAGTTAGGTCCCTAGGTGACTCTAGCATCTTCTTTTCTTTTTTTTTTTCTTTTTTTGAGATGGAGTCTTGCTCTGTCGCCCAGGCTAGATTGCGGTGGCGCAATCTTGGCTCACTGCAACCTCCACCTCCCTGGTTCGAGCAATTCTTCTGCCTCAGCCTCCCAAGTAGCTGGGATTACAGGTGCCTGCCACCGCACCTGGCTAATGTTTGTATTTTTAGTAGAGATGGGGTTTCACCATCTTGGCCAGGCTGGTCTCAAACTCCTGACCTCGTGATCCACCTCCCAAAATGCTGGGATTACAGGTGTGAGCCACCGTGCCCAGCCGGCTCTAGCATTTTCTAATTACCCCATTTGCTTTCAGCTAACCACTGAGAGACTGAATCAGAAGGACTGGGGACTACTGGGGAAGTTTTTCCACTTTGTTGAATCCTTTTAAATATATCTTCTTATTTCTAAGGCATCAATTTCTTCTGTCCTAGAATTATGTTTTCATCATTGGTTATTTATATAATGATAACAGTTATTTGCATTATGTAAGTGTGTTCACTGGGCCCTGGGAACCCTACTGATTTAAGTGCCACCATCAGGGGAAGAGGCTCAAGCTCTGTCCTCCAGCTGCCAGTGAACACAAGCTCAGAGCCAGGCTCATGTTTGCAGAGAGTAGGCACTGGCATCCAGAAAGCCAAGGAGCACAAACTCATAACTCAGAGAAGTTTGGGTGAGGGAGGAAAGCTCAGCACAGACAGCTAAATCTGCCCCTACCTTGGATCCTGGAGGCTACTGGGCAAAGCCACCCAATAGGATGTAACAAAACCACACACCTGTCCATGGAGCCACTGAGCCGTGGTCATGAACCAAGCCCCTCTGCACCAAGCTCAAAGTTGGCACCAGGCCACTGTCCACCCATCAGACTGGCTTTTTTTTTTTTTTTTTTTTTTTTTTTGAGATGGAGTCTCGCTCTGTCGCCCAGGCTGGAGTGTAGTGGCAGGATCTCGGCTCACTGCAACCTCCACCTCCCGGGTTCAAGCCATTCTCCTGCCTCAGCCTCCTGAGTAGCTGGGACCACAGGCACCCACCACCACACCCAGCTAATTTTTGTTTTTTTAGTAGAGATGGGGTTTCACCATGTTGGTCAGGCTGGTCTCGAACCCCTGACCTCATGATCCACCCGCCTCGGCCTCCCAAAGTGCTGGGATTACAGGCGTGAGCCACCATGCCCGGCCTCAGACTGGCTTTTTTAAATCTATCTTTTGAGGATACCAGAGAATCCTAACCTGGATCTTATTTTTGAACAGAGTTGTTATTTTGGGTAACAAGAAAAGTAACTGGGACCCTCATCTGGAGGTCTCACAGTGCTGCCTCTATTATTTAAGTCAGGATATCCTTTTCTTTTAAGCATATGTGAGGGGCTGAGTCTTATGCACACACTCAAAAGTCAGAAGGAGGGAGTGCCCCCAAAGGGTTTCTCTCTCTCTGGCATCCCCACTGGCTTTAGACACAACATCCCCCAAATCTGTTGGATTTTGACTATGAAATTTAGAATTTTTTTTCTTTCCCAAAGAACAACTTTCTCACCACTCTTGTTATACATACTATTCCAAAAATAAGTGTAACAAGAAACAGACAAATACAGGACAGTTCAGGAAACCAGTGAGTTTGAAAAATATATATATATTTTCCCTCTAAAGAATGTGTGTGGCCAGGAGTGGTGGCTCATGCCTGTAATCCCAGCACCTTGGGAGGCCGAGGGGGGAGGATCACCTGAGGCTGGGAGTTCAAGACCAGCCTGAACAACATGGAGAAACCTGGTCTCTACTGGCTATCTCCTGTTGCTGTCATAGTCCTGTCTTCCCATTCTTCATTTCTTCCTCCTATACGCTTCCTTTTCCTCTTTTCCTTCTTCTTCCTGTTGTTATAAATTCTCCTGCATCTCTTCCTTAAGTATCTATTCTTTTGCCATTTCCTGCAGCAGCCACTATCGACATAACAAGGCATGAGCCTCACCCTTACCCAAAGCCACTGCCACACCCTGGGCCTGCTGCCATTTCAACGAGCCCAGCTCAGGCTCCCAGTCAAATCACCTCCTCAGCTGGAGAAGCACTGTCATGGCGGCACATGGCTCAGCAGTCCCAGAAATGACTTACACCGGAGTGTGGGAGACTTACTCTTAAGCTCCTGAGTAATTGCCAGTCTGGGGACACTACAGGGATTGAAGCACTATTATACCTTTATGGCAGTTTGCGTTTGTTTTTCAGTACTTAACTCCATCCTCAAGCCTCAGAACAAAATCACTGGCATTAGGGAAAGGAAGAGAAATATGGTAGGACTGTCAAGGTACAAAGAAGATGCTATATAAATGTTTATCAAGTTAATGAATGGGTTCAGGCACAGTGGCTCACGCCTATAATCCTAACACTTTGGGAGGTGGAGGTGGGAGGCTCACTTGAGCTCAGGAGTTCTAGACAAGCCTGGGCAACATAGCAAGACCTTGTCTCTACTAAAAAGTTTAAAAATTAGCCAGGCATGGTGGCATGTACCTGTAGTCCCAGCTACTCAGGAGGCTGAGGGGGAGGATCACTTGAGCCCCAGAGGTCAAGGCTGCAGTGAGCCTGTCAGGCCTCTGAGCCCAGGCCAGGCCATCGCACCCCCTGTGACTTGCACGTATACATCCAGACGGCCTGAAGTAACTGAAGATCCACAAAAGAAGTAAAAACAGCCTTAACTGATGACATTCCACCATTGTGATTTGTTCCTGCCCCACCCTAACTGATCAATGTACTTTGTAATATCCCCCACCCTTAAGGTACTTTGTAGTCTCCCCCACCCTTAAGAAGGTTCTTTGTAATTCTCCCCACCCTTGAGAATGTACTTTGTGAGATCCACCCCTGCCCACCAGAGAACAACCCCCTTTGACTGTAATTTTCCATTACCTTCCCAAATCCTATAAAATGGCCCCACCCCTATCTCCCTTCGCTGACTGTCTTTTCGGACTCAGCCTGCCTGCACCCAGGTGAAATAAACAGCCATGTTGCTCACACAAAGCCTGTTTGGTGGTCTCTTCACAGGGACACGCATGAAATTTGGTGCCGTGACTCGGATCGGGGGACCTCCCTTGGGAGATCAATCCCCCGTCCTCCTGCTCTTTGCTCCATGAGAAAGATCCACCTACGACCTCAGGTCCTCAGACCGACCAGCCCAAGAAACATCTCACCAATTTCAAATCCGGTAAGCGGCCTCTACTCTTCTCCAACCTCCCTCACTATCCCTCAACCTCTTTCTCCTTTCAATCTTGGAGCCACACTTCAATCTCTCCCTTCTCTTAATTTCAATTCCTTTCATTTTCTGGTAGAGACAAAAGAGACATGTTTTATCCGTGAACCCAAAACTCTGGCGCCGGTCACGGACTGGGAAGGCAGCCTTCCCTTGGTGTTTAATCATTGCAGGGATGCCTCTCTGATTATACACTCACGTTTCAAGGGTGTCAGACCACGCAGGGACGCCTGCCTTGGTCCTTCACCCTTAGCGGCAAGTCCCACTTTCCTGGGGCAGGGGCAAGTACCCCTCAACCCCTTCCCCTTCACCCTCAGCGGCAAGTCCTGCTTTCCTGGGGCAGGGGCAAGTACCCCTCAACCCCTTCCCCTTCACCCTCAGCGGCAAGTCCTGCTTTCCTGGGGCAGGGGCAAGTACCCCTTCCCCTTCACCCTCAGCGGCAAGTCCTGCTTTCCTGGGGCAGGGGCAAGTACCCCTCAACCCCTTCTCCTTCATCCTTAGCAGCAAGTCCCGCTTTCCTAGGGGGCAAGAACCCCCCAATCACTTATTTCCACACCCCAACCTCTTATCTCTGTGCCCCAATCCCTTATTTCCGCACCCTGACCTCTTATTTCCATGCCCCAACCCCTTCTCTGCTTTTCTGGAGGGCAAGAACCCCCCACCCCTTCTCTGTGTTGCTACTCTTTTCTCTGGGCTTGCCTCCTTCACTATGGGTAAGCTTCCACCTTCCATTCCTCCTTCTTCTCCCTTAGCCTGTGTTCTCAAAAACTTAAAACCTCTTCAACTCACACCTGACCTAAAACCTAAATGCCTTACTTTCTTCTGCAATGCCGCTTGACTCCAATACAAGCTCGACAGTAGTTCCAAATAGCCGGAAAACGGCACTTTCAATTTTTCCATCCTACAAGATCTAAATAATTCTTGTCGTAAAATGGGCAAATGGTCTGAGGTACCTGAAGTCCAGGCATTCCTTTACACATCAGTCCCTTCCTAGTCTCTGTGCCCAGTGCAACTCGTCCCAAATCTTTCTTCTTTCCCTCCCGCCTGTCCCCTCAGTCCCAACCCCAAGTGTCGCTGAGTCTTTCTGATCTTCCTTTTCTACAGACCCATCTGACCTCTCCCCTCCTCGCCAGCCCAAGCTAGGTCCCAATTCTTCCTCAGCCTCTGCTCCTGCACCCTGTAATCTTTTTATCGCCTCCCCTCCTCACACCTGGTCGGGCTTACAGTTTCGTTCCGTGACTAGCCCTCCCCCACCTGCCCAGCAATTTACTCTTAAAAAGGTGGCTGGAGCCAAAGGCATAGTCAAGGTTAATGCTCCTTTTTCTTTATCCCAAATCAGATAGCGTTTAGGCTCTTTTTCATCAAATATAACCCTGAGATGCTTCACAGCCCTAGACCCTAAAAGGTCAAAAGGCAATATTATTCTCAATATACATTTTATTACCCAATCTGCTCCCGACATTAAATCTCCAAAAATTAAATTCCGGCCCTCAAACCCCACAACAGAATTTAATTAACTTCACCTTCAAGGTGTACAATAATAGAAAAAGTTGCAATTCCTTGCCTCCACTGTGAGACAAACCCCAGCCACATCTCCAGCACACAAGAACTTCCAAACGCCTGAACCACAGCGGCCAGGCGTTCCTCCAGAACCTCCTTCCCCAGGAGCTTGCTACAAGTGCCAGAAATCTGACCACCAGGCCAAGGAATGCATGCAGCCCAGGATTCCTCCTAAGCCGTGTCCCATCTGTGCGGGACCCCACTGGAAATTGGACTGTTCAACTCACCTGGCAGCCACTCCCAGAGTCCCTGGAACTCTGGCCCAAGGCTCTCTGACTGACTCCTTCTCGGCTTAGCGGCTGAAGACTGATGCTGCCCGATCGCCTCGGAAGCCCCGTAGACCATCACGGACGCCGAGCTTCCGGTAACTCTCACAGTGGAAGGTAAGCCCGTCCCCTTCTTAATCAATACGGAGGCTACCCGCTCCACATTACCTTCTTTTCAAGGGCCTGTTTCCCTTGCCTCCATAACTGTGGGTATTGACAGCCAGGCTTCTAAACCTCTTAAAACTCCCCCACTCTGGTGCCAACTTGGACAACACTCCTTTATGCACTCTTTTTTAGTTATTCCCACCTGCCCAGTTCCCTTATTAGGCCGAGATATTTTAACCAAATTATCTGCTTCCCTGACTATTCCTGGACTACAGCCGCATCTCATTGCCGACCTTCTCCCCAACTCAAAGCCTCCTTCGCGTCTTCCTCTTATATCCCCCCACCTTAACCCACAAGTATGGGACATCTCTACTCCTTCCATCACCCTTACCCCGCTCAACGCCAATATCCCATCCCACAGCATGCTTTAAAAGGATTAAAGCCTGTTATCACTCGCCTGCTACAGCATGGGCTTCTAAAACCTATAAACTCTTACAATTCCCCCATTTTACCTGTCCAAAAACCGGATAAGTCTTACAGATTAGTTCAGGATCTGCGTCTTATCAACCAAATTGTTTTGCCTATCCACCCTGTGGTGCCCAACCCGTACACTCTTTTGTCCTCAATACGTTCCTCCACAACTCACTATTCTGTTCTCCATCTTAAAGATGCTTTTTTCACTATTCCCCTGCACCCCTCGTCCCAGCCTCTCTTTGCTTTCACTTAGACTGACCCTGACACCCCATTAGGCTCAGCAAATTACCTGGGCTGTACTGCTGCAAAGCTTCACAGACAGCCCCCATTACTTCAGTCAAGCCCAGATTTCTTCCTCATCTGTTACCTATCTCGGCGTAATTCTCGTAAAAGCACACGTGCTTTCCCTGCCAATCGTGTCCGACTGATCTCTCAAACCCCAGCACCTTCTACAAAACAACAACTCTTTTCCTTCCTAGGCATGGTTAGCGTGGTCGGAATTCTTACACAAGAGCCAGGACCACACCCTGTAGCCTTTCTGTCCAAACAACTTGACCTTACTGTTTTAGCCTAGCCCTCATGTCTGCGTGCAGCAGCTGCTGCTGCTTTAATACTTTTAGAGGCCCTCAAAATCACAAACTTTATCAGTCCTCCAGGCCCAAGTTGACTCTTTAGCTGCAGTTGTCCTCCAAAACCGCCGAGGCCTTGACTTACTTACTGCTGAAAAAGGAGGACTCTGCATATTCTTAAATGAGGAGTGTTGTTTTTACCTAAATCAGTCTGGCCTGGTGTATGACAACATAAAAAAACTCAAGGATAGAGCCCAAAAACTTGCCAACCAAGCAAGTAATTACGCTGAACCCCCTTGGGCACTCTCTAATTGGATGTCCTGGGTCCTCCCAATTCTTAGTCCTTTAATACCCATTTTTCTCCTCCTTTTATTCAGACCTTGTATCTTCCATTTAGCTTCTCAGTTCATCCAAAACTGTATCCAGGCCATCACCAATCATTCTATATGACAAATGTTTCTTCTAACATCCCCACAATATCATCCCTTACCACAAGACTTCCCTTCAGCTTAATCTCTCCCACTTTATGTTCCCACGCCGCCCCAATCCCACTTGAAGCAGCCCTGAGAAACATCGCCCATTCTCTCTCCATACCACCCCCCAAAAATTTTCGCCGCTCCAACACTTCAACACTATTTTGTTTTATTTGTCTTATTAATATAAGAAGGCAGGAATGTCAGGCCTCTGAGCCCAGGCCAGGCCATCGCATCCCCTGTGACTTGCACGTATACATCCAGATGGCCTGAAGTAACTGAAGATCCATAAAAGAAGTAAAAACAGCCTTAACTGATGACATTCCACCATTGTGATTTGTTCCTGCCCCACCCTAACTGATCAATGTACTTTGTAATATCCCCCACCCTTAAGGTACTTTGTAGTCTCCCCCACCCTTAAGAAGGTTCTTTGTAATTCTCCCCACCCTTGAGAATGTACTTTGTGAGATCCACCCCTGCCCACCAGAGAACAACCCCCTTTGACTGTAATTTTCCATTACCTTCCCAAATCCTATAAAATGGCCCCACCCCTATCTCCCTTCGCTGACTGTCTTTTCGGACTCAGCCTGCCTGCACCCAGGTGAAATAAACAGCCATGTTGCTCACACAAAGCCTGTTTGGTGGTCTCTTCACACGGACGCACATGAAAGAGCCATGATCGTGCCACCTCACTCCAGACTGGGTGACAGAGTGAGACCCTGTCTCCAAAAAAAAAAAAAAATTGCCCTTCATGAAGCAGTAAAAAGTATGTTTTAATAAATCTTTAATTTTGTTTATTTGTTTGTTTATTTTTGAGACAGAGTCTTGCTTTGTTGCCCAGGCTGGAGTGCAGTGGCGCCATCTCAGCTCACGGTAACCTCTGCCTCCCAGGTTCACGCAATTCTCCTGCCTCAGTCTCCCAAGTAGCTGGGATTACAGGCGCCCACCACCACACTTGGCTAATTTTTGTATTTTCTGTAGAGACACGGTTTCACTATGTTGGCCAGGCTGGTCTTGAACTCCTAACCTCAGGTGATCTGCCCGCCTCGGCCTCCCAAAGTGCTGGGATTACAGGTATAAGCCACTGCACCTGGCCTGTTTTAATAAATCGTGATCCCTGTGTACACATCTTTTAAGTACTCTGTGTGGTGAAATGGGAAATGCAGTACAAAGCAGTTGAGCTACTGAATTGTGAGCTGAACTAGCTGCTTTTTTTCAAGGAATACCACTTAAATTTATCTATCTATTTTTAGAGACAAGGTCTTGTTCTATTGCTCAGGCTGGAGGGCAATAGTGCAATCATAGCTCACTGCAGCCTCAACCTCCCAGGATCAAGTGATCCTCCACCTCAGCTTCCTGAGTAGCTGGGGCTACAGGCACACACCACCATACCCAGCTGTTTTTTTTTTTGAGATAGAGTCTCGCTCTGTCGCCCAGGCTGGAGTGCAATGGCACGATCTCACCTCACTGCAAACTCCACCTCCCAGGTTCAAGCGATTCTCCTGCCTCAGCCTCCCGAGTAGCTGGGATTACAGGTGCCTGCCATGAAGCCCAGCTAATTTTTTGTTTGTTTGTTTGTTTGTTTTGAGACGGAGTCTCACTCTGTCACCCAGGCTGGAGTGCAATGGCGCAGTCTCTGCTCACTGCATCCTCTGCCTCCCAGGTTCAAGTGATTCTCCTGCCTCAGCCTCCTGAGTAGCTGGGACTACAGGTGTGTGCCACCACACCTGGTTAATTTTTGTATTTTTAGTAGAGACAGGTATTCACCAGGTTGGCCAGGCTGATCTCGAACTCCTGACCTCAGGTGATCCACCCACCTCAGCCTCCCAAACTGCTGGGATTACAGGCATAAGTCACCACGCCCGGTCCATACCCAGCTCATTTTTAAATTTTTTGTAGAGATGGGGTCTCACCATGTTGCCCAGGCTGGTCTCTAACTCCTGGGCTCAAGTGATCCTCCCACCTCAGCCTCCAAGAGTGTTAGGATTACAGGCGTGAGCCACTGCGCCCAGGAAGACTTATTTTTTCTTCCTATACGAGTCTTTTCTCCTTGTTACCTTTCCCCTATTAAGTTAGGTGTATAAGCCCCAAATTCTAACTATTCTTTTGAGTTACCACTGAGCACTCCCATGTGTATGCATGTAAATAAACTCTTTGTTTTGTTTTCTTTAAAAGGCTAGTCAAGCGAAGCAGTGGGAGTGGAGAAGGAACAAAAATATCTGTAACTGGTTGTTATCCATTGTTGTAAACACCACTGCATTCGAACCAGCCAATAAAATCTTGCCTTTTTCTTGCTAATTTGTCTTTTGTCAGTTTAATTCACAGGTCTCAGATACTGAATTTAAGAGGGTAAAGGAAAAGTTTCTCCATTACTACAATAACAGGACAAGGAAAGGGTTCAATGAACAACCTTTCATGTTTCCTACTGAGAAATAAAAATAAAAATTTGTCCTTGACAGGCGTGGTGGTTCATGCCAGTAATCCCAGCACTATGGGAGGCCGAGGTGGGTAGATCACCTGATGCCAAGAGTTTGAGACAAGCATGGCCAACACGGTGAAACCCCCTCTCCACTAAACATACAAAAATTAGCTGGGCATCGTGGTAGGCACCTGTAATCCCAGCTACTCAGAAGGCTGAGGCAGGAGAATCGCTTGAACCTGGGAGGCAGAGGTTGCAGTGGGCCGGGATCGCGCTGTTAGATATGAGTTCTAAATTTCTTTTCAAAGAATCAATATGTCAGTATGTTCAATTCTTTGCCTTCTGCTTTTAAACCTCACTTCCTCATAAAGCAGCCTTTTTCCATTACCTGCTCCACCCTGACTCATTTCAATCACCTGCTCCAACCTGATTCATTTCAATCACCTCCACCCTGACTCATTCCGATTACCTGCTACCTGCTCCGCCCCGACTCATTCTCCACGCTGAATCACCATTTTTTCCTGCCAAACCACTCACCCCGTCACTCTCTTTAAATTAGCCAATTGCAATTAGTTTAGCCTGTGAGGTCTAACCCTAGCCAACAGGGGAATGACACAGCAGCAAGGGGCCACGTGTGTCAGGGATAAGAACCCCTTCTTCCTTGTCTTGGTGTGCGCTCACCATTGTTCCATCTCTAAGGACGCACCCTTCTATAGAAGTACCTTGCCTTGCTGAGAATTAAAAAGAAAATTTTATATTCGAGTGCTGTTTCTTTTGCAGCACTGAAACTTTGTTTATAACAGTGCTATTGCACTCCAGCCTAGGCAACAAGAGTGAAACTCCCATCTCAAAAAGAAGGAAAAAAAAGTCCAGGCACAGTGACTTACGTGTGTAATCTCAGCACTTTGGGAGGCCGAGGCAGGCAGATCACCTGAAGTCAGGAGTTCGACACTAAGCTGGCCAACATGGTGAAACCCGGTATCTACTAAAGATATAAAAAATTAGTCGGGCGTGGTGGCATGTGCTTGTGATCCCAGCTACTCAGGAAGCTGAGGCAGGAGAATTGCTTGAACCCAGGAGGTAGAGGTTGCAGTCAGCCAAGATCATGCCACTGCACTGCAGCCTGGGTAACAAAGTGAGACCCCGTATATATATATATAAAAAAAAATTATCCTAAGTGGATTAATGCAGGAACAGAAAACCAAATACTGCATGTTCTCACTTATAAGTGGGAGCTAAACATTGGGTACTCAGGGATATAAAAATGGCAACAATAGAAAGTGGGGACTACCAGAGGGGGAAGGTAGAAGGAGGGCAAGGGTTGAAAAACTATTGGATGCTATGCTCAGACATGGGTGGTTCATTTGTACCCCAAACCTCAGCATCACGCTATATGCCCAGGTAACAAGCCTGCACATGTACCCCCTGAATCTAAAATAAAGTTGAGGGCCGGGCACAGTGGCTCATGCTTGTAACCCAACACTTTGGGAGGCCAGGCAGGTGGATCACCTCAGGTTAGGAGTTCAAGACCAGCCTGGCCAACACGGTGAAACCCCATCTCTGCTAAAAATACAAAATAAAATTAGCCGGGTATGGTGCATGCCTGTGATCCCAGCTACTGGGGCGGCTGAGGCAGGAGAATCACTTGAACCTGGGAGGCAGAGTTTGCAGTGAGCCAAGATTGTAACACTGCACTCCAGCCTGGGCAACAAAGCGAGACTGTCTCAAAAATAAATTAATAAATTAAAATAAAGTTGAAAAATAAAATAAAATTTTAAGCCCCCAACTGACTGAACGGACTTCGTCTTGGACAAGGGGACCTCAGAGAAACCTTGGAAGTGGGTTCCGGCCAAAACAGATGGGAGGTAGTGTCAGAGGCCTGTGAACCAGAGCAACTCCATCTTAAATAGGGGCTGGGTAAAATGAGGCTGAAACCTACTGGGCTGCATTCCCAGATGGCTAAGGCATTCTAAGTCACAGGATGAGATATGAGGTCAGCACAAACTACAGATCATAAAGACCTTGCTGATAAAACATGTTGCAGTAAAGGAGCCAGCCCAAACCCACCAAAACCAAAATGACCACGACAGTGACCTCTGGTCGTCCTCACTGCTACACTCCCACCAGCTCCATGACAGTTTACAAATGCCATAGCAACGCCAGGAAGTTACCCTATATGGTCTAAAAAGGGGATGCATAAATAATCCACCCCTTGTTTAGCATATCATCAATAAATAACCATAAAAAAGGGCAACCAGCAGACCTTGGGGCTTCTCTGCCCATATATGGAGTAGACATTCTTTTATTCCTTTACTTTCTTATTAAACTTGCTTTCACTTTGCACAGCAGACTCGCTCTGAATTCTTTCCTGTACGAGATCCAAGAACCCTCTCTTGGGATCTGGATCCGGATCCCTGTCCTATAGCAGTAGGACCTGCCTGGTTATAACTGCGCCCCAGCCCCCCAACTTGCTAATTACCATTAGGCTTTCTCTCCTAAGGGCTAAATAGAAATTAGCCCTTTCAAAAGACTCCACTCCTGATCTCAATCAACCACATGATTGCTGTCCCTCGTTTTTGGGGTTTGACACAACACACATTAGACCAGCATTCTTTCCTGAAAAGAGACCAGACCATGCAGTGGTTCTGACCACTCTACAGAGGATGCACAGAGAGGGTTCTTCCTGTCCTCTGCCTCACCTTTTGAGGTCAGAGGGATGAAAACTCCACCCTCAAGTTATGCTGCCCTTTTTTGTACATGAGGCCCAGTTGCATATGCACATGTTTCTCCTTTCATAAATATTCGTGACTCTTCTTGTAGCTTATTGAACATGTATATTTGGCCACCCTGCTAAGTATAAATTTCTGTTCCCTCTGCCCCTCCCTTGAAGTGCCTGTTTCTGGCCTTTGGCCAGAGGCTACACTTCCCAGCCTGTCAAAATGACCACACTGCAGGCTGAAACCCTTTAGAAGAGATAAAGCTCTGCTTTCCAAATATATGAACCTCATCATTCTTCAGCTGGTAAGTAGAAAGCTAAATCAAGCCTGGAGACAGGAAGACCAGTTTGAAGTTTGCAATTGTTCAAGTTGACTTGAAAGGATCTGAACTAGGAAATGAGAGAACAAATGAATGGGAGAGACACTGGGGAGGTGGAATGGATTAAATAAAGATGGAAAGTGGAAAAGAAGAGGGAGCTGAGTTTCAGGTTTAGAGTCTTGGTTTGAGAAAGGTCTGGAGAAAGAACTAGTTGGAAATATGATAATAAGTTTGAGGAACCAGCAGAACACAAACTTCTACTGCCCAACCATTTATGTGAGGAGGCCCTGAACAGGTCCTAGATATAATCAAAATGAGTCCTGTGCTGCCTTGACTATATGCTAGAAATGCAAATCTGTATCTTAGTTCTTTAATTTGTAGGATAAGAAAGGCAACACTCACCTAGCTCCTAGAAATTTGAATGCCACGTAGAGATAGAGGGACTCTTGAGATCTTGACAAGAAGCCCCAGAGATTTCTAATGGGTCGTGAATCCTTTTTGGATTTTGCCTGTGTGGCAGACAAAGGTTTTGGCCCCTAAAGATTCACTGAAAAATCACTGACACAAGCCAGACTGATTAATAGGAGAAAAGGTATGCAAATGTAATCAATGTGTATACATGGAAGCTTTCAGAATGAAGATGCTACCCCCTTGATGAGGAGCTTATATACCATCTTAAGGTTACAAAAAGAAAGGGGGATTGGGCCGGGTGCAGTGGCCCACATCTGTAATCCCAACACTTTGGGAGGCCATGGCAGGTGGATCACCTGAGGTCAGGAGTTCAAGACCAGCCTGGTCAACATGGTGAAACCCCGTCTCTACTAAAAATAAAAAATTATCTGGGCGTGGTGGCGGGCGCCTGTAGTCCCAGCTACTCAGGAGGCTGAGGCAGGAGAATCACTTGAACCCGGGAGATGGAGGTTTCAGTGAGCTGAGATCGCGCCACTGCACTCCAGCCTGGGCGACAGAGTGAGACTCCGTCTCAAAAAAAAGAAAAAAAAAAAAGAAGAATGGGGCTTGGATCCTGGCCAAACAGGTTATGAGATGGGGAGTGGATTCTACTGAGGGGATTACTAGGGAGAATCAATGGATCTGGGAATAGAGATTTACTTGTAAACAGTTCTCTTGGACAGCAAAAGGGTCTGCTCAGGTATGGTTACAATCTTGGTCTCACAGGGAGAGGAAGTAAAAACAATTGTTCGCTTTGGTGCATCTGGATTTTAGGCAGATAAAGAAATTTCAACTTCCTTGGGAGAGATGGTGGGGAGGGGCGAGGAGGGCAGAGATACCTTGAGGCTTCTTCAGTTCAACATGTCAAAATGCCATGTTTTGGGGTCCTTGGTTTCTGAGCCCCAACACCTGTATAGATTGATGCATTGGTGTTACAGTAGGTAGCTAGTCAGACATGAGCAGGGCAGGAGAGAGGCCCCCCAACCCCCACCAGGTGACCATCAGGTTATGGTCAGGCAGTTGTTAAACTGTCTCTCTAAAACAATAATTGGTTGCAGCCAGCACCAAGGAAAGGCAGTCTCCCAATAGAAAAAACTTAAAACTGGTGATCAGCAGCCTCCTGATAAGATTTCAAGAGCCGGGAGAGTGGGCTCAAGCATGCACACTAAGAGGCAAAATGGCAGAGTTTAAACACTCTACTGGTAAGGGAAAAACGCCTCAAATGAGCATGTGCACAACTTCAGTAACACACTGCGCATGCGGCCCCTCCCAAGTGCGGACAGGCCACTGCACATGTGGACAGCCCACCCCACGGGAAGAATCAGGGAGAAGAGACCAGAAGCAACCAGAGGCATGCCAATGTATAAGACCCTGAGTCAAAAGTCAAACAGGGTACTTAATCTCTCAAGTCACTCACTTGGGCCTCTTTCAAGTATACTTTACTTCCTTTCCTTTCTGCTTAATGCTTTTTCATAAACTTTCACTTCTGATCTGAAACTTGTCTCAGTCTTTTCCTCTGCCTTATGCCCCTCGGTCGAATTCTTCCTTCCAAGTAGGCAAGGACTGAGGTTGCTGCAGTCCCCCTAGGGATCCTCTGCCACTAACATTAGTATTAATTGAATCATCTGGAATTGATGATTTCTTACCATTTTGATGTATTAAGAAGGGCAATTCCTCAATTTGCTTGAACTGTGCTGTGTGATGCAGAATACTTTAAAAGAAGATTTTCTGAAGATGACTACATTATTTTCCAAATCAGTTGAGGTGGTCATTAGTCCCAGAAGGTTATTAACTATTTATTTTTATTTATTTATTTATTTTTTGAGATGGAGTCTCACTCTGTCACTCAGGCTGGAGTGCAGTGGCACGATCTCGGCTCACTGCAACCTCTGCCTCCGGGGTTCAAGCGATTCTTGCTTCAGCCTCTTGAGTAGCTGGGATTATAGGTGTGCACCACCACGCCTGGCTAATTTTTTTGTATTTTTAGTACAGACCGGGTTTCATCATGTTGGTTAGGCTGGTCTCAAACTCCTGACCTCGTGATCCTCCCCCATCAGCCTCCCAAAGTGCTGGGATTACAGGCGTGAGCCAACGCGCCTGGCCAGTTATTACCTAATTTTAACCACGAAGCTCAAAGAGGTAGAGATAGTTTAAGACTTCATTTGCATTTTAATAAGTATAATGATTAGAAACAATGATTTAATATTTTTTGTCTACACTTTTAATAACACATTCATATTGCATTTTACAATTTACAGATAGTTTCTATCTATACTTTCTCATCTTACATTTACAACTACTCTGTGAGATAGATTACGCCAATCTAATTACTCCTGCTTTATAGATAAGGAAATAGGCTCAGATAAATTAATTGATTTGCCAAAGATCATATAGATTTTAAGTAGCAGGGTCAGTACTTGAAGCCAGGGCTAGAAATCTACATAGAAATCTACATAGACAAATAGAAATGATGATAAACATACATGTAAGAATTTTTTATGAGACACTAACTATTTAATACTGATCTGGGGCAGGTGAGGTCGCTCACGCCTGTAATCCCTGCACTTTGGGAGGTCGAAGTGGGCGGATCACGAGGTCAGGAGATCGAGACAAGCCTGGCTAACACGGTGAAACCCCATCTCTACTAAAAATACAAAATTAGCCGGGCGCGGTGGCACATGCCTATAATCCCAGCTACGCGGGAGGCTGAGGCAGGAGAATCGTTTGAACCTGGGAGGCGGAGGTTGCAGTGAGCCGAGATCGTGCCATTACACTCCAGCCTGGGCGACAGAGCAATATTCCGTCTAAAAAAATAAAAAAGAAAAATTGGAAGTGGTAGGAGAAAACAGGGTTGCCAATTTTTAATTTTGACAAATAAGAACTTTAAAAATTATACAAACGCTTATTATCACCATTATTTCATAAGAGACATAGTAATTCCAAAAAAATGACAGTTGTGAAGCTTACTCAGACGTTTTCCCTAGAGACCAGAGAAAACTTGGTTATAGACTGGCATCTATGTATCCAATGAATATATATTATAATATATTTAATCACAGTGAAAATCAAGGCACCAAAATCCCTCCTACATTTCTTCTATTTCTTTATTACTGAATCTGTCAAAAGACAAAATTTCAAAAAATTTAAAATTATCGAACTGGCTTTTATTCATGAATTAGACAACATTTCATCTAAAAATAGAGGAGTGCTATGCTGGGCATGTTAGGATAGTTGGTTTTTATAAAGTACCTTGAACAGTAACAAGGAAACAGTATAATATAAAAAGTGGATTGGTTAACATGAGGTTTACTTCAGGTTACTTTCTTTGTAGGGGTTAAAGCAGAGGGGACTTCCTAACCATGCAGGCTGAAACTGGCCTGTTTGGGGATTTGGCTATTTTCTCTCTCCTTCTTGATTTCTAAGGAAGTCAGATCAACAAGATCATTTGAGTTTGGTGATGTGGAACTTTAGTTCGAGTAACTCCATTTTGGTTTTCTCTGTTGGATCTAGTGCAGGAGCTCAGTCCAAGTCAATGGCCTCCCATAAATTTTATTTAATAAGTCTAACGCATCCTGGTCACATTGTCAGAGGTGTTTGAACCAGAGCAACTCCATATTGAATAGGAGCTGGGTAAAATGAGGCTGCAACCTACTGGACTGCATTCCCAGATGGTTAAGGCATTCTAAGTCACTGGATGAGATAGGATGTCGGCACAAGATACAGGTCATAAAGACCTTGCTGATGAAACAGATTGCAGTAAAGAAGCCAGCTAAAACTCACCATAATCCAGGTGGCCACAAGAGTGATCTCTGGTCATCCTCACTGATACACTCCCACCAGCTCCATGACAGTTTACAAATGCCATGGCAACATCAGGAAGTTACCCTGTATGGAGGTCTAAAAAGGGAAGGCATGAATAATCCACCCCTTGTTTATCATATCATCAAGAAATAACCATAAAAATGGGCAACCAGCAGCCCTTGTGGCTGCTCTGCCTATGGAGTAGCCAGTTTCTTTCTTTCTTTCTTTTTCTTTTTCTTTCTTTCTTTTCCTTTCTTTCTTTTGATTCCTTCCTTCCTTCCTTTTTCTTTCCTCTCTCTCTCTCTCTTTCTTTCTGGCGAAGTCTCACTCTTGTCCCCCAGGCTGGAATGCAATGGAGCGAGCTCGGCTCACTGCAACCTCAGCCTCCTGGGTTCAAGCAATTCTCCTGCTTCAGCCTCCTGAGTAGCTGGGACTACAGGTGTGCACCATCACTCCCAGCTAATTTTTGTATTTTTAGTAGAGACAGGGTTTCACCATGCTGGCCAGGCTGGTCTCGAACTCCTGACCTCAGGTGATCCACCCGCCTCAGCCTCCCAAAGTGCTGGGATTACAGGTGTGAGCCGCCTCGCCTGGCCTAACTTAAAATGTTTTGCTTATGATTTAAAAAGTTATATGTGTTGGCCGGGTGCGGTGGCTCATGCCTGTAATCCCAGCACTTTGGGAGACCACGGTGGGTGGATCATGAGGTCAGGCGTTTGAGACCAGCCTGGCCAACATGGTGAAACCCTGTCTCTACTAAAGATACAAAACTTAGCAGATCGTGGTGGTGGGTGCCTGTAATCCCAGCTACTCAAGAGCCTGAGGCAGGAGAACAGCTTGAACCCGGGAGGTGGGGGTTGCAGTGAGCCGAGATGGCGCCATTGCACTCCAGCCTGGGCGACAGGGTGAGACTCTGTTTCAGAAAAAAGAAAAAAAACAAAAAAGTTATATGTGTTTGTTGTAGGAAATTTAGAAAAACATAAAATAAAAATAACCTATAATTTTACCACCTCAAGAAAACGTTAACATTTTAGTGTATAGTCTTCCAAATTTTTTTCTATGGATATCTAAATACTTTTCAAAATTGAGATTTACTTACTATTTTAATGTGCTTTTCCTACTTTTATTTATATTTATTATTGTTATTTGAGACAGGGTCTCCCTCTGTCGCCAGGCTGGAGTGCAGTGGCATGCTGCAATCTCTGCCTCCCTGGGTTCAAGAAAGCCTTCCACCTCAGCCTTCCAGGTAGCTGGAATTACAGGCATGAGCCACTATGCCCGGCTAATTTTTGTATTTTTTGTAGAGATGGGGTTTTGTAGTGTTGCCTAGGCTGGTCTCAAACTCCTGGCCTCAAGAAATCCTCCCACCTTGGCCTCCCAAAGTGCTGGGATTGCAGGCGTGAGCCAATGCACCGAGATGTGTTCCCACTTTTAACATTTTGTAAGCAAAACATGATTTTTGACAGTTATTCAGTATACTAGCCTATGAATATACATACTATATTTAATCATCGTCTTAATTTTGGTTATTTAAATTTTTCAGTATTGTATGAAAAGCTGTCATGAGCACTCCTGTATACCTTTGTTCATGTCCCCAATTTTTCATTAGAATAAATGTCAGTGGAGAGATGATTAAATCAAAGATATGTATATTAGTCAGTATTTTGTTACAAATTGCTCACCAAAGAGTGCATTCCCATAAATAATATGCAAAAGTTTCCATTTCATTGTAGTAATCCAATGCTGACGTAATTATCTTTTTTCTTTCTTTTTCTTTTCTTTTTTTTTTTTTTTGAGACAGGATCTGTCCTGTTCTGTCGCTTAGGCTGGAGTGCAGTGGCATCATTATGGCTCACTAGCAGCTGTGACCCCCAGGCTCAAACAATCCTCCTGTCTCAGGCTCCCAAGTAGCTGGGACCACAGAAGCGTGCCACCAAACCTGGCTAACTTTTTCTCTTTTTTTTTTGTAAAGACAGGGTTTCCCCATGTTGCCTGGGCTGGTCCTGGTCTTGAACTCCTGGCCTCTAGGGATCCTTCCGCTTTAGCCTCCCAAAGTGCTGGGATTACAGATGTGAGCCACTGTACCCGGCCTAAAAATATATCTTGACTATGCAATTTTGATTTAAAATGTTATTTTCACAGCCTCCATAAAATGCCAAGATACAGATTGTTTATTATACGGTTCTTTCTCCTTATTCATATTGTTACTATTATTCTTTTTTTTTTTTTTTGAGACGGAATTTCACTCTTGTTACCCAGGCTGGAGTGCAGTGGCGCGATCTCGGCTCGCCATAACCTCTGCCTCCCGGGTTCAAGCGATTCTCCTGCCTCAGCCTCCTGAGGAGCTGGGATTACAGGCATGCACCACCACACCCGGCTAATTTTGTATTTTTAGTAGAGACAGTGTTTCTCCATGTTGGTCAGGCTGGTCTCGAACTCCCAACCTCAGGTGATTCGCCCACCTCAGCCTCCCAAAGTGTTGGGATTACAGGCATGAGCCACCATGCCTGGCCCTCACTATTATTCTTATTGCTACATTGAACGATTGAACATTCAATTGTATTTGCAATCCTAGTTCAATTGTATTTGCAACTATTTTGACATTTTGCCAATTAGCTCATCTTCACTTCGTTTTCTCTGGGTTAAATATCATGTTCAAATTGTGAGAGAATATAAACATTAATTATTGAAATGTATAATATTTCTAATTATCACTGCTTGGTTCTTAAACATTGCACATTTCTGATAGCTGGGTAGAAAAAGGAGATGAAAGAAGCCAGAAAAACTCTGTCAAATATCATGTAGCTTCAGCAATACTTTTTTTTTGTTTGTTTTTTGAGAGGGAGTCTTGCCCTATCACTCAGGCTGGAGTGTAGTGGTGCTATCTCGGCTCACTGCAACCTCTGCCTCCCGGGTTCAAGCGATTCCTCTGCCTCAGCCTCCCAAGTAGCTGGGATTACAGGGGCCTGCCATTATGTCCAGCTAATTGTTTGTATTTTTAGTACAGATGGGGTTTCACCATGTTGGTCAGGCTGGTCTCGAACTCCTGACGATGTCAGGTGATCCACCCATCTCGGCCTCCCAAAGGGTTGGAATTTCAGGAGTGAGCCACTGTGCCCTGCCAGCAATACTATTTTAGTAACGATTGTTTTCATTGAGCAATTGATTTCACCTAGAGGGAATTCCTTCACTCTTCCAGACAGCAGGCTAGCATCAATCAGGGTCTCAGGTTCATTTTTCAGAAGGGTGGTTTTGCTTAGCAATCTCCCAAGTGATATTAATCGAGGGTGAATTTGAATAAGGGCAGTATCTCCCAGACTACTTGGGCTATATCTTTCGTGACTCCACTTGGCTTTCTATTTCTACCTTTTTATTGTTTCTCCAATCCTCATCTTTCAGCTTTTCTTTTCAACCAATCATTTCCCCCTACTTTTATTCTTTATGAACAGCTCTAGGCTTGGTGAGATTGCTGCTTCAAAGATAATTATTGTAAAGTCTGTGCTATGCAGGCCAATAGTTGCACGCAAAACAATTTTGAGTATGAAGGTCACAGACAAGGGCACTACTCAAAACTGAGAAGAAAACAGTCTACACTTGGCACAAACCATAACCGAACCCCAGTGTGCTGAAGGCATTTTGCCTTCACCTGCACCCGTTACATATCTAATTTTTGCTTTTAGTCAATAATCAGTGAAAATTTACTGCTAGTTTAATACAGATAATTGAGGTGGTCCCTAGACCCCACTTTAAGTGTGACTTCTTCCTCAAGTATTACCATTTTAAAGTAGTAGTGAAGTAAAGAACTTGGTCTTTCTATTGTCTTCCAGCAATACACATCACAGTGGGTCCCATACACAGGATCAGTAAGTGGATGTCTGCCCCACACTTCAAAGCTACCTAAATATAAACACACTAAAGAATACAGGAATATTTGCTGTATCATTTCTCTTAGGTTGCTGTTCCTGCTTTACCATAATGCTTCCCAAGTTTAGGATACTGAGGAGTTATCTGGGCTTCTTATTAAACTGCAGATTCCTGGACCTCACATCCAGAGGATCTGATTCAGTAGATCTCAAGTGGGGTCCAGGAATCTCTGAGTTTTGGAAACATCAGAACTGATTCTGATGCAGGTGGTCAGAAACCCTAGTGAGGTGGTTTTACTAGTACTTGGAAGCCGACCATCCTTATTGGTTCTCTTATTGGCCAATTATTTTTAAACTGTTTTAGTTTCTCCATTTTCAAAACTAAACAAATAAATCTGGTCAATCTGGTCAGACACCCTAGTGAGGTGGTTTTACTAGTACTTGGAAGCCGACCATCCTTATTGGTTCTATTATTGGCCAATTATTTTTAAACTGTTTTAGTTTCTCCATTTTCAAAACTAAACAAATAAATCTGGTCAATCTGATTCTTTGGGGTTAGGTAAAGATGAAAATGATTATGTTGACATTTGTTCCAGAGACAGACATCAATATGCTCAGTAAAGAGAATTGCCCATTTTTATTTTTATTATATATATATATATATATATATATATTTTTTTTTTTTTTTTTTTGAGACAGAATCTCATTCTGTCGCCCAGGCTGGAGTGCAGTGGCACAATCTCAGCTCACTGCAACCTCCGCCTACCCAGTTCAAGCGATTCTCTTGTCTCTGCCTCCAGAGTAGCTGGTATTACAGATGCATGCCACCAGGCCCGGCTAATTTTTGTATTTTTAGTAGAGATGGGGTTTCATCATATTAGTCAGGCTGGTCTCGAACTCCTGACCTCAGGTGATCCACCCGCCTTGGCCTCCCAAAGTGCTGGGATTATAGGCATGATCCACCACACCCGGCCAATTGCCCATTTTTAAATGAACGAGTGATTAAAACAACAATAACACACAAACAACAAACCAAAAACCAAATAACTGGGGAGAAGGAGGGAGGACTATGAAGTGGGAGGGTAACCCTTACATAGGTAAACCAGAGTCATCCCTCTTCAGGGTAAAGATTCTCTTGCCTAACCCCTAATACCATCATGCTGCAGAAAGCCATCAGAGTATAACTCCTCACTAAGCAAATGTTTCTCTGGTCTGTGGGCCAGCCCTGCCCAGTTGGGTGTGTCAAGCCTGATAATTTCTGGAGTAGAAACATAAGCTGAACATCAGAAACTAGCCTTGATAACACCGCAACTCACCTTAATTATTAAATTTTCCCAGAAAGGGCCAGGTGTAGTGGCCCCTGGCCACTTTGGGAGGCCGAGGTGGGAGGACTGCTTGAGCCCAGGATCTCAAGACCAGCCTGGGCGACATAGCAAGACTCCATTTCTACAAAAAAATAAAAAAATTATCCAGGCATAGTGGTTCATGCCTATAGTCCCAGCTACTTACGAGGCTGAGGTAGGAGGATCGCTTGTACCTGGGAGGCTGCTGTGAGACATGATCGCACCACTGCACTCCAGCCTGGGTGACAAAGTGAGACCTTGTCTCAAAATTAAAATGTTTTTTTTCCTAGGAAGAATCTATCCTTAGAAAAAATTTAAAACATGAAAAAATGCAATAAACAAAATATTTAGGCTAGTGATTATTCCTGTGAGGGAAGAGAGCTGGCTGCAACCAAAGAGAAGCACAGAGGGGACTTCTAAATTACAAGCAATATGTTATATTTCAAGTTGGAAGTGGGTACTCAGCTGTTCATTTTATTTACCTATTTCTTATTTTTTCTTCTTGTTATTATTATTATTTTTTTGAGACAGTCTTGCTCTGTCACCCAAGAGTGCAGTACAGTCACTGCTGGAGTGCAGTGGCATTGATCACAGCTCACTGCAGCCTCAAATTCCCAGGCTCAAGTAATACTCCTACGTCAGCCTCCTGAGTAGCTGGGACTACAGGCGCATGCCACCATGCTCAGCTAATTTTTAAAATTTTTTGTAGAGATGAGGTCTCACTATTTTGCCCAGGCTGGTCTTGGAACTCCTGGGCTCCAGCAATCCTGTCTCAGCCTCCCAAAGTGCTGGGATTACAGGCATTAGCCACTGCACCTGGACCATTTTATTATTTTTCTTTCTTTCTTCTTTCTTTCTTTTTTTTTTTTTTTTTTTTTTTTTTGAGATGGAGACTCACTCCGTTGCCCAGGCTGGAGTGCAGTGGTGCAATCTCAGCTCACTGCAACCTCCGCCTCCCAGGTTCAAGCCATTGTCGTGCTTCAGCCTTCCGAGTAGCTGGGACTACAAGTGTGTGCCACAATGCCTGGCTAATTTTTGTATTTATAGTAGAGATGAGGTTTCACCATTTTATTATTTTTCTTTAAGCTTTTCTTATATGCTTTATGCAAGCTTTATACTTAATATAAATCACCTTAAATTAAAACAATTTTTCGTAAGAAAAGCTGTATTTCAAGTTATGTTTATGTCAGTGTTATTTATAATAAAAACATAAAATGGAAATAGCCTATTTGTTGGAATAAAGTGAATGTTAGTTCAACCATATGGTGAATGGAATATTATTCAGTTATTTAAAATATTGTTAGGTAGCACCCTATAGAAAGAAATAATCTTACAAGTTACCAAAAATGATCACATGACAAAAATAACCATGTGATTACAACCATGAAAAACAGTTCAGATAATAAGAATGTATGCTACTGTGATATAGTTGGGTTTTAGCAAAAGGGATTATGAGTGTTTTTCTCCTTGCTTTGTTTTTCTAATTTCCTATAGTCTGTTTATGTTGTTTTTAATAATTAAAATTTTTGGGCCAGACACGGTTGCTCACGCCTGTATTCCCAGAACTTTGGGAGGTCAAGGTGGGTAGATCACTTGAGGTCAGGAGTTCGAGACCAGCCTGCCAACATGGTGAAACCCCGTCTCTACTAAAAATAAAAAAAATTAGCTGGGCGTGGTGGTGCACACCTGTAATCCCAGCTACTCAGAAGGCTGAGACAGGAGAATCACTTGAACCTGGGAGGTGGAGGTGGCAGTGAGCCGAGATAGTGCCACTGCACTCCAGCCTGGGCGACAGATCGAGGCTCTGTCTTAAAAAAATAATAATTACAACTTTTATTACGAAAAGAAAAAAAAGATTTCCCCAGAAACATGTTTTGATTTCACTATAAATTTAAATGGCCAGAAATCGTACCAGTTTATAAAGTTTTGTATAGGAGGGGAAGTTTTCACAGAGAACGTCCTTTTCTTGGATGTTTCTCAGTAACCTCTCAGCCTCTGCACCTCAGAGAACAAAGGTCTTTTGCTAAGATTCAAATTGTTTGCCAAAAAATTGAGTTTCCCCTCCTTTTGGTTCTTGCCATTGGCCAGCGTGCTTTTCTATCACCAGAGACCTCCAGTATCTCGCTCACACACATCTCACAGCAAGGAGCTGACTAATCCTAAGGCTGGCGGCTTGTTAGGCAACCTTTCACACAGTGCCTATTGCTACCCCATTGCACAATATATTTGACTGGGAATGATAAACCCGTGGTTTACATTTGACTCCAGTCACCTTGTTAGTGCCAGCAGCTTACGTGTGTAAATATCACCCACTGCCTTTAGAAAGACGTTGACAGTTGACATTGTGTTCCTGGCTCCGTAGTGTTGTGTAACACTGGGGAGGAGCAGAGGGGTGGGGAGAAAGAGCCTATAAGGAAGCATCAATCAGAAGCAAATGAGGATATGAACTTATAATCACTTCCAGCTTTATTTATGAAAGAAATGAAAAGCTGGACACTTATGGGTTGTAGCTTCAAATAAACTTAATATTAGAATTAAAGAACTAGAAGAAACAAATTAATCAACATTCAATATATTTCTATTAATCCATTGGTAATATATAAGTAAATCTTTGACAGAGGCACCACACTTTTTTCAGTGACTAAAATAGTTCAAATGGAGAACAGCCATTGCTGTATTATTACAAATTCTGTTGTAATTTCATGAATGTGACAATATAGAATGTATATGATAGAAGAAATCACTATGCAAAGAAGGTTCTGTGCTTAGTTTTTTGAGACTACAAGTCATTTCTTTACACACACACACACACACACACACACACACAAACCCTGTAGCTATGCCCAGGTTAGGGGGAAAGAGGAAGTGGGGAACCCTAAAAGAGAAGAGAATAAAGATTTCAATTATCATTTGTTCTAGGAATGAATACTATCTTACTCAGAGCTTTAAGTCTGTGAGAATATTCAGCCCATATAGTGCAGTACATTTACTGAGGTTAGATTAGTTATTTTTAGTGTCTTCCATGTCCCCTCTGTACACAGTGTGATACTAACAGTAACATAAAAGCCACCTGCAAATTTTGTTTGCTAATAAGATTCCAGACCATTAATGAAAGGACATAGGTTGATTTTGCTAAACAAAACAAAAACTCCAAGAATATCAAAAGCTTGTTTTGAGTGTGAAAGAAGAATAAAACAGATTTCATTTTTATTTGGTTACAAAGAATGTGTTTTTAAAAAGCTGGAAGAGAGTAAGGCAAAGGCTAACCACCCCTTGATAAAGTAGGATATCATAAGGAAAATTATGCAATGGTTAGTGAGATTGCAGAACACTCAATATAGCTAACTTTCCTCAAGATTGAGAAGGACAAAGTAAGTTCCTTAGAATGAGTATCTTTGTATAGTAAGTTTGAATCATACCAGTACATATTAACCAGGTCATTTACTACTTTGACTCACTCTTTTCATTAATATTCAGGAATTACTGTGGTCAAAACTTTATTAACCAACAAAACCTGAGTGTGGAAGGTGTTTCCAACTTGGACAGGAGCAAAAGGCCAAAACTCACCTATAATGAATCACCAACAACTACTTTAGTGTTCTAAGTGTAACTGATAGCCCTGCTAATATTCAATCCTTAAATGTTTATGATGAAGAATTTCACCTTTGGCACCTAGGTATACAGAAATCTTTTTCAACCTCATTTTACCAGGTGGTTGTTTTTTTTTAATGGGACCAGGGAAAATGGGTAAAATAGACTGTATAGATCATTGAGTTACATACTATTTATTGATTGATTGATTGAGAGGGAGTCTCGCTCTGTCACCCAGGCTGGAGTGCAGTGGCACCATCTCGGCTCACTACAACCTCTGCCTCCCAGGTTCAAGTGATTCTCCTGCCTTAGCCTCCCGAGTAGCTGGGACTACAGGCGTGCGCTACCACACCCATCTAATTTTTGTATTTTTAGCAGAGATGGGGATTCACCATGTTGGCCAGGCTGGTCTTGAACTCCTGAACTCAAGTGATCCGCCCACCTTGGCCTCCCAAAGTGCTGGGATTACAGGTGTGAGCCACTGTGCCTGGCTGAGTTACATACTTTAAATGATGGTGGTCCTGTCTCTTAAAAATGTATATCCAGGGCTGGGTGTGGTGGCTTACACCTGTAATCCCAGCACTTTGGGAGGCCGAGGTGGGCAGACTAAATAAATGGGAACACATTCTATGTTTATAAATTAGAAAATCTGATATTATTAAAACCTTAATACTTTTGAAATTGATCTATAAACTGAATGCAAGCCCTATAAAAATCAGCTGTCTTGTTTTATAACTAACATGCTAATCTTAAAATTTATTTTATTTTTATTTTATTTTATTTATTTATTTATTTATTTTGATACCGTGTCTCACTCTGTTGCCCAGGCTGGAGTGCAGTGGCGCCATCTCGGCTCACTGCAAGCTCCGCCTCCCAGGTTCACACCATTCTCCTGCCTCAGCCTCCCCAGTAGCTGGGACTACAGGCACCCGCCACCACGCCTGGCTAATTTTTTTTTTTTTTTTTTGTATTTTTAGAAGAGATGGGGTTTCACCGTGTTTGTCAGGATAGTCTCGATCTCCTGACCTCATGATCCGCCCGCCTCGGCCTCCCAAAGTGCTGGGATTACAGGTGTGAGCCACTGCGCCTGGCCTATTTATTTATTTTTTAAGACAGAGTCTTGCTGTGTCACCCAGGCTGGAATGCACTGGCGCAATCTCAGTTCACTACAACCTCTGCCTCCTGGGTTCAAGCAATTCTCCTGCCTCAGCCTCCCAAAGTGCTGGGATTACAGGCGTGAACCACTGCGCCCGGCCTAATCTTAAAATTTATATAGAAACGTAAGAAACCCAGAATGGCCACAGTAATTTTTATTTTATTTTATTTTTTGAGATGCAGTTTTGCTCTTGTTGCCCAGGTTGGAGTGCAATGGTGTGAACTCGGCTCACTGCAACTTCCATCTCCCGGGTTCAAGTGATTCTCCTGCCTCAGCCTCCCGAGTAGCTGGGATTACAGGTGCCTGCTACCATGCCTGGCTAATTTTTGTATTTTTGGCAGAGTCGGGTTTTCACCATGTCGACCAGGCTGGTCTCAAACTCCTGACCTCAGGTGATCCACACTCCTCAGCCTCTCAAATTGCTGGGATTACAGGCATGAGCCACCACGCCTGGCCATATTTTTTTTTTTTTTGAGATGGAGTCTTGCTCTGTTGCCCAGGTTGGAGTGCAGTGGCTCACTGCAACCTCTGCCTCCCAGGTTCAAGCAATTCTCCTGACTCAGCCTCCTGAATAGCTGGGATTACAGGCACCTGCCACCACACCCGGCTAATTTTTTGTATTTTTAGTCGAGCCGGGGTTTCACCATGTTGGCCAGGGTGGTCTCGAACTCCTGACCTCGTGATCTGCCTGCCTCAGCCTCCCAAAGTGCTGGGATTACAGGCATGAACCACCACGCCCAGCCCATGATAATTTTTAAAAGGAGAAAAAAAGAAAAAATGTTGGAGGATTCACACTGCCTGATTTCAAAACACACTACAAAGCCACAGTAATCAAGTCATGGAGCTACTGGCATATGGATGGAAATACAGATCAATGAAACCAAATTGAGAATCCTGATAAACCTTTACATTTATGGGCACCTGAGTTTCAACAAGAGCGCCATGGAAATTCATGAGGTAAGAAGAGTCATTTCAACAAATGGTGCTGAAATGATCAGGTATCCATTTATTCATTTCTTTAATCCAAAAAAGGATAATAAAGTTGGATTCCTGCCTTACAACATAAACAAAAATTAATTCAAAATGGATCCTAAGCCTAAATGTACAATCTAAAATGATAAAACTCAGAAGAAAACACAGATGTATTTTTTGAGATGGAGTCTCACTCTGTCACCCAGGCTGGAGTGCGGTGGCATGATCTCGGCTCACTGCAACCTCCGGCTCCTGGGTTCAAGCGATTTTTCTGCCTCAGCTTCCCGAGTAGCTGGGATTACAGGCACGTGCCACCATGCCTGGCCAATTTTTCTATTTTTAGTAGAGATGGGGTTTGGCCATGTTGACCAGGCTGGTCGCGAACTCCTGGCCTCAGGTGATCCACCCGCCTCAGACTTCCGAAGTGCTAGGATTACAGGTGTGAGCCACCACACTCGGCAGAAAACACAGATGTAAATTTCCATGCTCTTGGATGAGGCAGTGGTTCCTTACATGCCAAAAGCACATGTGACAAAATAAAAAATAAAACTTCAATAAAACTTCAATTTAATAAAAAATTAAAATTCAAAGTTAAAAACTTTTGTGCTTCAAAGGACACTATGAAGAAATTAAAAGGGCGGCCAGGTGCAGTGGCTCACGCCTGTAATCCCAGCACTTTGGGAGGCTAAGGTGGGTGGATCACCTGAGGTTGGGAGTTCAAGACCAGCCTGAACAACATGGAGAAACCTGGTCTCTACTAAAAATACAAAATTAGCTGGGTGTGGTGGTGCATGCCTGTAATCCCAGCTACCCGGGAGGCTGAGGCAGGAGAATTGCTTGAACCTGGGAGGCTGAGGTTGCAGTGAGCTGAGATCACGCCATTTCACTCCAGCCTGGGCAACAAGAGTGAAACTCCGTCTCAGAAAAAAAAAAAAAAAAGGAGAAAATCCATTTTTTCATTTGCAAATTGTTTATCTCACAAGAGACATGTATCCAGGATACAATATATAAAGAATAGTTACAACTCAACAATGGAAAGACAAATATTAGGGGAGCATAGTGGCGCATGCCTATAGTTCCAGCTACTCAGGAGGCTGAGGTGGGAAGATTGCTTGGCCCAGGAGTTTGAGGCTGCAGTGAGCTATGATTGTATCACTGCACTGCAACCTGGGTGATAGAGTGAGACCCTGTTTAAAAAAAAAAAAAAAAAAGAAACCCAACAAGTTAGTTTAAAAATAAAGGGTTTGAAGTTTGAATAGACATTTCTCTAAAGATGATATATGAATAGCCAAATAAGCACATAAAAGATGCTCAACGATTAGTCCTTAGAGAAATGCAAATCAAAATCACAACAAGATGCTACTTCATACACACTAGGATGGCTATAATTAAAAAGTCAGATAATAACAAGTGTTGGTGAGTATATGGAGAAATTAGAACACTTGTAAACTGTTGGTGGGAATGTAAAATGGTCCAGCCACTTTGGAAAACATTTGATAATTCCTCAAAAAGCTAAATATATTGTTACTATATGGCTCAGCAATTCCCCTCCTATGTATGTATCAAAAATAATTGAAAACATAAATATCTACCCAAAAACTTATACTTGAATGTTTTTACCAGCATTATTCATAATAACAAAAAAATGGAAACACCCAAATGTCCACTAATACACAAAGAAAATGTAGTATATAAATGCAATGGACTATTATTCAGCTATAAAAAGGAATGAAGCTCTGATATAAACTACAATACGGATGAACCTTGAATATACGCTAAATGAAAGAAGCCAGATATGAAAGGTCACATGTTGTATCATCCCATTTATATGAAATATCCTGAGTAGGCAAATCCATAAAGACAGAAAATAAATCAGTGGTTTACAGGAACTGAGGGTTGAGGAGAATGTGGGGTGACTGCTAATGAGCATGAGTTTTTAAAATTTTTTTTTTTTTTTTTGAGACGAAGTTTCCCTCTTGTCGCCCAAGCTGCAATGGTGTGATCTCGGCTTATTGCAACCTTCGCATCCTGGGTTCAAGCAATTCTCCTGCCTCAGTCTCCTGAGTAGCTAGGATTACAGGCACGTGCCACCATGCCCGGCTAATTTTTGTATGTTTAGTAGAGATGGGGTTTCACCATATTGGCCAGGTTTGTCTCGAACTCCTGACCTCAGGTGATCCACCCGCCTCGGTCTCCCAAAGTGCTGGTCTTACAGGTGTGAGCCACTGCGCCCATTCTAGTTTTTAAATTTTTTTTGTAGGGTGATGAAAATGTCCTAGAATTTCATAGTGGTTACTGATGCACAAGTTTGCTAATATACTAAAAACCCCTGGAATGTATACTTTCAAAGTATAAACTTCATGTAATGTGAGTTATATTTCAATAAAGCACTTATTAAAAGTGTATTTATCTATATATCATGTACCTATTAGAAAACTGAATATAAACTTAAAGAAATTTCGGGATAATTTTCAAAGAAAAATTAGTTTAGATAGTTCCTTGAAAGTTTGGTGGCTAATTTCCTTGGTCGTGAAGCACCCTGCCTTAATCTGTAAAATTTTCACCTCAGCACATCCACATGCCCACATTAATAATAGGTATATATAGACTTCAGGTGTTATCAAGACATTGATATTTACCTAGTAAATATAATACTATTCCCCAGGCTCTAATTTATCTCAGGATAAATTAGAATTTTTCTAATTTATCCACCTTGGTTTTATAGACAAGTGTTCAGGTAATGTATGGCAAATGACCTCCAGGGAAGTAAAAGATAATTTGGATTTTGAATGACCTAGATGGATTTTTTTTTTCCTAAGCAGCTTTGCTGGATAACTGCTCACTGCTTTAACTCTGCTTCTGCAGACGGGGGCTCTCGGAGCATAGACGTGTAATCCTCATGGCTGAAATAAAGCAGCTACTTTTCCTGGCTCAGCTAAAAAAGCCCAGCTCTCAGGCTTCTTTAGTTAGCTGATAAAAGGGATAAAACAACTTGTTGAATAACAGATACATTTGGATGGTTATGGATAGATGAATTTTGCACTTTGTTGATATAAAATGTCCAAGAAAAAGGCTTAAGACTTGTTTAACTTCATATTGTTTAACAATATGATCAGTCTGTTAAATATATTTTATATTTTTATATATATGTCTAGAAAAAAGACCATAGAAATGTTATCAAAATGTTAATAATAATAATCTTAAAATGGAAGGTGATTATTGTTTTCTTTCTTTTTTCTTTTGTGAATTTTCCAATTTTTCCACTCTCTGTATGCATTACACTATTTTTTTTTTCTAGAGATAGGGTCTCACTCTGTTGTCCAGGCTTGAGTGCATAGCATGATCATAGCTCACTGTAACCTTGAACTCTTGGGCTGAAGCGATCCTCCTGCCTCAGCCTCTAGAGTAGCTGGAACTACAGTCATGTGCCACCATACCTGGCTCCATTAAATTTGTTTTTATTGCAAAAATGATTGTAAAAGAATTCAAACACTAAAGAGGAATATTTAAAAAAGATCAAAGTCCTCTCCCTTTCTTCCAATCTGCCTTTCAGAGATAATCACTTAATAGTTTGATGCATGTTCTTTTTTTTTTTCTTCTTTATGAGACAAAGTCTCACTCTGTCACCCAGGCTGGAGTGCAGTGACACCATTTTGGCTCACCGCAACCTCCACCTCCCAGGTTCAAGCAATTCTCCTGCCTCAGCCTCCTGAGTAACTGGGATTACAGGCACCTGCCACCATGCTCGGCTAATTTTGTATTTTTGGTAGAGACAACGTTTCACCATGTTGGCCAAGCTGGTCTCAAACTCCTAACCTCAAGTGATCCACCTGCCTTGCCCTCCCAAAGTGCTGGGATTACAGGCTTGAACCACGTGCTTGGCCTAACTTTTTTAAAATGAGATCTTAATGTGTTCATGATTCTGCAACTTTCTATTCCAGTTTAAAATATTTGTCATTTCTCTAAGTCAGTCTTCTTTTTTTTCCCGAGACAGTCTTGCTCTGTGGCCCAGGCTAGAGTGTAGTGGTGCTATCTTGGCTCACTGCAACCTCTGCCTCAGGCTCAAGCAATTCTCCTGCCTCAGCCTCCCAAGTAGCTAGGATAACAGGTGCATGCCACCACACGGACTAATTTTTTTTTTCTTTTTTGAGATGGAGTCTCACTCTGTCACCCAGGCTGGAGTGCAATGGTGAGATCTCGGCTCACTGCAACCTCCGCCTCCTGGGTTCAAGCAATTCTCCTGCCTTAGTCTCCTGAGTAGCTGGGATTATAGGCGCGTACTACCATGCCCGGCTAATGTTTGTATTTTTAGTAGAGACAGGGTTTCACCATGTTCGTCAGGCTGGTCTCGAACTCCTGACCTTGTGATCCGCCTGCCTCGGCCTCCCAAAGTGCTGGGATTACAGGCATGAGCCACCGTGCCTGGCCCACACCAACTAATTTTTGTATTTTTAGTAGAGACAGGGTTTCACCATGTTGGCCAGGCTGGTCTTGAACTAGCTGGTCGCAAACTCCTGACCTCGTGATCCACTGCTCCCCCCGACCCCAGCACCACCCCCAACTCAGCCTCCCAAAGTTCTGGGATTACAGGCGTGAGCCACCGTGCCCAGCCAGTCAGTCTTCTTTTTAACATCTTCACAGATTAGATGAATGTCTCATATTTTATTTGTTCACTCTGCCATTGACAGGACATATAGGCTGTTTTCAATATTTAACAAATACAAAAATTCTACAGTAAACATCCTGGTATATTTCTTTTTCTGCAATCACTATAATTTCTATAGGCTTGATTCCTCAAGGTGTATTACTTCTTGTCATCAGGGAAAAAAAATCATTTAACCTAGAGAGACAGCTAGGAGCTTCTGCACCGACTTTTTAAATTCAAAATCTGCCCTGTCATTTACCAGATGTGTAATCTTACACAAATTAATCTCTGCAGGTCTTGGTTTCCCTATCTGTAAAATGGACATAGTAACATTATCTCCTTTTAAGGATTGTTAGGAGGATTAAATGAGTTAGTACAAGTACTTGAGGCTGGGCACAGTGGCTCATGTCTGTAATCCCAGCACTTTGGGAGGCTGAGGCAGGTGGATCATCTGAGGTTAGGAGATCGAGACCAGCCTAACCAATATGGTGAAACCCTGTCTCTACTAAAAATACAAAAATTAGCCAGGCGTGGTAGCAGGTACCTGTCGTCCCAGCTACTCGGGAGGTTGAGACAGGAGAATTGCTTGAACCCGGGAGGCAGAGGCTGCAGTGAGCCAAGATGGTGCCACTGCACTCCAGCCTGGGCAACACAGCGAGACTCCGTCTCCAAAAAAAAAAAAAAAGTACTTGAAGTGGTGACTGGGTACATAATGAGCCCTGTACAAGTATTTTTTAAGTTAATTTTTAAAATAGTCATTCCTTTTGTTTTTTCCTAGAATAATGGTACCTGTTTAATTTTTTATGTAACAAAGTAAATACAGGAACACATTTACTTAAACTATTTTAAGTTTTATAAAGCTTCAGTAAGCTGGATGCAGTAGCTCATGCCTGTAATCCTAGCACTTTAAGAGGCTGAGGTGGGCTGACTGCTTGAGCCCAGGTGTTTGAGACCAGCCTGGGCAACACAGCAAGACCCTGTCTCTTATTTAAAAGTAATTAAAAATTTTTTAATTATAAAAAAATTAAAAAGCGTAAGCATATAACTATAGCTGTCTCCCTTTCCATAGATACTAATTTGGTTAAATGATACGTTTATTAAGAAATATTTCTCTCAGATTGCCTAGAAATACTGTGTCAGTATTGCTTCCTTTATCCTCCTAGTCCTCCCATATTTAAAAAAAATTACAAAATTTCATTACATACAAAAAGTATAAACACTAGTATAATTATGTACTATAATATACCCATTATTAATATTCAATGGATCTACTCAGTATATGGCCAATTGTGTTCATCTGTACTCTACTCACTGTCCACTCAAATGACCTTGAAGTAATCCTAATTACCATATCATTTTACCTATAAATAATTTTGCATGAATTTCTAAGCAATTAGGACATTTTTGTTGTTGTCGTTGAGATGGAGTCTCGCTCTGTTGCCCAGACTGGAGTGCAGTGGCACAATCTTGGCTCACTGCAACTTCCACCTCCCTGGTTCAAACGATTCTCCTGCCTCAGCCTCCTGAGTAGCTGGGATTACAGGCATAGGCCACCACGCCCGGCTAATTTTGTATTTTTAGTAGAGATGGGGTTTCACCATGTTGGTCAGGCTGGTCTCGAACTCCTGACCTCAGGTAATCCACCCACCTCGGTGGCCTCCCACAGTGCTGGGATTACAGGCATGAGCCACCCCTGGCCCCAGTTTTCAAAATCATACAACAATTATATAACTTTTTCCCCTAATGTGCACATTTTGCAATCTATAATAAGAAAATATAATTATCTACAGAATTTAGGTTCTTGAAAGTTTTCTTTAAAAAAAAAAAACTTTAGATTAAAAATAAAAATTTATTTTTCTTAAAGAGATGGGGTCTCTCTACCTTGCCCAGGCTGGTCGCTAACTCCTGGGCTCAAGTGATCCACCCTCCTGCCTCAGCCTACCAAAGTGCTAGGATTACAGGAGTGAGCCATCTTGCCTGGCCCTGGGTTCTTGAAAGTTTTCTATTGAATACATTTTTACAAATTAGATCCCACTTTTCTTTTAACTGGGCTTATAAAGTAATTATTATGTATCCAAGTATGTTTATGCAGAGTAATATTATGTATACAAGTAAAGTTTATGCAGAGTAATACATATTTTATTTATTGGCAAGAATAATTTTCCTTAAGATAAAAGGGACAGGATGTTTACAAAGAGCATATTATAGAAAGATTTTTTTAGCCATGGAACAACTAACTAGAAACATAAAGCACACGAATTTTACAACTATTATTTTTTTTTTCTTCACTACCAAGGGACATGGTAAGATATAGTGAATCATGTAACAAATTGTCCAAATTCCAGAATTTATTTTTAAATAATCATTTTTGAAATCTTTAGAAAATAAGCAGTGATTCTTAGAAGACAGCATTACTAAGAATTAGTCATCTCAAGCTAAACTTACTTCTTATTTAACTTTTTATTTTGAAATAAGTTTGGGGTTATAAAAGTTGCAAAGGTAATTAAAAATTTTCTTTTTTTTTTTTTAGTTTTTGAGATGGAGTCTCCCTCTGTCGCCAAGGCTGGAGTGCAGTGGGGCGATCTTGGCTCACTGCAACCTCCACCTCCCGGGTTCAAGCGATTGTCCTGCCTCAGCCTCCCGAGTAGCTGGGACTACAGGTGAATGCCACCACGCCCAGCTAATTTTTGTATTTTTAGTAGAGACGGGGTTTCATCATATCGGTCAGGCTGGTCTTGAACTCCTGACCTCGTGATCCACTCGCCTTGGCCTCCCAAAGTGCTGGGATTACAGGCATGAGCCACTGTGCCTGGCCTAAAATTTTCTATATGCCCTTAACCCAGCTTCCCCGAATGTTATTGAGATGATATAATTGATGTAACTGAATTTCGAGACGGCATTGGCAAGATTTTCTTTAAAGTTTTATTAGAGACAAGCTGGGTGCAGTGGCTCACACTCATAATCTCAGCACTTTGGGAGGCAGAGGCAGGCAGATCATTTGAGGCCAATATGTTATTATTATTATATTGACCTAGGTCAGTGGTTCTCAGCCTTGGCTACACATTGGTGACCTAGAGCTCTTTAAGAAGTACTGATGCCGCCGGGCGCAGTGGCTCACACCTGTAATCCCAGCACTTTGGGAGGCCGAGGCAGGCGGTTCACGAGGTCAGGAGATTGAGACTATCCTGGCTAACACTGTGAAACCCCGTCTCTACTAAAAATACAAAAAAATTAGTCGGGCATGGTGGTGGGCACCTGTAGTTCCAGCTACTCGGGAGGCTGAGGCAGGAGAATGGCGTCAAGCCAGGAGGCGGAGCTTGCAGTGAGCCAAGATCGTGCCACTGCACTCCAGCCTAGTTGACAGAGCAAGACTCCGTCTCAAAAAAAAAAAAAAAAAAAAAAAAAAAATATATATATATATATATATATATATATATATATACCGATGTCTTATGTCTACAGACTGACAACAACCAGTAAGCCTGAGACAATGGGCGTGATGTCAAGAGATGAGAATGGAAGAATGGAAAGGCAGCATATTGTGAAGGGCACTGAATGTAATGTTGAGGTGTTTTAATTTCTTTCTTTTTTTTTTTTTTTTTGAGACGGAGTCTTGTTCTGTCACCCAGGCTGGAGTGCAGTGGTGCAATCTTGGCTCACTGCAACCTCCACCTCTCAGGTTCAAGTGATTCTCCTGCCTCAGCCTCCCGAGTAGCTGGGATTACAGGCACCTAACACCACGCCCAGATAATTCTTGTATTTTTAGTAGAGACGGGGTTTCACCATGTTGACCAAGCTGGTCTTGAACTCCTGACCTCAGGTGATCCACCTGCCTCGGCCTCCCAAAGTGCTGGGATTACAGGCATTAGCCAACATGCCCGGCTTTTTCTTTTTTTTTTTTTGAGACGAAGTTTTACTCTTGTCGCCCAGGCTGGAGTGCAATGGCATGATCTCGGCTCACTGCAACCTCTGCCTCCCTGAGTCAAGTGATTCTCCTGCCTCAGCCTCCCGAGTAGCTGGGATTACAGGCACCCACCACAACGCCCAGATAATTTTTGTATTTTTAGTAGAGATGGGGTTTTGCCATGTTGGCCTAGCTGGTCTTGAACTCCTGACCTCAGGTGATCCATCCACCTCAGCCTCCCAAAGTGCTGGGATTACAGGCATGAGCTACTGCACCTGGCCTTGATTTCATTCTTGAAGTGGAAGAGCTATCACAGATATGGGAAGAGATAGTGAAGCAGGGAAACAACATTATTCAATTATTCGAAGTTTTTCAAATATAATTAAAATTATATGAAAGATACATTAAATGTAGAAAGTCTGGCCAGGTACGGTGGCTCATGCCTATAATCCCAGCACTTTGGGAGGTCAAGGCGGGCAGATCACCTGAGGTCCGGAGTTTGAGACCATCCTGACCAACATGGAGAAACCCCGTCTCTACTAAAAATGCAAAATTAGCTGGGTGTGCTGGCGCATGCCCCTAAATCCAGCTACTCGGGAGGCTGAGGCAGAATTACCTGAACCTGAGAGGCAAAGGTTGCAGTGAGCCGAGATCACGCCATTGCACTCCAGTCTGGGCAACAAGAGTGAAACTACATCTCAAAAAAAAAGAAAGTCAAATATTTTTCAATGCTAATACTGATTAAAAGAATATTTAAAGAAAAAAATATGGGCCAGGCACAGTGGCTTGCCTGTAATCCCAACACTTTGGGAGGTCAAGCTGGGCAAATCACTTCAGCTCAAGAGTTTAAGACCAGCGTGGGCAACATAGCAAAATCCCCGTCTCTACAAAACATACAAAAATTAACCAGGTGTGCTGGTGAGTACCTGTAGTCCTAGCTACCCAGGAGGCTGAGGTGAAAGGAGTGCTTGAACCCGGGAGGCGGAGGTTGCAGTGAGCGGAGACCGTGCCACTGCACTCCAGCCTGGGTGACAGAGCAAGACTCTGTCTCAAATAAAAAAGAAAAAAGCCGGGTGTGGTGGCTCATGCCTGTAATCTCAGCACTTTGGGAGGCCAAGGTGGGCAGATCACCTGAGGCCAGGAGCTCAAGAGCAGCCTGGGCAACACGGTGAAAACCCATCTCTACTAAAAACACAAAAATTATCTGGGCATGGTGGCAGGTGCCTGTTATCCCAGCTATACAGGAGGCTGAGGCAGGATAATTGCTTGAACCCGGGAGGTAGAGATTACAGTTTGCTGAGATTGCACCACTGCACTCCACCCTGGGCGAGAGTGAGACTACGCTTAAAAAAAAAAAAAAAAAGAAAAAAGGTTGGGCGCAGTGGCTCACGCCTGTAATCCAACACTTTGGGAGGCCGAGGCAAGCAGATCACGAGGTCAGAAGTTTGAGACCAGTCTTGCCAACATTGCGTAAACCCCCTCTCTAATAAAAATACAAAATTAGCCAGGTGTGGTGGCACACACCTGTAGTCCCAGCTACTCAGAAGGCTGTGGCAGGAGAATTACTTGTACCTGGAAGGTGGAGGTTGCAGTGGGCCAAGACTGTGTCATTGCACTCCAGCCTGGTCAGTGGAGCAAGACTCCATCTCAGAAAAAGAAACAAAACAAAACAAAACAAAAAAACTGATGCCTGGATCCTATTTTCAGAGATCCTGATTGAAGTGGCCTGAGGTATATCTTGGACACTCAGAATTTTAAAAGTTCCCCAGGTGGAGAAAATATTTGCGAAAGACATATTGGATAAAGGACTTTTATCATCAAATAACCTTTTTTTTTTGAGATAGGTTGTTGATCCGTTGCCCAGGCTAGAGTGCAGTGGTGTGATCATGGCTCACTGCTGTCTCAGACCCACTGGACTCAAGACATCCTTCTACCTCAGCCTCCCAAGTAGCTGGAACCACAAGTGTGCACCACTGCACTCAGCTAATTAAAAAAATTTTTTTTTTTGTAGAGATGCGGTCTTAGTATATTACCCAGGCTTACAAAGAACTCTTAAAACTTATAAGAAGAAAATGAATGCCATGATTTTAAAAATGGGCAAAAGACCTGAACAGACATCTCACTAAAGAAGACATATGGATGACAAATAAGCATATGAAAAGATGTTTGAGATCATATATCATTAAGGAATTACAAATTAAAACAACAATAAGATAACACTAAACACCTATTAGAACGGCAAAAATCCAAAACACTGACAATACCAAATGCCGGCAAGAATATGGAGCAAGAACTCTCATTCCTTGATGGTGAGAATGTGAAATGGTAGAGCCACTTTGGGAGACAGTTTGACAGTTTCTTATAAAACTAAAAATACTCCAGGAGGCTGAAGCAGGAGAACTGCTTGAACCTGGGAGGCGGAGGTTGCAGTGAGCTGAGATCATGTCACTGCACTCCAGCTGGGGGGACAGCGCAAGATGCCATCTCAAAAAAAAAAAATATTCCTACTTTACAATCCAGCAGTCATACTGCTTGGTATTTACCCAAAAGAGCAGAAGACTAATGTCCACACAAAAACCTGCATATATATGCTTATAGCTGCTTTATTCATAATTGCCAAAACCTGGAAGCAACAAAAGATGTCCTTTGGCAGGTGAATAGATAAACTGTAGTATATCTATACAGTGGGATATTATTTAGCACTAAAAATATATGAGCAGCAGAGAAAGGTGGCATGTGGTTGTAGTTGCAGCTACTTGGGAGGCTCAAGTGAGAAGATCACTGGAGTCCAGGAGTTTGAGGCCTGGCCTGGAATGTGGGTTGGTTTCGGGCCAGCCTGGTCTCAGTATTGAGACCTTGTCTGAAAAAAAAAAAAAAAAAAAAGGCCAGGCGTGACGGCTCACACCTGTAATCCCAGCACTTTAGGAGGCCAAGGCGGGTGGATTTTGAGGTCAAGAGATCGAGACCATCCTGGCCAACATGGTGAAACCTTGTCTCTACTAAAACTATAAAAATTAGCTGGGTGTGGTGGCATTCGCCTGTAGTCCCAGCTACCCTGGAGGCTGAGGCAGAAGAGTCGCTTGAACCTGGGAGGTGGAGGTTGCAGTGTGCTGAGATTGCGCCACTGCACTCCAGCTTGGTGACAGAGCAAGACTCCGTCTTGAAAAAAAAAAAAGAAAAAAAGGAAGAAGATCTATTTTAAAACCTAGAAGCAATAATATTTCAGGTATTCCAGGTCTCAATATGGAGACCCTGTCTCAAAAAAAAAAAAAAAAAAAGAAGAAGACATGAAAGGAAGAAAAGTCTATTTTTTTAAAAAGTTCCCCAGGTGAATCTAATGTGCAATTAAGGTGGAGAACTATTGACCTTCTTTGAACACATAATCTCCTTCAGTTTTTATAATATCCATCAAATTATGTAGCTATTGTTATCCCATTTGATATATAAGGAAACTAAGGTTTTTTTGTTTTTTGGGTTTTTTTTTTTTTTTTTTTTTTTGAGACGGAGTCTCGCTGTGTCGCCCAGGCTGGAGTGCAGTGGCGGGATCTCGGCTCACTGCAAGCTCCGCCTCCCGGGTTCACGCCATTCTCCTGCCTCAGCCTCCCGAGTAGCTGGGACTACAGGCGCCCGCCACTACGCCCGGCTAATTTTTTGTATTTTTAGTAGAGACGGGGTTTCACCGTTTTAGCCGGGATGGTCTCGATCTCCTGACCTCGTGATCCGCCCGCCTCGGCCTCCCAAAGTGCTGGGATTACAGGCGTGAGCCACCGCGCCCGGCCTGGGTTTTTTTTTTTTTTTTTTTTGAGACAGAGTCTCGCTCTGTTGCCCAAACTGGAGTGCAATGGCACAATCTCTGCTCACCGCAACCTCCACCTCCTAGGTTCAAGCGATTCTTATGCCTCAGCCTTCCCAGTAGCTGGGACTACAGTCATACACCACCATGCCCGGCTAATTTTTGTATTTTTCGTAGAGACGGAGTTTTACCATGTTGCCCAGGCTGGTCTTGAACTCCTGACTTCACATGATCCACCCGCCTTGGTCTCCCAAAGTGCTGGGATTACAGGAGTGAGCCACTGCTCTTGGCCAGGTATTACCTTTATTTTACATAAGAGGAAAAACTCAGAGGTTAGATGACTTCCTCGGAGTCTCACAACTAGTAAGGGACAGGTTTCATTCTCAAATCCATGTCTTCAACTCTATGGCTCTTAGAATCTGAAGGAAGATTAAAGATAATCTACTCTACTTTCTCTCATGCTAAAGTACTGTGCACCTGAGTAGTACTGTGCACCATCCCTGACTAGTGTGTGTATGTGTGTGTGTGTGTGAGAGAGAGAGAGAGAGACAGAGAGACAGAGACAGAGACACAGAAAGAGGGGGAGGGGAGATAGGATCTCACTCTGTCATCCAGGCTGGGATGGAGTCGCATGATCTTGGTTTACTGTAATCTCAGTCTTCTAAGATGAAGTGATCCTCCTACCTCAGCCTCTGGACTAGCTGGGACTGTAGGCTAAGTTTTAAAAACTTTTTATAGTGATGAGGTCTCACTATGTTACCCAGGCTGGTCTTGAACTCCTGGACTCAGGCGAGCCTCCCACCTCAGCCTTCCAAAATGCAAGGATTACAGGTGTATGCCACAGCCCCTGAGCCATTCCTGACTTGTTATCCAGTCTCTTCTGTCATATTTCCAGTGTTGGGAAATTATTACTTCATGAAGCAATGCATTTTACTTTGATCTACTAGCTCCAATGATTACAAAATGGTATGACCAAGTATACATATGAGAGTTGGCAGATGGATGTTTGAAACCCAGTTCCCCATTTTATTAGGTAGGTGAATTTGGGAAAGTTATTTAACATCTCCAAACCACAGTTTCCTGGCTGGGTGCAGTGGTTCATGCCTGTAATCCCTGCACTTTGGGAGGCTGAAGAGGGTGGATCACTTGAGGCCAGGAGTTCGAAACCAGTCTGGCCAACATGGAGAAGCCCTGTCTCTACTAAAAATACAAAAATTAGCCAGGCTTGGTGGTGTGCGCCTGTAGTCCCAGCTATTCGTGAGGCACAAGAATCGCTTGAACCCAGGAGGTGGAGGCTGCAGTGAGCTGAGATCGTGCCACTGCACTCCAGCTGGGTGACAGAGTAAGACTCTGTCTCAAATAAATAAATAAATAAAAACACGGAAAATACCTATTTTAAGTGTTAATCATTTTATATATATAATAAACTAATGTATAAAGACTAAATAATAATATATATTAAAGTATCTTTCTAACTGTAGCCAGGCGCTGGGGCTCATCCCTGTAATCTCAGCACTTTGGGAGGCTGAGGTGGATGGATCCCTTGAGTCCAGGAGGTGGAGATCAACTTGGGCAACATGGTGAAACCCTGTGTCTACTAAAAATACAAAAATTAGTCAGGCATGGTGGCGCAGGCCTGTAATCCCAGCTACTCAGGACGCTGAGGTACGAGAATCGCTTGAACCTGGGAGGCAGAGGTTGCAGTGTGCTGAGATTGTGCCACTGCACTCCATCCTGGATGACAGAGCGAGTCTCTGTCTCAAAAACAAAAAAAAAACCCCAAAAAACAAAAAATAAAATAAAATAACATATCTTGCTAACTGTAAAGCATAATAGAAACAGATTTTAACTTTAAAGTGGTTAATAATCCTAAAACCTACATGCCATCTCAGTACTTTCTTGTTTTAAATATCCAAAGGCTCCCCTTGCCCAAAGAACAAAGTTCAAACTCATTACGGTGTTCAAGACCCTTAAGAAATTGTCTCCAATTAACTTCAATGATCTCTTCCAGCCACTAACACCACTCTAGGTACCAACCAAACTTAGTTTCCCACTCTTTCCAATTGCAGACCACATTCTTTCATACCCAGAACTTCACAGAAGTTGAGGATAGCCAGGGACACTTACATTTGTAGTTCAAACTTGAAGACATGTCCAAACATTTTCTGTAGCATATTTTATAGGTTTTCATCTACCAATTATGCCTCTGATACACAAAAAACATAATGGTTTATTGTTGTGCTATTCATAACTATAAGGTTAACTCTAGAAAATTAATTCATAGGCCGGGCGTGGTGGCTCACACCTGTAATCCCAGCACTTTGGGAGGCTGAGGTGGGTGGATTACCTGAGGTCGGGAGTTTGAGACCAGCTGACCAACATGGAGAAACCCCGTCTCTACTAAAAACACAAAAAAATTAGCCAGGCATGGTGGTGCATGCCTGTAATCTCAGCTACTCGGGAGGCTGAGGCAGGAGAATCACTTGAACCCAGGAGGCGGAGGTTGCGGTGAGCCAAGATCGCACCATTGCACTCCAGCCTGGGCAACAAGAGTGAAACTCCGTCACAAAAAAAAAAAAAAAAAAAAAGGAAAGAAAAGAAAATTAATTCATAGTACATACCAGTTGATGAAATGAGTTTAGATTTGTATGATGAATATCTTCCTTTTTATTAATAGTCCTGTGAGTTGATCCCAGCGACTGTGTACACATCGAAGTTCCTTCGCCAATGTGGAGCCTCAGTCAAAAGGCAGCCTGTTGCTTCATTCTGCCAAGAGGGACCCTCTTCGTACCTCTGTGCCTGTCCATATGCTTTTCCTAATTATCTGGCCAGCTGTGACTCATTATCTGAGATTTAATTCACACTTCATTCCTGAAGCTTTCCAAGATGCCATCTCCTACCTCCTTAATGTTCCCAGCATGTACCTGACAATATCACCTAATAAGCGGTATGATAGAGGAGACTCAGAGGAGTGTGTTTACATCTACCTTTATTGAGGAAGAGGTCTGTGACTACTGAGCCTTACACTGAGCCTGGCACAGAGCAGTTCTCGATGGTCTATGATTCTTGGATTTTGGAAGCAATGGGAAATACCAACATGTAAACAGTTCCTGGTTTCTTGGGATAAGTATTCAAGTCTGGTCAGTTGCCTTTATCCGGATATTTTGTTGTCTTCATGACTTCATTTCTCTCCTTTAATGCTCTTGTTCTGGGATCTCATGCTTGAATTCTTTTTTTCTGTTTGAGTTTAAAATAATAACATGGGCCGGGCATGTGGCTCATTCCTATAATCCCAGCACTTCTGGCGGCCAAGGCTGGAGCATTGCTTGAGCCCAGGAGTTGGAGACCAGCCTGGGCAACATAGTTAGATCCTGTCTCTACAAAAAAATAAAAATAGCTGGGTGTAGTGGCATGGGCCTGTAGTCCCAGCTACTCCGGAGGCTGAGGCAGGAGAATCGCCTTGAGCCCACGAGTTGGAAGCTGCAGTCATTTAGGATCACACTGCTGCACTCCAGCCTGAGCCACAGAGCAAGACCCTGCCTCTAAATAAAAATCAAAATAAATATGATAATAACATCTTTAAAAAGTGCAATAAGTGTCACAGCATTCTTTTGATAAGGTTTCTTTAAAGCACACTAGACATTAATCTTGCGGGCAGGAAGTGGGTGGGTGGTACATGTAGAGATAGTGCAGGATAAAAAAATATATATCTTAAAAACTTGGTAAAGGTGGCCAGGCGCAGTGGCTCATGCCTGTAATCCCAGCACTTTGGGAGGCCAAGGCGGACGGATCACAAGGTCAGGAGATCGAGACCATCCTGGCTAACATGGTGAAACCCCATCTCCACTAAAAAATACAAAAAATTAGCCAGGCGTGGTGGTGGGTGCCAGTACCTGTAGTCCCAGCTACTCGGGAGGCTGAGGCAGCAGAATGGCATGAACCCGGGATGCAGAGCTTGCAGTGAGCCGAGATTATGCCACTGCACTCCAGCCTGGGCAACAGAACGAGACTCCGTCTCAAAAAAAAAAAAAAAAAAACAACAAAAAACTTGGTAAAGGTATAATCCCTTTTTCTAACTTTTCTATTTTTTGTTAATAGCATCACCATTTTCCTAGCTTCCAAGTCCTCTTTCTACGTTAAGGGTTTTTGTTTTTTGTTTTGGCAGGGTCTTGCTCTATTGCCCAGGCTGTAGTGCAGTGGCATGATCATGGCTCACTGCAGCTTCGACCTCGAGGGCTCAGGTGATCCTCCTGCCTTTGACTCCTGAGTAGCTGGGACTACAGGTGTGCACCACCACACCCAGCTAATTTTAAAAATTATTTGTAGAGACAGGGTCTCCCTATGTTGCCTAGGCTGGTCTCCTACTCCTGGGCTCAAGTGATCCCCCTGCCTCTGCCTCCCAAAGTGCTGGGATTACGGGTGTGAGCCATGGAGCCTGGACGGAAATTTTTAAGTTAATCATTTAAATTCTGATATATCTTCTTTCAAAAATTATTTTTAGATTTCTTCCCCATTCATATTGCCAATAACTAGACTTTTCTTTCCTCCATTATTGCAGCATTTCGACAACCTCCAGCTAGTCTCGTCTAGATAGATCCTTTTAGTCGTTCTAGACACTTTCCATAATTAGTCTTCTTAAGACTAGTTTTTCCAGTGTTGTAGTCCAGAACTTGCTACTTAGCTCAGCCTAATTTCTGCATTCCTCATTCAAGGCCTTCCCCACTTTAGCTCCAAATTTCTCTCTCTGTTGCTTACTGTTGGTTCTTTGCTGGGGGCACAGGTGACCTTTCCTATGTCTAGGAACATATCAGGCTTTATGTTCTTCCCTTTCCTTTCAGTGTCTACATTGTACCCATTCTTCAAGGTCCAGAGGGAATGCCACTTCCTTCTTGAAGTTTCCTGGCAGCTCCAATTCACACTCATGACATCTAAATAATTATCCTCATGTGTTGTACTTGGGACAAAATAGTTGAATCCTCTTTTTCCTCTTGTTTCGTTAACAGGATACCTAAACGGACCATTACCTGCGACAACGGGACATGCGCGGATAGCTATCTGAAGTACAAATTTGTCATTTCCAAAATACTGGTTCTTTTTCTAAAGAAGTAGTAAAAAAGAAAGAAAAAAAAGAACCAGTATTTTGGAAATGACAAATTTGCTTAGTCGCCCAGGCTGGAGTGAGGTGGCATTATCAAAGCTCACTGCAGCCTCAATTTCTTGGGCTCGAGGGATCATCCCATCTCAACCGCTCCAGTAGCTGGGACCATAGGTGTGCGTCACCGCATCTGGGTAATTATTTTTTAAATTTTAATTTTTTTGCAGAGACCAGGTCTATGTTGCTCAGGCTGGTCTCGAACTCCGGGCCTCAAGAGAGTAAAATCATAAAGTGCTGGGATTACAGGAAACGCAGCGGACCCAAATTCTGTTCTTTACTCATACCTAGCAGCTCCTCTGGTTGCCTGAGGGACCATGTCTCAAACACTATCATGTCGTATTAATTTTTCTTTTTGTTTAAAAGCTGAAAGTGAGAGTACAGTAGGACGTCTCCGGGCTCCAACTACGTCCTATAAGCATGCATCCTTTATTCTGAATGCGTGTGAAATAAAGTTTGAAAAGAATAACCACAGACATACTTGTGACCACAAGCCACAAGAAACGTAGTCAAAAGTGCACTCTCAGTGCTGCTGCCGACCGGGCACGGCGCTGGGCCTGCATTTGCGCTTTCCTGGAGCCTCAGTGTCTCATCTGTACAACGTTGATAATCGTCGGCAGCACCTCTTTCCCAGGGTTGCTCTGAAGGGTTTTCTTTGGGGTGAACCGCCAGGCGGTCGGCCTCCCAGGAGCGGGGGGAGACGCCTTCCTTACGCGACGCACTTCCGTGCGCGAGGAGGGAAGATCGTGGCTGAGTGCGGGTGGCCTGGGCGGAAGGCTCAGCGGGGACAGGTTGGGCCGCAGCTTTGCTGTGCTGTGCCGTGCGACGCCCTCCGCAGGAGCGCGCAAAGTGTTAGCCACGGCGCCAAGCAAGCTGGACGTGCGTGCATGAGCGCGCTCGGACTGACAGGGAAGCGAAAAGGGGGCCAGGGCGCACCATAGAAAAGCCGCGGCAGAAACGTACGACACAGCCCGAGGCGGCGGGGGCGAGAGCTCCGGGGCAGGGACGGCGACGCGGCGTACCCGGTTTGGCGCCCCTGCGCGGCGGTCGGCCGTCCCGCAGCGCCCCAGGTGGCCGCCGGCGGGGTCGCCGCCGGGGGAGTGGATTTGCTCCGCCTCCGCCGGGCTCGGCTGCCCTCGGCAGCTTCCCCGCCTGGCTCTCCCTCGACCCTCCTCCCCTCCCCCTCCCGGTTCGCGATGGACTGGGCCTCCCCGCCGCGCCGCCGCCGCCGTCGCCCGCAGCACCGCGCGGGCCTCTGAGTTGCAGGGCCTGAGGAGCCGCGTGCTGGGGACTGGACGTCCGCTGGCTGCTGCCGCACGCGAGAACCTCTCGCTTCCCTGTCACCAGGTCCTCGCGGAGGAAGGGGAGGGACGAGGCGCGGCTTTTCCTGTGCCGCCTGCCCGGTTCGACCTGCGCGGCCTGCGGCTTCTTGGGAACTCTAGGGCCGCGGCCGGGCCTGGCTCTGCCGGCGGCCTGTTGGGAGCTGGATCGGAGCGGTTTGGAACGACAAGCCCGAGTAAGAGCCTGCGGGAAGGGGAGGCGGGAGCGCCTCGGACCGTCGGAAGGGCCCTGCGTGGGGGCGCGGATCCCGGACGCCCGGCGAGTGGCGGAAAGCGAGACCCCGGCGCCGAGTGAGGTCGGCCAGGCTGCTGCCGACTTCCCCGCTGGCCCCTTTGTTCCCCTCCCGGGGCCCTGCCGGCGGCGGGGCCCGGTTGCCCGCGCCAGAGCCTCAGGCCGGCTCCTTTTGCCCTTGAGAAGGGTTCGCTGCCAGGCCTTCGAGTTCCGGGCGCAGCTCCCGGGAGAGCCGGCGCCCTGCCTGGCCCGGCGGCCTCCTCTCGGGCACGAAGGCTTGCTGCTGCTTCTCCAGAACTTCCCTTCCTCGTAGACACAGGTAGTTAACTTAGCGGGGTTTGGTGCTGGGGAACCACAGCGCGGGGGCCAGCGCCTCTCAGCGCCCGGCTCGGCCGGGCCCCGGGTGTGGGGTCAACCCCGCTGGTCGCCGCCGTTGGGTGCCCACCGCGCCCCGCCGCCGGCTTCCCACACTTGCGGCTGCGTTACGTGGGACCCAAAGCTGTCCTCCAGTCAGGGCGCTTACGGGGCGCTTTTGTAATGACTTACCTGTTGGGGTTGCTTCTCGGTTTTGTTTTTGTTTTTTTAACCAACTGCCCTATCTTGTGAAGCTGGGGAAAGAGGGCCCTAGGTTGGCCTACATTCGTTCGGATCCGTAACCTGCTGGTCCATTGCATTTACTTTTAGCCTTTCCTTTTTTAATTTTTTTATTTTTTTAACTTTTAAGAATAGTTGCCAAGACTGCCAAAATTCCTAACCAACTCTTTATTCATAGATAAATCTTGTATATAATTGTCGTTTGTATTTGGATATCTTTAAAATAGAAGTAAATTGAGAAGTCAGCAGAATATGTGAAATTGGAGGTAATTTTGAAGGAGAAACAATTTGGAGGGGGATTGGATCAAGGTGTTTAGAGTTTCCTCAAAATACTGAATCTAACCCTTATCTGAAGATCAGTTTTGGGTAGAGAAGGAGGGGGATGAAGTTTGCTGGAAAAAACAGAACCTTTAGTTAGGTGTTCTTTGCCTTTTGGCATAGACTTTAGTGATAGCAGTAGTGGGACCTGAAGCTTGACTGACTGTCTTTGACACAGACAGCTCTGGTTTCTAGTTAAGCAGCAACCTAATCAGCTTATATACTCTTGTGCAAAACTGGTTTTCATTTGGTATGATATCTGTACGTTAAACCTGGCGGATAAGGAAAGTTGAAAAACTGCATTAAGCACTCTTACGTCCAAACGTACTTAGGAGTCTTTTTTAATTGCTAGGAGGACACTATGAAAATTTGGTTCTAGCAGATGTAAAGGAAGAAAAATTTAAGCCCAAGCTGTTCAGTCCCGGAATTTAAAGGACTTTTCTCCCTTTACTTTTCAAATTTAAGCAAAGAGACTTTTAAAAAACCATGGCAGATGTGGACCCAGATACATTGCTGGAATGGCTACAGATGGGACAGGGAGATGAAAGGGACATGCAACTAATAGCCCTTGAACAGCTATGCATGCTGCTTTTGATGTCTGACAACGTGGATCGTTGTTTTGAAACGTAAGTACATTCCTTCATCATGTTCCTTTGGGTTACTGTAGTGACATCTGTTTTCAACCATTTGCTGACTTCAGTTTGTGTAGAAATTTCTCTAGTGAATTTTAACACGTATCTTTAAAAATATTCCTGAAGAGTTTTGTGTTTACACTTTTCCAAGAAATAAAAATTGGTAGGTGAAGAAACTCTAGGACTGATGATTACGATGACACAAATACATATTTGTTGAATGAATGGGAATTAGTAGGAATATTAATTTTAACCCATAGCTTGGTTGGTTCATTTTCAAAATATGTCATGAACTGGGGAAAATACAAATATTTATTTTCTTAAAGGTATCTATTTCTGTACCATGAAATTGATTTATGGAATAAGAGATGATAATAAACATATGTTTTGAACTGCCCATTTCTTCATTGATGTTGTCATATGACAGTACTTTTGTTAAAGCCGATTATTGGTTTGTAAATTTCAGTTTGGGAAGGTATAAATTGGATCTTAACCGTGTAGCAGAAGAGTAGAAAATTTGGAGTAGTAGAAACATTTTGAAGTTTGGGGAGTTTAAACAGTTTTATTGGGAGGTTATAACTTAGTATATATGCAAAAATATAAAAGAGAATTCTTACTAGATAGACCTTACAGCCATTTTTTTCCCTCTTATATAAGTCATAACTTGTCCAGTCAGAATAACCATTCTTCTGAGTGTTGAACATGTGTTTCGTTTTTACTGTTTATTTTACATTTGTATTTACAGTTTTGAACTCCAGTAATAAGTAATTGAAAACTCTGATGTTTCTTTATTCATTTTAATGCTATTTTAAGGTAATTAGTAGAAAATGTTTGAGATGTTGACCTAAAAAATTTGGTATAATTATCCTAATGTGTTTTAGGTGGGAATAAAGTTTATATTACTCAGTTGGCAAAATTTTTAAAGTACCTTCATTTTTGATTATTGAATAACTTTCAGTTGTAACTCTTGTTAAAACAGTACTAAGATAAAAATCCTTACTAATAAAATTTCCAAATTACAATTAGTTAGTGGTCCATTTATTTCCATTAGTTTTTGTCATTGGCAGAATTTTGAGTATGTAAGAATAACTTAGCCCTTAGTTGACACTTGTTTTAGCAGGATTTATAGTAAAGTAGATTTTTTAAAATTTATTTTTATTTTTTATTTTTTTCCTCATCCTGACTCTCAAGTTAAAAATTGCGTTCATAGATTTCATTAGAGGTAACCTGAAAGTTACTTTTGGTATTTTAAAAATCATACTTGTCAGTCAAGTCAATTGTCATTTCGTAGCTTCTGTTTAGTACTAATATGTAGTAGAAGTATTTGTTATGACATTTAAAAAAGTGTTGCCCGATCATTAAAAAGTCAGGAAACAACAGGTGCTGGAGAGGATGTGGAGAAATAGGAACACTTTTACACTGTTGGTGGGACTGACTGTAAACTAGTTCAACCATTGTGGAAAACAGTGTGGCGATTCCTCAAGGATCTAGAACTAGAAATACCGTTTGACCCAGCAATCCCATTACTGGGTATATACCCAAAGGATTATAATAATCATGCTGCTATAAAGACACATGCACACGTATGTTTATTGTGTCACTATTCACAATAGCAAAGACTTGGAACCAACCCAAATGTCGATCGATGATAGACTGGATTAAGCAAACGTGGCACATATACACCATGGAATACTATGCAGCCATAAAAAATGATGAGTTCATGTCCTTTGTAGGGACATGGATGGAGCTGGAAACCATCATTCTCAGCAAGCTATCGCAAGGACAAAACACCAAATGCATGTTCTCACTCATAGGTGGGAATTGAACAATGAGAACACTTGGACACAGGAAGGGGAACATCACACACCGGGGGCTGTTGTGGGGTAGGGGGAGGGGGGAGGGATAGCATTAGGAGATATACCTAATGTAAATGACAAGTTAATGGGTGCAGCACACCAATATGGCACATGTATACATATGTAACAAACCTGCACGTTGAGCACATGTACCCTAAAACTTAAAGTATAATAAAAAAAAAAAGTGTTGCCATGTTAAAACAATTTAAATGAAATTTTTAAAACATAAAATTTATCTCTATGTAAAATCCTTCCATCCTAACATAACAGCTGTTATTTTTTCCATTTTCCTTTCTAGGCTTTATTCATATATAGTATGATGTAATTTTTAAGAGACTGGGGCCTCACTATGTTGCCCAGTCTGGCCTCGAGCTCCTGGGTTCAAGCGATTCTCCTGCCTCGGCCTCTTCAGTAGCTGGGACTATAGGCTGTGCCACCACACCTGGCTTTATAATGTAATTTTAAGGAAATGAACCTAAAGTTAAGTCAGATATGATTTACTATATGAAGATACAAGAGTATTTCAAGTTGAAGGGGTTAGCCGTGTTTGGGGTAGTGTACCAGTAACCTCCAAAAACTAGACATTTGGTTTAATTTTGTGACTGTTTTGTTTTTAAACATTAGTTTGCTTTTCATTCTATAGCCAGATTTTCTTGTTGTTACAAGGGAAAATTGTCCTGGTTCCTTCTTGAAACTAGTGAGGGAGGCATAGTGAGATGGAAAGAATGGGCTGTGGCATCAGAGACTTGGGTTCAGATTCTTGGTCTGTTGTGTTCATTAGCCTCTGAGAGCCTTACTTTCTTCCCCTGTAAAATGGCAGTAGTCTTTTTTTCTTTTCTGTTTTTTCATATGAAGTCTTGCTCTGTTGCCCAGGCTGGAGTGCAGTGGTGCGATCTTGGTTCACTGCAACCTCCGCCTCCCAGGTTCAAGTGATTCTCCTGCTTCAGCCTCCCGAGTAGCTGGGACAACAGGTGCGTGCCACCATACCTGGCTAATTTTTGTATTTTTAGTAGAGATGGGGTTTCACCATGTTGACCAGGATGGTCTCCATCTCTTGATCTCCTGATCCACCTGCCTTAGCCTCCCAAAGTGCTGGGGTTACAGGTGTGAGCCACCATGCCCAGCCAGTAGTCTTTTTTCCAGTGGGCCTTCTTGTGAGGATTAAAGGAGAGAATGTATGTTAAGTGTTTTGAGTAAAGTGGGCTACCCACTGATGCCATCATTAATAAATATCTAATTTTGAATTTTATTTTAGCACTTTATTCCATGAATAAAGTGATTGATTTGGAAAGGTCTTTTAAAATTCTTTTAAACAATCAACTCCCAGCAGGCAAAAAAAGCAAGATGATGTGCATATTTTGAATATTGGTAAAAATCTTTCATACTACCTTGATTTCATAAAGTAGTAGCAAATAGGACTTAGTTCTGTCTAATAAACCAAAACATGCCTGTATGTCCTGATAATATGTTTGCTTAATTAGCTTGTCTTAATAGTTTCACATCTGTTTAGTCAGGAAAGGCAGGTGGTGTGGTAGAAACAGTGGCCTCTGCAATGGGATAGACTTGGGTTCAGATACCTGCCTTTTCCACTGAATAGTTGTGTGATAGCCTTTGAAGTCTGTTTCCTCATCCTTGCAGGATTTTTCTGAAAATAAATGGGATAATAGTCAAGGATTTCTTTTTCCTTTAACTTAGTATTGTACATGGCTCTCCACTTTTTTTTTTTTTTTTTTTTGAGGCAGAGTCTCGCTCTGTCACCCAGGCTGGAGCGCAGTGCTATTTTAGCCATGCCCAGCTAATTTTTGTATTTTTAGTAGAAACGAGGTTTCACTGTGTTAGCCAGGATGGTCTCAATCTCCTGACCTTGTGATCCACCCATCTCAGCCTCCCAAAGTGCCGGAATTACAGGCGTGAGCCACCGCGCCCGGCCGGCTCTCCACTGTTTGTACCCATTTTGACAGTGTCTTTCTGAAGTTCAACGAATATAACTTCTTCTATGATGTGTCAGTGCTTCTTATTAATGCCTGAACTTATCAAGGTAATGCTCCAGAAAGTAAAACACGTTCAAGATTCGTTTTTGCTTTTACCTGATGTATCGAGTTCTAAAATGTAGTAATGTAAACATGGCCGGGTGCGGTGGCTCATGCCTGTAATCCCAGCACTTTGGGAGGCTGAAGTGGGCAGATCACTTGAGGTCAGGAGTTCAAGACCAGCCTGGCAAACATGGTGAAACCCCATCTCAACTAAAAATACAAAATTTAGCTGAGCACTGTGGCATGTGCCTGTAATCCCAGCTACTTGGGAGGCTGAGGCAGGAGAATCTCTTGAACCTGGGAGCCGGAGGTTGCAGTGAACCAAGATTGTGCCATTGCACTCCAGCCTCGGTGACAGAGTGAGACCGTGCCTCCAAAAAAAAAAAAAAAAGTAAGTAATAGTAATATGAGTTATTAGCTAATGAGCATTTTGTATTCACATCAAAATAGGTGATCATCATATGTATTAATGTTATAAATATGTATTATGGGCATTTCTAGATCTTGCTACTAAATCTGAATATAATTTGAAAGTTATGTCCTCTGGAAATTGAGCATCTCAGAAGATGCTTTTAGGTGCTAGTAGGCTTTATTTAAAAAATAATGATGTCACTTAATTTTGAGGGCACAAAAGGATATACAGTAAAAAGTCCGTTGTCTTCCCTTTCCTGTCTCCTGGTTACTTGGTTCCTCTTCCCAGAGGAAACCACTGTTAATCATTTCCTAGTGTATCCTTCAAGAGATATCCAAGGAACATTGTTTTGAGTCTGGATTCCAAAGTTATTGAACACAGTGGTAAAAAAATCTTTTTTGATATGTTTACACTAAAAGGTAAAAAAATACCTGTACAGGAACAAGTTTTTTAACTTTAAATTGTCTACTTTATGTTAGGTCTTGGAAAGATATGGTGATGACCAAAACAAATACAGCACCTTATGTGCCTAATAGTCTAATAGGGAAAACAGATAATTGTGGGGAAAAAATGTGGTTACAAACTGTGTTAAATGTCATGAAGGAAAAGCTCAGGGTACTGTGACAGCATGAAGCAGGGACAAGACCTGGAGAGGTGGGGATGGGCAGAGTGGTCTTTGGGGAAGTGGTTTTTCTTTTTTTTTTTTTCAAGACAAGAGTCTTGCTCTGTCACCCATGCTGGAGTGTAATAGCGTGATCTGAGCTCACTGCAACCTCCACCTCCCAGGTTCAAGTGATTCTCCTGCCTCAGCCGCCCCAGTAACTGGAATTACATGCACACGCCACCATGCCTGGCTACTTTTTGTATTTTTAAGTAGAGATCGGGTTTCACTATGTTGGCCAGGCTGGTCTCGAATTCCTGACCTCAAGTGATCCGCCCGCCTTGGCCTCCCAAAGTGCTGGGATTACAGGTGTGACCTTTTTTTTTTTTTTTTTTTTTTAAATTAGATGGAGACAAGGTCTCACTAGGTTCCCCAGGCTGATCTAGAACTCCTGAGCTTAAGTGATCCTCCCGCCTTGGCCTTCCAGAGTGCTGGGATTACAGGCGTGAGCCACCGTGCCTGGCCAAGAAAGGGGAAGTGGTTTTTCCTAGAGCTAGGAAGGATGAGTAAGGAGAGATAGGAAGTGGGAACAAAACAAACAAATGCTTGTAGACTTGATAGGAGGCTATGATCCAGAGAGATAGAGGGTTTTGTGATAAAAGTAGAAAGTTGAATATATTTGAGAGAGATTTGGAAGGCAAGATAGTCAGGATTTGTCGAATGATTAAATATGAGAGAGGGAGAAGGAAGTGTCGTGGATGACTCAGGTTACAATGGATGATGATGCCACTCACTGAGAGAGAACACTGGAAAGAGGACCATGTTTGAGAGATTGAGATCATGAGTTTGGGTTTGGATATGTTGAGTATGAGGTACTTTTGAGACATCTCAGTGGAGATATTAAGTAAGCAGTTGTATAAATGGAAATTGGAGGTGAAGCCTGGATTAGAGAAAAATTTTAGAGTCAAGCACCTGTGGAGGTTAATTGTGGCCATGGGATGTGATTGAGATCTAGGGCAGTGATGCTTAAACTCTATGGTCTCAGGACTTCCTTAAGCTCTTAAAAATTATTGTGGATCCTGAAGAACTTTTGTTTATGTTAGTATGCTTACTGCTATTTGCCATATTCAGAATGAAACTGGGAAGTTGTTTTTTTTTTTTTTTTTTTTTTTTTGAGATGGAGTCTTGCTCTGTCACCCAGGCTGGAGTGCAGTGGCACAATCTTGGCTCACTGCAACCTCTGCCTCCTGGGTTCAAGTGATTCTCCAGCATCAGCCTCCCTAGTAGCTGGGATTACAGGTGTGCGCCACCGTGTCCAGCTAATTTTTGTAGTTTTAGTAGAGACGGAGTTTCACCATGTTGGCCAGGCTGATCTTGAACTCCTGACCTCAGGTCAGAACCCAGGAGGCGGAGCTTGCAGTGAGCCGAGATCGCCCCACTGCACTCCAGCCTGGGCGACAGAGCAAGACTCTGTCTCAAAAAAAAAAAAAAAAATTATAATAATAAACCCCTTACATGTTAAAATTTTTTTGTGAAAAATAACTTTTTTAAAAGAAAACATTTTGGGAGAATAGAGGCATTAATTTACATTTTTGCAAATCTCCTTAAAGTCTGCCTTAATGGAAGATAGCTGGATTCTCATATCTGCTTCTGCATTCAGTTTGTTGCATTATGTTATTTTGATTGAAATATATGAAAAAATCATCCACAGATGTATTTGGGAAAGGGAAGAAGAATATTATATTTTTTAACGTAATCATGGATATGCTTCTTTGATAACATGTCAAAATTCAACAAGTGATAGTTTCTTAAGGATTAGTTATAATGTGGATTCTGTTTTTTTTTTTTTTTTTTTCTTCGAGGCAGATTCTCGCACCCAGGTTGGAGTGTAGTGGTGCGATCTTGGCTCACTGCAACCTCCACCTCCTAGATTCAAGCAGTTCTCCCGCCTTAGCCTCCTGAGTAGCTGGGACTACAGGCGCAGACAACCACACTGGAATAATTTTTTTTATTTTTAGTATTTTATGTTGGTCAGGCTGGCCTCGAACTCCTTACCTCAAGTGATGCACCTGCCTTGGCCTCCCAAAGTACTGGATTACAGGCATGAGCCACTGCACCCTACCAGGATTAGTTATAATGTGGATTCTGATATCATATCAGTGAACTTATACTCACTCTGTTACATTAAAATCTGATGGTCTGTCTTATACTTTGAGTGACTGTTTTACCCATGTTTACTTTTGCAAAAATTATGCATTGGTCATGTGGAAAATATCAGTCCACTGAGTTACACAGATTTTCCAAATGTGGACATATCTCATTCCACAGTGCCAAAAAGTCTTATTTGTCAATATGACTACCACTCTCATCAGACAAGTTTTTAAATATTCAGAAGCTTTCAAGCTCATGGTGTCAAATACAAGTTTTCCAAAAATGTCATTTTTGCTTGTAAAGTTGAGTGTTATGATTGGCAACAAATACAGTTGATCGTTTTCCTTGAAATGAAAGGCATACGTGATTAAATTTTGAAAAAATGTTTGCCAGATAGCCAAGTCTGAATGATCAGTTTGTCTGATAGTCCTTCAAGTAAAAATGGTGTTGCAAGAAAAAAGTGGCTAGTTCAGTCCTCAAGTATGTACTTTGCCATTATTCTTCCGTATGCAGTGCTTTATAATTAATTCCCATTTCCTTTAAGTAGAATATTGAAAAGATGTATCTTCAGGGGTTGAGATTTAGTAAATTTAATAATTTTGCTTCATCTAGTTTATTCTTTAGTGAAACTGGCTTTTTTCTTAATACCAGTGCTTGGCAGTGAAGAATACAGTTATCTAGTACAGGTTAGGGCTACTGCCTTGATTCATGTTAAAGCACCTGCAGTTTTATCCACTATTGCTTTTGCATCATTAGTGCGCATGTCAACACAGGAAAGAAAGTGATTCAAGAAGAGAAAGGGCAATTGTTTTGAATACTAGTGAGAGGTCAAGTAGGGGTTAGATGAAAAGATGTCCTTTAGATTTAGCAACATTCTCAAGGTCATTGATCTTAATGAGAGCTGAGTGGAGTGGTGGTGAGGGGCAGATCTGAATGGGTTGAGGAGTGAGTGGAACATGAAATGGAGGACATGTGGAAACTTTTTTGAAGAATTGAATTGGAAAAGGAGTGTGGGGTTTTTTCTTTTAAAGGTCAAAGAGATAAGAAAGAGAGTGAATAATCCCTAGGGTAAGGATTCTGAAAAACTGGGAGAGAATTGGCTTTTGTATAGAAGCAGTGCTTCTTAAATTTTAATGTGCATAATGAGAGTCACCTGGGGATCATGTTAAAATGCATATTCTGATTCAGTTGGTCTTATATGAAGCTTGATATTCTGCATTTCTAATATGGTCCTAGATTATGCAGAAACTGTTGGTCAGAAAATCCCACCTTGAGTAGCAAAACCCTGATCCACTGGTGGAGAGATTGGTTTTAGGCAGAAAGAAGTTGTGTACTGCCGTTGTAACAGAGAAGATAGAGACGTTAGATGCACATGTTTTGGGTTTGATGGTAAAAAGTTAAGGGCTGGGACTGGGCGTGGTGGCTCATGCCTATCTGCAGTCCCAGCACTTTGGGAGGCCGAGGTGGGTGGATCAGTTGAGGTCAGGAGTTCGAGACCAGCCACGGTGCCTGGCCCTGAGTTATAGTCTTAAAAATTGATTTGCCTGTGCTACTCCCTTTTACAGAATCTGTTGGGTTCTTCACCTACAGGATCAAATTTAAATGTCTTCAAAGACCCCTCCTGCATATTCTCACATGTATACACTACTTCCACTTTACTATACTTTCAGTTCTCCACTGGACTACGAGCTCGTCTTTGTTTTCCCATTGCTAAGCATAGTGCCTGGCACACAAATAGCTAATATCCAGATACTGAAGGAGTGAATTGAAGAGATTGCTTATATTGGACCTGTTTTCCACCTAATGCCTAAAATGCCCATGGAAGGTATTTGTGGAGTTGAGAAACTTGTTGTTAGTATGCAGGAGGAAGAGTATTGTATTCTTTTTTGTTTTTTTTTTTAGCAGATACAGTATCAATAAGTACTTTCCTTACTTTCTACCATTAATATACCTGCCTTTTCTTTCTTTTTTTTTTTTTTGTTTTGAGACGGAGTCTTGCTCTGTCGTGTAGGCTGGAGTGCAGTGGCGCAATCTCGGCTCACTGTAACCTCTGCCTCCCGGGTTCAAGCAATGCTTCTGCCTTAGCCTTCTGAGTAGCTGGGACTACAGGCGCACACCACCATGCCCAGCCAATTTTTGTATTTTTTAGTAGAGACAGGGTTTCACCATATAGGCCAGGCTGGTCTCGAACTCCTGACCTCGTGATCCTCCCGCCTCGGCCTCCCAAAGTGCTGGGATTACAGGTGTGAGCCACTGCGCCCGACCTGTACCTGCCTTTTCTATATTGACCTGTTTTCTTCTACCCAATGGCAGAGTAATAGGGAAATGAATTACTTTTGTTGATCAGCCCTGACCCTTTACTGGAGAAGGAATGTTCATTGATATATCAAATATGTATAATCCTCAAGAGTTAAATAAATGAGCTGAACACGGTGGCTCATGCTTGTAATCCCGATACTTTGGGAGGCTGAGTCAGGTGGATGACTTAAATTCCGGAGTACAAGTCCAACCTGGCCAACATGGCGAAGAAACCCCCTCCCTACTAAAAATAGAAAAATTAGCAGGGTGTGGTGGCACATTCCTGTAATCCCAGCTTCTCAGGAGGCTGAGGCACGAGAATCGCTTGAACTCGGGAGGTGTAGGTTGCAGTGAGCCCAGATTGCACTACCACACTCCAGCCTGGGAGACAGAGTGAGACTCCGTCTCAAAAAAAAAAAAAAAGTTAAATGAATTCCTGTAAACAGACAGCAACTGTGTATGTGCTTCTTTTCAGTGGACAGCAGAGAGAAGTGCTGGAATGAGAAACACTGTCTGTGAGGGTTTACCTGGGACTCCAGGGGGTCCATAGGTGATTAAATTCAGGGAGCTTTTGTGACGATTACCAGAGTTTCTGTCAGCTAAAAAAATGTAGAGGCCAGGCTCCACTGGTGGCTCATGCCTGTAATCCCAGCACTATGGGAGGCCAGGGCGGGTGGATCACCTGATGTCGCGAGTTTGAGACCAGTCTGGCCAATATGGTGAAACCCCATCTCTACTAAAAATACAAAAATTAGCAGAGGTCTGGTGGCATGCGCCTGTAATCTCAGCTACTTGGGAGTCTGAGGCAGGAGAATTGCTTGACCCTGGGAGGCGGAGGTTGCAGTGAGCCGAAATTGCACCACTGTGCTGCAGCCTGGGCTACAGAGTGAGACCTTGTCTCAAAAAAAAAAAAAGTTAAAAACCACTCTTAATAGTTTCAACAGGAAAAATACAAGGAAAATTTATCAGAGATAGATTTTTATCATTTTTATTTATGGGTATGACATTGTGTTTTATAACGCTTTGTAAGTGTACTTTGCATAGTTCTTGACTGTATCATTAGATTGAATTCTTCAGAGTCAGTGAACTCTTTCTTACTCATCTTTGTGTCCCACCCCCAACACTTAGCATAGCACTTGGTGTAGAAAGGCATTCAATAGATGTGTTGAATGAATTGCAGTCAAATTTGTATGTGTATTTTAATTGGAGAAAAGCAAACTTACATCTTATAATTGGACTTTACCCCCTTTTTCTTTGCAAGGGAAAACCACAATTTTCAGCTGCTGTACCAGGAGTTATTTTTAGCTCAGCAATACCAAGAAAGTCAAGGCTGGGAGCAGAGGCAAAAATGGAATATGAAATGGATCAAAAGATGTTGCGTTATTTATTGTCTTTAAGAAACCAGATGTGTTCAGGTTTTTCAGTTAAAATATTTCATTTTTTTAAAATGAAGTGCCTGATTTACAGACTATTTTATAAAATATCTCTACTACAGATAATGCCCTTTATTTTTTTTAAAAACAGTTATATTCTTTCATGTCTTTGCCAATCTTCTGAAATCTTGGCCCAAGTTCAAGTGAAAAAAGCATATGGTAGTTATAATACAGAAAATATTACAGTTCCCAGGGAAATTCTTTCTCTTTGGAACCTCATGTAACCTTTTTTTATTGCTTCCATCAGGGAAAGATTCTGATGTCTTTACAGGTAGCATTTTGGAAACCAGTGCCTAATTTGGAGTCATCTGAAGATTCTTCATAATCTCACTTGTGTGGTTGACTACTCTGACAGGAGTTCTGTATAGACTGATTGATCCTAAAGTTTCCTAAATAGGCTTCCTAATCTATTGGTATTATATTAATAATATAGTACTCACGTTAAGATAATAAAAAAGAAGAATTTCTACCTGTAATGTAAGAGGTAAATACTTGGCAAGCTTAAAATTTTGAGCAACTGTAATTATATATAAAATTTTGTGCCTAGAAGTATCATTTTAGCATTATTCAGGGAGGGCTGTGATTATTCTATGAATGATAGTTAACTTTTTCTTAAATTTGTTTAAATTACATACGGGGAAGTTAGCTTTTTATTATTGTACATTGCTATGAGTCATGTAACCACCACTATAATTGAAATGCAGAACATTTCCATCACTTTGAAACATCATCTAGTGCTGTCCCTTTGAACTCAAACCCTTTCCCCATCCCAATGCCTGGCACTTGGTGGCCTGTTTTCTGTTGATATAGTTTTGACTTTTCTAGAATGTCATGTAAATGGAATCATATATACAATACGTAGTTTTTTGAGTCTGATTTCTTTCACTTAGCATATCGCATTTGAGATTCATCTGTGTTGCTATTGTGTCAATAGTTCATTCTCTTTAGTTGCTAAGTAATATTCCTTTTCATGGATGTTTTGGTGATTATGACCTAAACTGCTATAAACAGTAGTGTATAGATTTTGTGTGTGTGTGAGAACATAAGCTTTTAAAAAATATTTATTTATTTATTTGTTTTTTGAGACAGAGTTTTGCTCTTGTTGCCCAGGCTGGAGTGCAGTGGCGTGATCTTGGCTCACTGCAACCTCCACCTCCCGGGTTCAACCGATTCTTCTGCCTCAGCCTCCCAAGTTGCTGGGATTACAGGTGCCCGCCACCATGCCCGGCTAATTTTTGTATTTTTAGTAGGAACAGGATTTTACCATGTTGGCCAGGCTGGTCTCGAACTCCTGACCTCAGGTGATCTGCCTGCCTCAGCCTCCCAAAGTGCTGGGATTACAGGCGTGAGCTACCACGTCCAGCCATAAGTTTTTATTCTGAAATTCTTGGAGATAAATTCAACAAGATGTAGAAATTGAAAAACGTATTTCAAAATTTATATGGAAATGCAAAGGACTTATGCTTGCCAAAACAACTTTTATGAAGAACAAAGTTGGGAACTAACACTAGTCTATATTTCAATATTTATTATACAGCTACAGTAATAAAGACAATGTGGTATTGATATAAACATAGACAAATAGTACTGTGGAACAGAATATAGAGTTCAGAAATAGACTTCCACATATATGGAAAACTTATTTTGACAAAGGTACAAAGGCAGTTCAGTAGAAAAAGGATAGTTTTTTTTGTGATGCTGAAACAATTGGATATCCATATGCAGTAAGTTTAACTTTGATACTATCTCACACTATATATATTTTTAAAAACCCAGATGAATCATAGATCTAGTTGTAAAACCTAAAACTATAAAACTTCTAGAAGAAAACATAGGAGAAATTCATTGTGACCTTGCGTTATGCAAATATTTCTTTAGATAAGCACCAAAAGCACAATTCATAAGAGAATAAATTTTTATGTTCGAAGGTTTTTACTTCTAATTTAGTTTATGTGATAGATATAGGATTATCCAGGTTATCTAATGCTGCTTGCGTGAGTTTTGGTAGCATGTCTTACTTTATTTTTTTTTGAGGTGGAGTCTCGCTCTGCCGCCAGGCTGGAGTGCAGTGGTGTGATCTTGGCTCACTGCAACCTCCGCCTCCTGGGTTCAAGTGATTCTCCTGCCTCGGTCTCCTGAGTAGCTGGGATTACAGGCGCCTGTCACCACACCCGGCTAATTTTTTGCGTTTTTAGTAGAAACGGAATTTCACCATGTTAGCCAGGCTGGTCTTGAACTCCTGACCTCAGGTGATCTGCCTGCCTTGGCCTCCCAAAGTGCTGAGATTATAGGCATGAACCACCACGCTCGGCCAGTAGAATGTCTTGTAAGGAATTTGTCTGTTTAATCTGAATTTAAATTTATGGGCATAGAGTTGTTTGTGATATTCCCTTTTATCCTTTTGATATCTGTAGGGTCTTTAGTGATAAACCCCTTTTTCATCCTGATACTGGTTATTTTTATCCTTTTTATTTTGGTTAATCTGACTAGAGATTTAGCCATTGTCCAAGAACCTTTTCCAAGAACCAGCTTTTGGCTTCATTCATTTTCCCTATTTTTCTGTTTAAAGTTTTATTGATTTCTGTTCTTTATTATTGCTTTCTGCTTTGGTTTTGGGTTTAATTTGCTCTTTTTCCCTCTGTTTTCTTTCTTTCTTTTTTTTTTTTTTTTTGAGACAGAGTCTCGCTCTGTCACCCAGGCTGGAGTGCAGTGACAGGGATGTTGGCTCACTGCAAGCTCCAGGTCCTGGGTTCAAGCGATTGTCCTCCTACCTCAGCGGATTACAGGCGCTCAAGACCACACCCGGCTAATTTTTGTATTTTTAGTAGAGATGGGATTTCACCAACTTGTCCAGGCTGATCTTGAACTCCTGACCTGAGGTGATCCACCTACCTCAGGTGATCCACCTGTCTCAGTGTCCCAAAGTGCTGGGATTACACACGTGAGCCACCACACCTGGCCTTTTTCTCTGTTTTTCTTTCTTTCTTTCTTTTTTTTGAGATGGAGTTTTGCTTTTGTTGCCCAGGCTGGAGTGCAATGGTGTGATCTCGGCTCACTGCAACCTCTGCCTCCCGAGTTCAATCGATTCTCCTACCTCAGCTTCCTGAGTAGCTGGGATTACAGGCATGCACCACCACATCTGGCTAATTTTTTTTTTTTTTGTATTTTTAGCAGAGACGGGGTTTTCTCCATGTTGGTCAGGCTGGTCTCTAACTCCCAACCTCAGGTGATCCGCCTGCCTCGACCTCCCAAAGTGCTGGGATTACATGCGTGAGCCACCACGCCAGCCCTTCTCTGTTTTCTTAAGTGAAAGCTGGGGTTTGATTTTTGAAAGCTGGGGTTTGAGGCCTGAAGCATTTAATGCCATAAATTTTTCTTTATATACTACTTTAGTTGTATCCTACAAAGTTTGATGTTATATATGTATTTCAATCAGTTAGTAATTTTTTTTTTTTTTTTTTGAGACAGGGTCTGGTCCATACGGAGAAACCCCATCTCCAGCCCAGGCTGGAGTGCAGTGGTGTCATCTTGGCTCACTGCAGCCTTGACCTCCCAGGCTCAAGCCATTTTTCCCTGCCTCAGCCTCCTGACTAGCTGGGATTACAGGCATGTGCCACCATACCCGGCTTATTTTTGTATTTATTGTAGAGACAGAGTTTTGCTGTGTTGCCCAGGCTGGTCTGGAACTCCTGAGCTAAAGCCATCTGCCTGCCTCGGCCTCCCAAAGTGCTAGGATTACAGGCGTGAGCCACTGCACCTGGCCGGTCATAACATACTAAGGAAATAAGCAAATTATGGGATAGTATTTATAGTATGGTTCTACTTGTGAATTACGAAAACATAAAATGTTTAAGTATATGGAAAAATGAGGCCAGGCGCAGTGACTCAGGTCTGTAACCCCAGTGCTTTGGGAGGCTGAGGCAGGAGGATTGCTTGAGCCCAGGAGTTTGGAGCTCCTGAAACATCCGGGTAGCAGGGAGTTATGATTGCACAACTGTACTCCAGCCTAAGTGACAGAGTGAGACACTGTCTTTTTAAAAAACAAAACCAAAAAAGGTGGGGTGCAGTGGGGCATGTCTGTAATCGCAGCACTTTGGGAGGCTGAAGTGGGAGGATCATTTGAGGCCAGGAGTCGGAGACCAGTCTGGGCAACAGAGAGAGAACTTATCTCTTAAAAAAATCAATGTATAAAAAATAGGGCCTGGCGCAGCGACTCCCCACACTTGGGAGGCCAAGGTGGGAGGATTGCTTGAGCCCAGGAGTTTGAGACCAGCCTGGGCAACATAGTGAGACCCCCATCTCTACAAAAAATAAAAAAAAAGTTAGCCAAGCATATGGTGTTTAAGGCTGCAGTGAGCTGTAATTGTGCCATCCTACTCCAGTCTGGCCTACAGAGTAGGACTGACTCTCTTAGAATTCAAAACAAAACAAGAAAAGGACTAACACTCATCAATCTTTAGATACAGTATTACCTCTTTGGTTGAAATTATGGGGACTTTCACTTTGTACATTATATGTTTCTATGGTATTTTCATTTTATTGCTTTGTACTCAGAAAAAAGCTAAGACACAATCTGGACTCGGTGAGTTCATCCTGATCTTTTGCCCTTTGGCTCTGATTTCCAGCCGCACCACAATACTTGTGGATCATTTATATCAGTTACTTATTGCTGTGTGACAGATCACCCCAAAGTTAGTAGTATTAAACAAGAATTATGCTAACAGATTATCTGGATTTTGGAAACTGGAAAGGGTAGAGTGGAGATGGCTTGTCTCTGTTCTGCGATATCTGGGACCTCAGCTAGGAAATCTCAAAGATGGGAAGTGACTTGACACTTAGGCACTAGAATCACCAGATGATTTGTTCTGTTGCATGTGGTCGAGCCTGGCTTCTAGCTGGGACCTTGCCTAGATTTTTTAGTTGAAACACCTACATGTGGACTCTCAATGTGGCTGCTTAGGCTTCCTCACAGGATGGTGACTGGGTTCTAAGAGCATGAGTCCCAAAAGAATGCAGCAGAAGCTGTATCATCTTGTTCATTGAGTTAGCATTTGAAGTCACACAGTGGTCACTTTCACTATAATCATAAGCCTGCTCGGATTCAAGAGGAAAGAACTCAGGCCCTCTCATAGGGAAGACTATCAAAGTCACATTTTAAAAAAGATTATGTGGGGTGGGAGGTAGATAATGTTGTGGACATCATTGGAAAATACTAGCTGCCTTATCATGTAATTCCTCAAGCATCTTTTCTAAGACAGGGTCTCACTCTCATCCAGGCTGGAATGCAGCTCACTGCAGCCTCTACCTCCTGGGCTCGAGTGATCCTCCTACCTCAGCCCTCTAACCCCCATCCGGTAGCTGGGACTATAGGCATACACCACCATGCCCAGCTAATTATTTAAAATTTTTGTAGAGATGGGATCTCGCTATGTTGCCCAGGCTGGTCTTGAACTCCTGGGCTCAAGCAATCCCACCTTGGCCTCCCAAAGTGCTGGGATTAATGGTGTGAGCCACTGTGCCTGGCTGATGCATTTGGATTTTATCCTCAGGGTACTGAAGGATATGAAATTAACAGATTTGTGTTTTAAAAATATATCTTTGGTAATAGGTAATAGAATGGTGAATGGACTGGAGAATCTAGTGAGAGATTCTGGTTAGGAAGCTGTGGTAGTAATACAAAAAAGAAGTGAGGAGGGTTGGAATTCTAAGGACAGATACTAAACCGAGTTAGGAGGTAGAACCAACAAGATTAAGTCTTAGATTTTGTATTTTAGAAACAAGAGTTCTGGAAAACTTTTATGAATTTTACTTGAGTGACTAGGCATATGGTAGGTTAGAGGATATGCGTAATATGGCTTTTGGTAGAGAAGCGTCTTTTAGTTTTGGGCAAGTTATGTTTGAAGGCTCCTGAAACATATCCAGGTGGCAGTAGATGAGTAGGGGAGGCAGTTGTGTCTGCAGTTCTGTTATTTAGAAGAGCAGTTTGGGCTAGAGGCTAGAGTTGACATTTTGCTTTACTATGGGAAATGAGAGATGGAAGTGGATTCAGTTGTTTGTGTTGTGGGAAAGTTGGGGGCAGGTGGGTAGAGTGAGGTGGGTGACCCTGTGGGAATTGGGCCAGGATGAAGTTGTGTATGGAGGGATGGGGGTATATTTGTGAGGGATTGGGCATGTGTGGTGGAGTTCATTAAGGGAGCTGAAGGAATTCTTTTCATTTGGCTTCTCATTCTGGATGCAGAAAAAAGTTATTCAGCATGTAAAAGGCTAGTGTCACTTCTGTGCAGGAAACTCTGCTGTGTGCTGTATGAAATAAATCCCTAGTCCTGAGGAGCTTTTAGGAGAGAGTTACAATGGATAAGAAGAAATAAAATATAAATTCTAAAGAGAAAAAAACAGGTCTGTTTGGGGTAGTTAGGGAATGTAGTCTAAAAGTCTAGGAGGTGACATTTAGGCTGAGATAGAAAGAATAACAAGGCCGGGCGCGGTTTCTCACGCCTGTAATCCCAGTACCTTGGGAGGCCGTGGCGGGTGTATCACAAGGTCAGGAGATTGAGACCACCCTGGCCAATATGGTGAAACCTCGTCTCTACTAAAAATACAAAAATTAGCCAGGTGTGGTGGCAGGCGCCTGTAATCCTAGCTACTTGGGAGGCTGAGGCAAGAGAATCGCTTGAACGCAGGAGGCAGAGGTTGAAGTGAGCTGAGATTGTGTCACTGCACTCCAGCCTGGGCGACAGAGCAAGACTCTGTCTCAAAAAAAAAAAAAAAAGGAAGAATAACAAAGAGCTAGCTTTGGAAAGAGTTAGGGGAAAAGGATTTTAGACAGATGGAACAGCACACACATTAGCTTTTATCTGTCTGTCTATCTATCTATCTATCTATCTATCTATCTATCTATCTATCTATCTATCTATCTACAGCTGTCTCTATATTTTGAAACCCATGTGTTCAGGCCAGGTGTGGTGACTCACGCCTGTAATACCATCTCTTTGGGAGGCCAAGGTGGGCAGATCACCTGAGGTCTGGAGTTTGAGACCAGCCTAGCCAACATGGTGAAACCCCGTCTCTACTAAAAAATACAAAAATAAAATTAGCCAGGCCCAGTGGCTTGTGCCTGTAGTCCCATCTCCTTGGGAGGCTGAGGCAGGAGAATTGCTTGAACCCAGAAGGCAGTGAGATGAGATTGTGCCACTGCACTCCGGTGATAGAGTGAGACTCCGTTTCAAAAATCAACAACAACAAAGAAAAACAAAAAACCATGAGTTCATACAAGTATCTCTAGTTCTAATCTAACACCACAGGGCTCATGCTAGTTTTCTCTTTCTGTATTTTCAGTTCTCTTTTCCTTCAGTGAGAAACATTATCCTTCCCATTATCCTTCATATATTTATTTGATCAATTCTTCTGTATGTATCAATTGCCCATCACTGGGACATTCCATTGCACAAATGTCCTGTTCACTTTGCTCATGCTGTAATATCCTATACCAGAATGATCTCCTCTTCTTTCCAGATATGCTGCTCCTCAGTGCCAGTGCTGGACATAGCTCTTATGTAGATGTATAAGAGGTTATTTCAGTAGTGCAAACCAGACTTTGAAGTTGGCTTAGATTAGAGGTTATTTTAATTTAATTTACTTTTATTTTATTTTTGAGAAAGTCTCACTCTGTCGTCCAGGCTGAAATGCAGTGGCGTGATCTTGGCTCACTGCCCCTTCCACCTCCAGGGTTCAAGCAATTCTCCTGCCTCAGCCTCCCAGCAGGGAGCTGGGACTACAGGCACAAGCCACTGCCCCTTGCTAATTTGATTTTTTGTGTTTTTTAGTAGAGACGAGGTTTTGCCACATTGGCGAGGCTGGTCTCGAACTCTGTAAGCCAGGTGATCTGCCCACGTTGGCCTCCCAAAGTGCTGGGATTACAGGCGTGAGCCACCACGCCAGGCCTGTTTTTTGGGTGTTTTTTTTTTTTTTTTTTTTTTTTTGGAGACAGAGTCTCTCTCGCTCTTTCGCCTAGGCTGGAGTGCAGTAGTGCGATCTCGGCTCACTGCAACCTCCACCTCCCAGGTTCAAGTGATTCTCCTGCCTCAGCCTCCCGAGTAGCTGGGATTACAGGCATGTGCCACCACGTCCGGCTGATTTTTGTATTTTTAATAGAGACGGGGTTTCGCATGTTGGCCAGGCTGGTCTCGAATTTGCCTCAAGTGATCTGCCCACCTCAGCCTCCCAAAGTGCTAGGATTACAGACATGAGCCACTGTGCCTGGCCCATAGGATATATTTTGGAGGGCTTAATTGGTGGGATTTTTTTTTTTTTTTTTTTTTGAGACCGAGTTTCGTTCTTGTTGCCCAGGCTGGAGTGCAGTGGCGTGATGTCAGCTCACTACAACCTCTGCCTCCTGGGTTCAGGCAGTTCTCATGCCTCAGCCTCCCCAGTAGCTGGGATAACAGACACGTGCCACCACGCCTATCTAATTTTTGTATTTTTAGTAGAGATGGGGTTTCACCATGTTGGTCAGGCTGGTCACGTACTCCTGACCTCAGGTGATCCACCCGGCTCGGCCTCCCAAAGTGCTGGGATTACAAGTGTGAGCCACCATGCCTGGCCTAATTGGTGGGATTTAACTGATGGGTTGGGTGTGAAATGGGGGGAAATCAAGAATGATTCTCAGCTTTTTGGCTTTCTGGATGGTTGACATTTACTATGATGGAGATTTGGGAATAGAGGCACACATCAGGAGTTTTGTTTTGAATATACTCATTTTAAGATGCCTGTGATATTTCTAAATGGAGATAGTGATATTGAGTCAGTCTAGGGTGGAGAAAATACTTAGGGAGTTTTTGTGATATGTGGATGAGATTTATATTTGTGGTGTATGAACTAAGAGAATGGATGAAATCCATTAAAAAGGTAATTAAAGAGATAGGAAAGATGACGAGGGAATCTAGGAAGGAAGCTAGAGTGGAAAACCAGGGGAGTCATAAATCGAGAGAAAATTGAAGAAAATACTCATTCCAGACCGTGAAAGAAATGTAGCAGAATTATTAGGTATTGTGCTCATTTAAGGTTGGTGATCGTAAATTTATAGCAAGGTCAAATTTCCTGATAATGTGAATATTTTTTCTTTGTCAATCCCTGTTGACATAGATTCAGACCTAGGGAATGTGGGGGGTCGTTCATTTAGCCAGAAATGGGGCAAGGGATTTGAGAGTTTTGCTCATAGAAGGTAGTCGAGTGCTTGTCCAATAACCACAAAGGTCAAGTTGAATTATCTTCTTTTTTTTTTTAAACAGGGTCTCACTTTGTTGCCCAGGCTGGAGTACAATGTACAATTATGGCTCACTGCAGCCTGGACCTCCCTGGGCTCATGTGATCTTCCCATCTCAGCCTCCTGAGTAGCTGGGACCTCAGGCACGTGTCCCCACACCTGCTAAATTTTGTGTTTTTTGTAGAGACCAGGTTTTACCATGTTGCCCAGGATGGTCTCGAACTCCTGGGCTCAAGTGACCTGCCCACATCAGCCTCCCAAAGTGCTGGGATTACAGGCATCAGCCACCATGCCTGGCCTCAAGTTGAATTATCTGTCAACACAGGGTTTCTCTGAAAATGATGCTATGAAATTCCCTAACAGTGGAAGCATCAGGTTTTTTTTTTTTCTGTTTTTTGTTTTGAGACTGAGTCTCTCTTTGTCTGTCGCCCAGGCTAGAGTGCAGTGGTGCGATCTCGGCTCACTGCAAGCTTCGCCTCCTAGGTTCACACCATTCTGCCTCAGCCTCCCAAGTAGCTGGAACTACAGGCGCCTGCCACCACACCCAGCTAATTTTTTGTATTTTTAGTGGAGATGGGGTTTCACCGTGTTAGCCAGGATGGTCTCGATCTCCTGACCTCATGATCCGTCCTCCTTGGCCTCCCAAAATGCTGGTATTACAGGCGTGAGCCACCGCGCCCGGCCAGAAGCATCAGTTTTTAAATCTTATCTGTTTAAATTACAATGGCTGTATTAAAGCAGAATATCCAGCCAAGTATCTATTAGGAAATGACACTTGTTATTTTTTTTAGTTTCAATGTGAACTTTCAGGTAATACAATTCTCTCAACTATCTGTATTTTTTAGAATTCAGTAATTAATGTTGGCATTTTCTTCCCAATGTCTTTGCTTGATTTATAGTTAGATTTTTGAGATTTTGTAATTGGCTTTTCAGTTGTGAATAAATACTATTAACCTATATGCATATGTGTGTGTATGTGTATGTCTGTGTATACATATATTTTTTAAGAGAATCTTACTCTGTTGCCCAGGCTAAAGTGCATTGTGCGTGATCATGGCTCACTGCAGCCTTGAACTCCTGGGCTCAAGTGATCCTCTTGCCTCAGCCTCCCAAATAGCTGCGACTGCAGGCATGCGCCACTATGCCAGCTAATTTTTTTTTGAGACAGGGTGTGGCTTACCCAGGCTAGAGTGCAGTGGCGTGATCTTGGCTCACTGCAACCTCTGCCTCTCAGACTCAAGCCATCCTCCCACCTCAGCCTCCCAAGTAGCTGGGACCACAGGTGCACGCCTCCATGCCTGGCTTTTTGTATTTTTTGTAGTGACAGGGTCTCACTTTGTTGTCCAGCCTGGTCTCAAACTCTTAGGAGCTCAAGAGATCCACCTGGCTCGGCCTCCCAAAGTGCTGGGATTACAGGTGTGAGCCACTGCACCCAGCTGGCTAATTTTTTAATCTTTTTTTTAGAGACGGGTCTCCCTATCTTGCCTAGGCTGGTCTAGAAATCCTGGGCTCAAGTGATCATCCTGCCTCAGCCTTCTGAGTAGCTAGGATTACAGCAGTGAGCTACTGTGCATGGCTTAACCTGTATTTTAATTGAGTACTTTTGTTAGGAATCTTCTAATAGTGTTTTAAAGTTGTTTTAAAGAAAAGTTTTTAGAATTATGTGTAAGATAATGATTACATCTATTTTCACTTGAATAATATGTCTTTATAACCACTTAAAATTTTATTATTTTGGGCAAGGTGTGGTGGCTCACACCTGTAATCCCAGCACTTTAGGAGTCCGAGATGGGAAGATTGCTGGAGCCCAGGAGTTCAAGACTAGCCTGGGCAACATAGCAAGAACTTGTCTCTACCAAAAATAAAAAAATTAACTGGGTATGGTGGTGCATGCCTGTGGTCCCAGCTACTTGGGAGGCTGATTTGAGAGGATTGCTTGAGCCTGGGAGGTCAAGGATACAGTGAGCCAAGATCGCGCCACTGCACTTTAGCTTGGGTGACAGAGTGGGACCCTGTCTTAAAAAAAAAAAAAAAGACAAAATTTTACTATTTCAAGAATTCTCATAAGTTTTAAGTTGAGTAGTGATGACACAAAATTATTGGAATAGTTTTTGACTTAAAAGGCCCTCCACTGAGTTCAGCAGAATTTCTCTTCTCTGAAGACTGAATTTAACATTGTTCACTTCAGATAATTTTGACCCATCTTGAGTTTCATACACTATAATTTCATGTGTTGCAAATTTTATTTGCTATGCTAGTCTATTATAAATTAACAGATAAAGGGGAAATAATATACACTTGAATCCCTTAAGAAAAAAACCTGTTATTTTTAAAACCTCACTTATGAGCAACTGAATTTATAACAGAATAAACTTTAGAGCAAATTTACCTGTTCTGTTAGGTAAGTATTGTTAGCATGAGAGGTATCCAAGTATATTAACTTTGAGTTAACTTTCAAAAATTTGTTACTCATGTAAACCTTTTTGCTAATACATTTCACATAAATACAGTATAATTATATTTATGTATATTTTAAATAAAATATAACAAATTCTATATAATTTATTTTTTTTAATGTATATGTTTTCACATACTGATTGCTAGAGGGTTACTGAGTTTTACATCAAATTTCTTGCTTTATTTTTAGGAATCTGGGATTTTTTTTTACCTTTTTTGTGTGTAAAGTAAATTTTAGTTAAGTTTTCGTATTAAAGAGATAATTTTCAAGAATTTGGCTGTATTTGCCGTAAATCAGTGGCTGTATTACAGGAAATACCACGTAAATGAAAGGAGTCTGCCTAATCCAGCTGATTTCCTTTTGCATTGGCAATTAATGTATTCATAATAGTAGCTTATAGTAATGTGAGTTTTTTTTTTTTTAATTATTAATTTCTGAGACAGAGTCTCACTCTATTGCCCAGGCTGGAGTGCAGTGTCTTGATCTTGGCTCACTGCAAGCTCTGCCTCCCGGGTTCATGCCATTCTTCTGCCTCAGCCTCTCAAGTAGCTGGGACTACAGGCGCACACCACCATGCTGGCTAATTTTTATATTCTTAGTAGAGATGAGACTTCACCATGTTGGCCAGGCTGGGCTCGAACTCCTTAGCTCAAGTGATCTGCCCGCCTCGGCCTCCCAAAGTGCTGGGATTACAGGCGTGAGCCATTGCGCCTGGCCAGTAATGTGAGTTTTTATTAGCAAAACTCACAGAAAGAAAAATCTCATTATCATGTAACTAGTTTAATAGGAATATTGGCTGGACACAGTGGCTCATGCCTGTAATCCCAGCACTTTGGGAGGCTGAGGTGGACAGATTGCTTGAGCTCAGGAGTTCGAGACCAGCCTGGGCAACATGGCAAAACTGCATCTCTACAAAAAAATTTTTAAAAACTAGCTCGGCGTGTTGGCATACACCTGTGGTCCCAGCTACTTGGGAGGCTGAGGTGGGAGGAAGGTTGAGCCTAGAAGGTTGAGGCTGCAGTAAGCCATGATTACACCACTGCACTCCAGCCTGGGCGACAGAGCAAGACCCTGTCTGGAAAAAAAAAAAAGAGGCTGGGCGCAGTGGCTCACATCTGTAACCCCAGCACTTTGGGAGGCCTAGATGGGTAGATCATTTGAGGTCAGAAGTTCTAGATCAGCCTGGCCAACATGGTGAAACCCCATTCTCTACTAAAAATACAAAAATTAGCCGGGCATGTGTTAGGTGCCTGTAGTCCCAACTACTCAGGAGGCTGAGGCAGGAGAATTACTTGACCCCAGGAAGCGGAGGTTGCAGTGAGCCGAAATGGTGTCACTGCACTCCAGCCTGGGTGACAGAGCGAGACTGTCAAAAAAAAAAAAAAGAAAAAGACATTCTTTGATTTTCCTTGAAACCTTGATATAAAAAAAAGTGCATTTTACGTATGTAGGAATATGCCCCGGATACCTTGTTACTGTTGAAAAAGTAACTCAACAGCTAAAAAAACAAATTGGTTTTTCTGTCCAATAGCCAAGGCACAACAGATATTTCTTAGGAACACAGTTGATCACAATTAAAATCTGATACCCTATGAGGTTAGAGCTTTCTGGGTTTTGACCTTTTTGAAACTGGCTCTGTTTTTTTGTTGTTGTTTTTTTTTTTTTTTCTTTTGAGACAGGGTCTTGCTCTGTCACCCAGGCTGGAGTGCACAGGTGCGATCATGGCTCACTGTAGCCTTGATTTCCTGGATTCACATGAGCTTCCTGCCTCAGCCTCCCGAGTAGCTGGGACCACAGGTGCACACTACCAGCCTGGCTTGGTTTTTCATTTTTTTGTAGAGATGAAGTCTCCTTGTGATGCCCAGGCTGTTCTTGAAGTCCTGGACTCAAGCACTCAAGATGGGAGCATCTTGGCTTCCCAAAGTGATGGGATTACAGAGTGATCCACTGCACCCAGCCTAAACTGGCTCTTTAACTATACTTGTTCAGGAAATGCATCGCATTTTAGGGAACACAGCAGGAACTATTATTCCCCAAATTAGCAAATACTACATTCCCCCATGAAATGTATTAAGTTTATACTAAGCATTGCTCTTAAATTTTATTTTTTTTTTGATGTACAGTTTTTACCCTGGGTAAGAAAAATGGATGAATAATTGTATTACTATAAAGCATATGGTAAATCTATTCTTGTCATTTGATACTTGGACTATCAACTTCATTTTATTCTTTATTCAAAAAACTACTATTTTCTAAAGAAAACACATTACTCTTTTAGACTGTGTTTTTTCTTTAGTATTAACACTTTAACAGTCTCTTTTCATTTCTTCCATCTACTACATATGCATATATAGAGCATATGTAGTATGCTCTAACAAGGCTTAAGATTCTGATATGCTAGGCAGTTTTGTGACCTTACCTGAGAACTGCTGGACTAGCTCTTACAACCTAGCCTCAAGGCATTTAATTCCTGACTTAGAAATATTACAAATGACTATATGTCATAGGTTGCCAGTGTTGCTGGCTAGTAAAAAACACCTCTGGCTGGGTGGAGTGGCTCATGCCTGTAATCCCAGCACTTTTGGAGGTTGAGGTGGGTAGATCACTTGAGGCCAGGAGTTCAATACCAGCCTGGCCAACATGGTGAAACCCCATCTCTAGTAAAAATACAAAAATTAGCTGTGTGTGGTGGCGTGTGCCTGTAATCCTAGCTACCCTGGAGGTTGAGGCACAAGAATTGCTTGAACATGGGAGACAGAGGCTGCAGTGAGCCAAGATTATGCCACTGCACTGGTCAACAGAACGAGACTATCAAAAAACAAACAAAAACCTGTGTTTAATCAATGATTACTCAGTCATTGCATGAAAGATGTCTTCTAAAATTTTTTTATTTTTATGTATTTTTTTAATAGTGAGTCTTGCCATGTTGCCAAGCTGATCTTGAACTGCCTCAGCCTCCCAAAGTGCTGAGACTGCAAGTGTGAGCCGCCATACGGGCCCTAAAATTTTTTTAACAGTATTCTTTCTTCTGGACCCTTTAAGTTAAGAATCATCTAAGCAGATATTAAACCATAGAATTAGATATACTTTAACATTCATACAGATTTTTTTTTTTTAAGACGGAGTTTTGCTCTTGTTGCCCAGGCAGTGGCATGATCTCAGCTCACTGCAACCTCCACCTCCCAGGTTCAAGCAATTCTCCTGCCTTAGCCTCCTGAGTAGCTGGGATTACAGGTGCTTGCCACTATACCCGGCTAATTATTTTGTATTTTTAGTAGAGACGGGATTTCATCATGTTGGCCAGGCTGGTCTTGAACTCCTGACCTCAGGTGATCCACCTGCCTCAGCCTCCCAAAGTGCAAGGATTACAGGCGTGAGCCACCGGGCCTGGCCTCATACAGATATTTCTTAAAGGCTACTAAAGGTATGGGAAGTACTCATTTGCATACACTAAGAATAGGAAGATAAATTATTCCATTAAAATGTTGAGGGTATTACCCTTTGTGTTGTCTGTAGCTGTAGTTTAGTCTGTCTAGAGAAACTAGAATAATGTATTTGATGTCACATAGCTGAGATTTCTACTAAATGTAAATTATGATCTTTTCATATTTTAAGTGTTGATAAAATATAGGGAGTATTAATGATATCTCAAAAATTCTGTTTTTGATGGAACTATCTTGGACAGGTTTGTGTAATAAGCATTAGACTGTTAAAGGGAGAGGATGGGGGCTAAAGTTTAGTTTAATATGCTAGGCACTGAGCTGTTTTTAATGTGTATGATTTCATTTAATCTTCATAACCATATAAAGTATTATTATTTATTTTATTTTGTTTTATTTTATTTTATTTTATTTTATGTATTTATTTTGAGATGTAGTCTTGCTCTGTCACCCAGGCTGGAGTGCAGTGGCGCAATATCAGCTCACTTCAACCTCCCTGTCCTGGGCTTGAGTGATTTTCCTGCCTCAGCCTCCCAAGTAGCTGGGACTACAGGCATGTGCCACCATGCCCAGCTAATTTTTGTATTTTTAGTAGAGACGGGGTTTTACTGTGTTGGCCAGTCTGTTCTTGAACTCCTGACCTCAAGTGATCTGCCTGCCTCGGCCTCCCAAAGTGCAAGGATTACAGGCATGAGCCACTGTGCCTGACCTAAAGTAGGTGTTATTTAGCTATTACTTATGCTTTATAAGTAAGGAAACAGACGCAGAAAAGTCACACAGTTGCTGTTCTTTTTTTCACCCCAGTCTTTTAGACCCCAAATCAGTGCTTCTTTCTGAAAAATATGAATTGAGCAGTGTTCCTGGCCTTCTGGGATTTTAAGTGAATAAGGAAATAAAGTGATACATTAAACAGTGTATGTGCTGCTTTTATGAGGGTTAAGGAACATGAAAGTACCACTTAAGTATTTGGGAGCTTAAGGAGGGTTTCATAGAGCAGTTCATGTTTGAGGTGAGCGCTGAATTTTTTTTTTTTTTTTTTCTTTGAAACAGAGTTTGTTTTGCTCTCGTTGCCCAGGCTGGAGTACAGTGGCGTAATCTCGGCTCACTGCAACCTCCATCTCCCGGAAGGGATTCTCCTGCCTCAGCCTCCTGAGTAGCTGGGACTACAGGTGCCTGTCACCACGCCCGGCTGATTTTTTGCATTTTTAGTACAGATGAGGTTTCGCCATGTTGGGCAGGCTGGTCTTGAACTCCTGACCTCAGGTGATCTGCCCGCCTCGGCCTCCCAAAGTGCTGGGATTATAGGCATGGGCCACCATGCCTGGCCATTTTTTTTTTTTTTAAACATGCTTTCAAGTTAATGCTGCTGTTTTAAACCATTTACACCTTGGTATTCTCAGCAGCGATGAAATTAGCATGTGAGTATTGTTATGGAAGCAAAAACAATGTGAGAAATATTACCTAATAAACATTCAGACACAGTATTGAGCACAGTGTGTTACATTATAACTTTTTATTTTCTATTATTTTGTTAATATTTTGCTGTTAAGAATTTAATAACCCTAGATGTAATATGATTTCTTTCACTACAGATGTCCTCCTCGCACTTTCTTACCAGCCCTTTGCAAAATTTTTCTTGATGAAAGTGCTCCAGACAATGTATTAGAGGTGACAGCCCGTGCCATAACATACTACCTGGATGTATCTGCGGAATGTACCCGAAGGATTGTTGGGGTAGATGGAGCTATAAAAGCACTTTGTAATCGTTTGGTTGTAGTTGAACTTAACAACAGGACTAGCAGAGACTTAGCCGAACAGTGTGTAAAGGTAAGTATTACTTATTGGCTCATTACTTATTTTTCTCAGACCTCTCAGGGATGAGTATTGGCTCATTTAAACATCACTTAGAGACTGAAAAATGTATTTACTAAAAAAAAAAAATTTCTAAAAAAAAAAATTCTTCCTATCTTCAGTCTTACTTTATTGAGAGTAGTTGAGAACAGTGGAAATCACAACACTTGTGGCACCAAAGGAGGTTCCATGGGACTTGCGAAAAGAAATCTTATCTTAGAAGGAAAACTGTAGGTGATTGCTATGTTATGTGCTGCTTCAGTGCACTTCAGTTCCTGGTAGTCACTTAGAGATAGGTTATCCCTGTTCTTACCCAAATCATTTTGTATTATAATAGTAACAATCACCACCACAACAAACACCACCCACCAGTGCTAGACATTATTCTAAGCACTTTAAGGTATTAACTCATTTAATCTTCACAGCAACCCTATATGGGATAGGTTGGTGCCAGGAATAGTATTATTATTATTATTATTATTATTGTTTTTGAGACAGTTGCTGTGTCTCCCAGGCTGGGGTGTAGTGGCACGATGTTGACTCACTGCAACCTCCACCTCCCAGTTCCAGCGGTTCTCCTGCCTCAGTCTCCCAAGTAGCTGGGACTACAGGTGCCCACCACCACGCCCGGCTAATTTGTTTTGTATTTTTAGTAGAGATGGAGTTTCACTGTGTTGGCCGGGCTGGTCCTGAACTCCTGACCTTGTGATCCCCCTGCCTTGGCCTCCCAAAGTGCTGGGATTGTAGGTGTCAGCCACCACCCCCAGCCGAATATTATCATTTCTCTGTTACAGATGAAAGAAATTCAAGTATGCTGAGGTTAAGGAACATACTTGGGAGTAGTGAGCAGAAGAGTCAAGACTTGAAGTTTAGGAATTTGAAGATTAGGAAGTTTGGTTCTAGGGCCCAGGGATTTAACTATTTTGCTATATTCCCTGTAAAGTAAGCTGTTGTCTTTATGTAACTCTAAAAGCATTAGTGCTAGATCCATACTTTTTTGGAACTATTTGTGGTGAATACATTGAGATTTTACATGATTTTTTTTTTTTTTTTTTTTTTGAGAGATAGTCTTGCTCTGTCTCCCAGGCTGGAGTGCAGTGGTGCAGTCTCAGCTCACTGCAACCTCTGCCTCCTGGGTTCAAGCGGTTCTCCTGCCTTAGCCTCCTGAGTAGGTGGGACTACAGGCGCGTGCCACCATGCGCGGCTAATTTTTTGTATTTTTAGTAGAGATGGGGTTTCACCATGTTGGCCAGGCTGGTCTCGAACTCCTGACCTCAGGTGATCTACCTGCCTCGGCTTCCCAAAGTGCTGCTGGGATTACAGGCTTGAGTCACTGTGACTGGCCCCTGATTCTTTTTTCTTTTCTTGTTTTTTTTTTTTTTTAATGATTTCTGCTTCATTCTTTTTATAATTTTTGCTGCTTTAGGTCAGCAGTTCTCAAATTTTTTGTCTCAGGATCCCCTTACAAGTCTTAAATAATTGAGGATACCCAAAGAGCTTTTGTTCATATAGGTTTTGTCTATTTATTTACCATATTAGATACTGAAACTGATAAATTTAAAGTATTTATTTATCTTAAAATAAATTAATTACATGTTATACATAACAGGTTAATGAAAAATAACCTTTTTAAATAAACAAAGTTAGTGAGAAGACTGGAATTGTTAGGCATTTTTGCAAGTCTCTTAAGAACACTCTGTTTTTACAGTAGACAGCTGGATCCTCCTGTCTGCTTTTGCATTCAGTCTTGTACAGTATCACATCATGCTTAGCTTCTGGAAAATGCTACCCTAGACTCATGAGAATGATAATGAAAAAGACAAATAGTGTTAGAGTATTATTATGAGCTTTTGCTAAATTACTTGTAGTTCTTTACCTTGCCATACAGATGTCACTTTCTAAACCTGCACTGTCCAATATGGTAGCCAAATAAGTCTATTGAACACTTCAAATGTGGCCACTCCAAATAGAGATGCATTATAAGTATAAAGTATACATGCATTTTTAAAGACTATACATAAAAGACTATAATATATATCAGTAATTTTCTATATTGATTTCATGTTGAAATGATGATGCCTGGATATATTGGGTTAAATAAAAAATATTATTATTATTATTTTTTTTTTTTGAGACAGAGTTTCACTCTTGTTGCCCAGGCTGGAGTGCAGTGGCGCGATCTCGGCTCACGACAACCTCCGCCTCCCAGGTTCAAATGATTCTCCTGCCTCAGCCTCCCGAGTAGCTGGGATTAGAGGCATGCGCCACCATGCCCGGCTAATTTGATATTTTTTAGTAGAGACAGGTTTTCTCCATGTTGGTCAGGCTGGTCTTGGACTCCTGACCTCAAGTGATCCACCCGCCTCGGCCTCCCAACGTGTTGGGATTACAGGCGTGAGCCACCATGCCCAGCTGTTACTATTATTTTTTGAGACAGAGTCTCACTCTCTTGCCCAGGATGGGAATGCAATGGGCGATAATGGCTCACTGCAGCCTTGACCTCCTGGGCTCAAGTGATCCTCTCACCTCAACCTCCTGAGTAGCTGGGACTATAGCACATGCCACTACTATGCCTGGCTAATTTTTTGTATGTTTTGTAGACATCAGGTTTTGCCGTGTTGCCCAGGTTAGTCTTGAACTTCTGGGCTCAAGCGAACTGCCAACCTTGGCCTCCCAAAGTGCTGGGATCACAGGTGTGAGCTACCACACCCATCTAAAATGTATTATTAAAATTAATTTCATTTGTTTCACTTTTCTGTTTTTAATGTGTCACTAATAAATTTGGAGAGCGCATTGTTTCTGTGATTCTTGAAAATCAGGCTTGCATTCTTTCGTTACATTTGTTTTACTATTATAGGTATTAGAACTGATATGTACTCGTGAGTCAGGAGCAGTCTTTGAGGCTGGTGGTTTGAATTGTGTGCTTACCTTCATTCGTGACAGTGGACATCTAGTTCATAAAGACACCTTGCACTCTGCTATGGCTGTGGTATCAAGACTCTGTGGCAAAATGGAGCCTCAAGATTCTTCTTTAGAAATTTGTGTAGAATCTCTGTCTAGTTTATTAAAGCATGAAGATCATCAGGTAAATAAGTTGCTGTTACATACTTTCCATTTTCAGAAAGTGATTTTTTTAGTGTTCCCCTGTTTATAATTATGATAGACTGTAATTTGTGCTTTTCACTTGATGAAATCGAGGTAATTCCATCCTCTTTCTCTAATTTTATCTCTGCATGTGGTAATCTCCATTTTGGGAATGAAACTTTTAAGATTATAAGTGTGATATATGTTTATTCTTAAAATTTAAATATCATAAAAATGTTTTTACAGCTGTACTTGTACTGAGTGTAATTTTGCTGACTTGGTGCAATTTTGTTGACCTGATTTTGTTGACTTAAGATAGATCTCATTTAAATAAGACGGTATTTTTTATTTTTATTATTTTTTTTTTGAGATGGAGTCTTGATCTGTCACCCAGGGTGGAGTGCAGTGGCATGATCTTGGCTCACTGGAACCTCTGCCTCCCGGGTTCAAGCGATTGTCCTGCCTCAGCCTCCCAAGTAGCTGGTACGACAGGTGCCCACCACCACGCCTGGTTAATTTTTGTATTTTTAGTAGAGACAGGGTTTCACCATATTGGCCAGGCTGTTCTTGAACTCCTGACCTTGTGATCTGTCCACCTCAGTCTCCCCAAGTGCTGGGATTACAGGCGTGAGCCACTGTGCCAGGCATAAGACAGTATTTATAATCTTATCTGTAAATCCTTATTGAATTAGCATACTTTAGAAAATAAAACTTGGCTTTTAATGACTTTTTATTGTTCAGATGTTATTTTCAGTTGATATCATAGATTATCATGACAAAGGTACACATAATAATAGTTAATATTTTTGAGCTTTTATTATCCATCTAGATTCTTTATATGTGTTACCTCATTTAAGCTAACACAATGAGATATAGGTACCATTAATATCCCCATTTTACAAATGAGGGAACTGAGGCCTTAAGCAGTTTAAGTAACTTCCTCGGATTACACAGTTAGCAGTATATGGAGCCACGATTCAATAGGCAGATCACATGCTTAATCACTTTGCTGCAGTTGCCTTTCTTATAGTGTCAGTATTGAAATGATCATTACTAACCCTTTTTAGGTGGATTTTATCTGTGGGCATTTTCTTCACATTGTTAGGTTTCAGATGGAGCTCTGCGATGCTTTGCATCACTGGCTGACCGATTTACCCGTCGTGGTGTTGACCCAGCTCCATTAGCCAAGCATGGATTAACTGAGGAGCTGTTATCTCGAATGGCTGCTGCTGGTGGTACTGTTTCAGGACCATCATCAGCATGCAAACCAGGTCGCAGCACCACAGGAGCTCCATCCACCACTGCAGATTCCAAATTGAGTAATCAGGTGTCAACAATTGTAAGTCTGCTCTCAACACTTTGCAGAGGCTCTCCGGTAGTAACACATGTAAGAATGTTTTTGAATCTTTGCTTTTTAATCTTCAGAAAAAGTGTTTTTGTATAATGCTAATATATTAAACATCTTTCTTCCCATTCTCTTTCTAGGATCTTCTGAGGTCGGAGCTTCCAGATTCAATTGAAAGTGCATTGCAGGGTGATGAAAGATGTGTGCTTGATACTATGCGTTTGGTTGACCTTCTCTTGGTGCTATTATTTGAAGGACGAAAAGCTTTGCCAAAGTCTAGTGCTGGATCTACAGGCAGAATCCCAGGACTCCGGAGATTAGATAGTTCTGGGGAGCGCTCACATCGGCAGCTTATAGATTGTATTCGAAGTAAAGATACCGATGCACTTATAGATGCAATTGACACAGGAGGTCAGAAAATATTTTTTTAAATATAAAAAGAAAGTTGTGAGATAACCATATAGGCAGTTTCTAGTTTTCGGACAGTACTCTTAGAAATCCAGATAACAAAGTGGCACCCCTTCGATATTCTCCCCTATCCCTGTGCATAATTATGTAATTATCAGCTTGGTTCTTGGTGAAACCTGAATAAATGCTTGTTGAATGGGTAAAACTTCTATAAAGTTTGAAATTTCTGTTTTATTACCTGAAGGAGATCTTATAAATTCTAAGGTTTTCTCAAGATTGATAGGAACTGATGTGAATGAATTATAATAATGCAGATTTTTTTTGACTGCTACATGAGGTGATGAGCAAATATAATTCCTGAAAGATGCTTCTGGGTCATCAGATTTGTTCTTCTGTGTTCTTTGGATTATGGATGTGGATTAGCCTCTTTTAGCAACTACTACCTTATTTAGTTGTGTATTTAGTATTTTCCTTTGTTATTTCATGTTTATTTTTAAGACTTAAAGCCTTGTGAATCTCCAGTGGTTTAAACATTTTCAAATGTTTTTTCTTTTTTTAGTAGGGGGACAGAGTCTCGCTCTGTTGTGCGGGCTGGAGTGCAGTGGTACAATCTTGGCTCACTGCGTCCTCTGCCTCCTGGGTTTGAGCGATTCTCCTGTCTCAGCCTCCCAAGTAGTTGGGATTACAGGCATGTGCCACCACACCCGCCTAATTTTTGTGTTTTTAGTAGGGATGGGGTTTCACCATGTTGGCCATGCTGGTCTCAAACTCCTGACCTCCTCCCACCTCGGCCTCCCAGAGTGCTGGGATTACAGGCGTGAGCCACGGTGCCTGGACTTAAATACTTTTTCTTAGCTGATCTCAAGTTTGCTGATTATGTACTGCTCTATAGTTGACCTAAATATTTAAAACACTCTCTTGGCTCTTTATTTAGATGATGACTAATGACGATCTTAAAATGGTTCAGTCTTTAGAAAAGTTTAGTATTTTATTGGCTTTAAAAATACGTTTCTTTTTTTTTCCTTCAAAATTTCAGCCTTTGAAGTAAATTTTATGGATGATGTAGGTCAGACTCTATTAAACTGGGCCTCTGCTTTTGGAACTCAGGAAATGGTAAGCTAATAAATAAAAGCTGGTATTTAAATTAAGGATAGAAATATTAATAAAAAGCAGCTTTATGATTCGTTATCATTTTACAGGTAGAATTTCTTTGTGAGAGAGGTGCAGATGTTAATAGAGGTCAAAGGTCATCATCATTACATTATGCTGCATGTTTTGGAAGACCTCAAGTAGCAAAGGTAAAGTCTAGGTTTTAAAATTACTAATTTTTAACATTTACATGGTTTAAAAATTAGAATGATATAAAACCTTTTATTTCCATGCCATCTCCATCCACTTCATTCCCCCTTACTCACTGTAAGTGTTTTTAATTAGTTTTTTCTTTTTAGTGTTTCCTAATACAGATTCAATAAAAACAAATATATATATATGTGTTCCCTCCTTTTCTTATACACTCACCTGTACTTTGTTTTTTTACTTAATAATATAAATTAGAGATCTCTCCCTGTTAGCATGTAGAGAACTTTTTTATATCTGTATGCATATCCTGTACTACAAGTTTATTCAACTAGTCACCTAGTGTTGAACGTGTGATTGTTTCCAATTTGTTACTCTTGGCAATGAATAACTTTGCCTATATTTTCTCTTGTTTGTATTCATCAATAAAATATTCCTTTTCTTTTTTTTTTGAGACAGGGTTTTGCTCTGTCACCCAGGCTGGAGGGCAGTGGCACAGTAGCGACTCACTGCAGCCTTGAATTCCTGTGTTCAAACGATCTCGTGCCTCAGCCTCCCAAGTGGCTGGGATTATAGGCGTGTGCCATCATGCTTGGCTAGTTTTTGTACTTATAGTAGAGACAGGGTTTTGCCATGTTGGCCAGGCTGGTCTCAAACTCCTAGCCTCAAGTGATCCACCTGCTTTGTCCTCCCAAAGTGCTGGGATTATAGGTGTGAGCCACTGCACCCAGCCAAATACTCTGTTTGTAGAAGAATCACTAGACTCAGACTAGCAAAGGACTTTGGGGAGTTATTTTTACAGTTAGAGAAATTGAGGTCCAAAGAGGTTAAATGGAAAGGTTTACATCAAATGTATGAACTAGGTGTCTGTAATCTGCCAATCGTGAAGTTATTTGGTATAGTACGAGGTTAGTCCACTCTGAAGTTGTGCATGCCTGGATTCGAGTCTCAGCTTATGCACAAAAAAGGCTATATGATCTTGGACAATTTATTAAGTTTGTCTATAAAATAAGTATATATTCTTAGCAAGATTATTGTGAGAATTAGAAAAATATATTGTATAGATTTACTGTAGTAATCAGCATATTGCAGGTGCTCAAATGGTAGCTGCTATTATTGTCATCTTTACACTACAACAACATTTTCAATAACAGGTTCGTAGCTTTCTAGCCTGTGAAGGATGGTCTCTTCAAGCCTGAATTCTATTTGTTTGAATTGGTTAGTTTTTAGAGAGAATGATGCTTCTAAGGGTGACTAATACTGAGTGAGCAAAGAAGGTTTTAGAGTTTCCCTTTCAAGTACTTTTAAAGTCAGCTGTTAGCAAAAAAGTTTTTATTGAGCCATTGTGATTAATTAGTCTGGGTATGAAATTATGAAAGGTTTAAGGTGTTAGTGGGTATAGAGGTGGATATATTGATGACTTTTTATTTTTGAAATAGGGTATTGCTCTGTCTCACAGGCTGGAGTGCAGTGGTACAATGATAGCTCATGTAACCTTGAATTCCTGGGCTCAAGTGATCCTCCTGCCTCAGCCTCCGGAGTCACTATAGAACTATAGGCGTGTGCCACCATACTGGCTAATTTTTATTTTTATTTTGTTATTTATGTATTATTTGTAGAGACGAGCTCTCACCATGTTGCCTAGGCTGATCTTGAACTCCTGGCCTCCAGTGATCCTCCGGTGTAGCCTCCCAAAGTGCTGGGATTATAGGCGTGAGCTACCACACCTGGTTGACTTTTTGGTCTAAAATTTAATTTGACTTAACTTGGTAATTGGCAGTATATAGGAGGCGATGTCATTGATTGCCAGATCATAAATTAAACAGTACCTCTCTTTAAAGAAATTGGGAGGCAGAGTTTGATGGAGAAGGTGACATGTTAAGATGGAATATACTTAATTTGAGATGATGATAAATAACCAAGTACAATTAATTCATAAGTTTTTCAAGTTACGATAGGCTGCTTTGTATTGTTTTTTGAGATGGAGTTTCACTCTTGTAGACCAGGCTGGAGTGCAATGGTTCAAGCGATCTTGGCTCACTGTAACCTCTGCCTCCTGGGTTCAAGCGATTCTCCTGCCTCAGCCTCCCAAGTAGCTGGGATTACAGGCATGCGCCACCACACCCGGCTAATTTTGTATTTTTAGTAGAGACGGGGTTTCTCCAGGTTGGTCAGGCTGGCCTTGAACTTCCGTCCTCAGGTGACCCACCCACCTCGGCCTCCCAAAGTGCTGAGATTACAGAATAGGCTGCTTTTAAGGTACTAAGTGCAAAGGCAGAGATATGGATTGCCACCTGCTTGATTAAGTAATTCTGGAAAATCTTTAGTTTACATAGTTGGATGTCAAAGAAATAAAGTATTGTTATATTCAAATTAAATGCTTTTCTTCTCTAGACTCTGTTACGGCATGGTGCAAATCCAGATCTGAGAGATGAAGATGGGAAAACTCCATTAGATAAAGCTCGAGAAAGGGGCCATAGTGAAGTGGTAGCTATTCTTCAGTCTCCAGGTGAGAGCTACATTCTTTCTTTTGAAGCCATCTACTGTTATTTTTCAGCTTTCACTTCCATAGCTTTCTGTAGACACATTAACCTTATATAAATGAACTATTCCTATGAAGTCAAATAATTATATATGTATATCCTTATATTTAATAAACCTGTTTAACAGCTTAATTTTCTATGTTCTTTGAGATTGTGACTGCCTGATTCCAGAATAACCAAAATCTAAAGTTCAAGGAATATGGGAATGTCAGATAAAGAATACTTTGGTATTGTTTAGATAGGTAGTTTGACCAAAAAAAATTTTTTTTTTTTTTTGAGGTGGAATCTTGCTCTGTCGCCCAGGCTGGAGTGCAATGGCGCTATCTCGGCTCACTGCAAGCTCCGCCTCCCGGGTTTACGTCATTCTTCTGCCTCAGCCTCCCTAGTAGCTGGGACTACAGGCACCCGCCACCGTGCCCAGCTAATTTTTTTTGTATTTTTAGTAGAGACGGGGTTTCACCGTGTTAGCCAGGATGGTCTCGATCTCCTGACCTCGTGATCCGCCCGTCTCGGCCTCCCAAAGTGCTGGGATTACAGGCGTGAGCCACTGCTCCCGGCTGACCAAAGTTTTAAGTTTTCAGAGGGTTGATGAATCCAGAAGCTCTGTGAAATAATTTTTGGAACGAAGTGGAGTATCCAAAATTATCTTCTTAATTTGTTATTGAGCACATTGAAGTTACTAGTGCTCTTTAGTATTCTTATAAGCATCATTGAAACAATGTTCTAATTTCAGTGTATTTGTTAATTAGAGATAATTATTATTTGAAGTTGGATATATCTTAAGGTTTTTTTCCTTGAAAGCAAAAGTTTCCAAAAAAGTATTTCTTTAAAAAATATTTGTCTGTAGGTGATTGGATGTGTCCAGTTAATAAAGGAGATGATAAGAAAAAGAAAGATACAAACAAAGATGAAGAAGAATGTAATGAGCCCAAAGGAGATCCGGAAATGGCACCCATATACTTGAAAAGGTTATTGCCAGTGTTTGCACAAACATTTCAGCAAACTATGCTGCCTTCAATAAGGTAGTTATTCATACTATTTGATGTGTTAGTCAAATTACACCAATTATATGGTTTTATTTATCTCCCTTTTCCAGAAGTATTTGAGGTTTATTTTAATGTTAAAAAGGTGTGGTAAGAATAAAATTTAGATGAGAAGTGGGAAAGCCCTATCTTTTCTTCTGACGATCTGAACGAAGAGAAGTTTTAGAAAAGATTACTAGATTCTTAACAAATTTTAGGTAGCTCTCTGAATATTAAATCTCTGTTTGATAAGTATTGCAACCACTTATTGAGCTTTTTAGAAGCCTGTTGGTAGGGACGGTATGAGATGGCCACTGGAGGAGTTATACAGATAAATGAGATTTGGCTCTTGCTTACTCTTCCCCTTGCGGGCTAGTAAGGATGTATGTGGGTAAAACATAGAGTGGTAAATGGTAGATTAGGCACATATTCAGGGTTCTCTGGGAATATAGATAATTTAACAACTAATTGGGCTGGGCAGATTGGAGACAGTTTTATGCAGAGGTGAGATTTAAATTGTGGTTTAAAGGATACTTAGGAGTTTTCTAGGCAGACAGATTTGGAAGCATGAGTGAAGAACAGTATGTGCAAATGCATGAAGGTATGAATCCATCCATCAGGAACTCCTTGTGGCTCTCCCTCTACAGTGTATCCATAGCTTGCTATTTCTTTTCATCTTTTGCTAGTCAGTACTCTGATCCAAACTACCAAAGGGTTTGACCACTGCAGTAGCCTCCTTAGTTAATCATTCTGCTTTTTCTCTCTTGCTCCTTTACAATGTTTGTACATATTAGGCTGAATTATATATGTAGATGTGTGCGTGTATATATATTTTTAATTAACTAATTTTTGAGACAGGGTATCGCTGTCACCTGGGCTGGAGTGCAGTGGCTGGATCACTGCAGCCTTGACTTCCTGGGCTCCAGTGATTCTCCCACCTTAGCCTCCCGAATAGCTGAGACTACAAGTATGCCACCATGACCAGATTGTACTTTTAGTGTAGATGGGGATGCACCACGTTGCCCAGGCTGGTCTCAAACTCCTGGGCTCAAGTGATCGCCCACCTCAGCCTCCCAAGTGCTGGGATTACAGACATGGGCCACTACACCTGACCATATTTATTTTTAGAGACAGGTCTTGCTCTGTCACCCAAGTTGGAGTGTAGTGGCACAATCATAGCTCACTGTAACCTTGAACTCCTGGGCTCCAGCGATCCCCCACCTCAGCCTCTCAAGTAGCTAGGACTACAGATGTATACCGCCTTGCCTGGCTAATTCTTAAATTTTTTGTAGAGACATGGTGTTGCTCTGTTGCCCAGGCTGGTCTTGAACTCTTAGCCTCAAGGGATTTTTCTGCTTTGGCCTCCCAAAGTGTTGGGATTGTAAGTGTGAGCTTCTGCATGCACCTGTCCTGAGAATTATATACATTTTTTTAAAAATTTTTTTTAGAGACAAAGTCTTGCTCTCTTGTCCAGGCTGGAGTGCAGTGGCACAATCACAGCTTACTGCATACTTGAACTCCTGGGCTCAAGGAATCCTCCCACCTCAGCCTGCTGAGTATCTAGGACTACAGGCATGCACTACCACACCAGCTAATGTTTTCATTTTTTTGTGGAGATGAGGTCTGGCCATCTTGCCCAGGCTGGTCTTTAACTCCAGGGCTCAAGCAATCCTCTGGCCTCAGCTTCCTGAAGTGCTGGAATTACAGGCATGAGCTACCGCACTTGGCTTGAGAATTATATCTTTAAATCGTAATTATATCACACGACTGCCTAGTTTGAACCCTTCATAGCTTCTAATTGGCTTTAACAAAAACTCAGCTCCTTAACCCTTAGGCTTGCAAGTTCTTACATAATCCCAACCCAGCTCTCCAACAGAGTACTACCTAACATTTGGCCCATTACACTTACGCTAGCCTTCTTTCTGTTGTGGAACCCTCCAAGTACATCCTTGCCTTAGGGCTTTTGTACTTGTTTGTCATCTGCTTGAAACTTTCTGTCCCTAGATCTTCTGAATGGGTGTTTGCTTCATACCATTCACCTCTCAGTTCAAATGTTACATCCATTGAAGTCTGTCTCCCTGATTTAAATTTACCCCGTTACACTTTTTATATCAATAATGTTTTACTGACTTTACAAAGCTTATGCTATCTTGGCTGGGTGCGGTGGCTCACGCCTGTTATCCCAGCACTTTGGGAGGCCGAGGCAGGTGGATCACTTGAGGCCAGGAGTTTGAGACCAGCCTGGCTAACGTGGCGAAACCCTGTCTCTATGAAAAATAAAAAAATTAGCTGGGTATGGTAGCACTTGGCTGTAGTCCCAGCTACTCGGGAGGGTGAGTCAGGAGAATTGCTTGAACCCATGAGGCGGAGGTTGCAGTGAGCCAAGATTGCGCCACTGCATTCCAGCCTAGGCAACAGAGCAAGACTCCATCTAAAAAAAAAAAGGTTTCACTCTCTGAAATACTGGTTTTTGGGGGGTTTTGTTTGTTTTATTGTCTTGTCTCTTTAAAGTAAGCACCACGAGAGCTGGTCTTATGTACTGCTATATTCCTACAAAGGCAAGGAGATACAGAATAGGGCCTGATCCTTAGGTCCTCAGTAGATATTTACTGAATGATTGAATGAGTGTGTTTTGTTAGCAGTTGCAAGTATTTCAATATTAATGGAGTACAGGATACATTTGGAAAGCTCCGAGAATAATGTTAAGAAAGTAGAGAGGAGCTTTTTATAACCTATGATGGCTTTTGTAGGCCATGTGAAAGAGCGTGGACTCTACCTCACATTTAAGAAGGATTATTAAAGACCTGTAAGGAAAATTTGACACATCTGGATTTCTGTTGATCAAGATCACTTTGACACCCTGGCAGAGAGAAGAACTGGAGGAAGGAGAGAATAGAAACAGACAAGTGTTGATTGAGATAGGAACTTCAGGGCAACTGGATTAGTGAGAACAAATTTAAGAGTTTGGCAGATGGGTTGTATAGGGATTGGTGACCAGTTAGATGGTGGATTGAAGGAAGAAAGGGTGAAAGATGACTGCAGGTTTTTGGCTGAGTAGGAATCTGATTTTGGTCGTTTTCAGTTCAGGAGGTCTGTAGAGCAGGCAGTTTTATAAGATTCAAGTACCTCAAATACCAGTATTATGAGCTGACATTAAAATACAAGCAGTCTGCTTTAAATAGGAGAGAACTGGCCGCAAAATAATTCACTGTGAACATTTAATAGCTTGGTTTTTAATTCTTCCCCAAATAGCTACAGAGGTGTAGGTGTTAGTGGGGTCACTTTTTTTTTTTTTTTTAATTACACAAGACTTGAATCATCTTAAATGAGCAAGTTCAGTTTTGAACAAGATAATTTGGTCTGAAAATTTTAGAGGACCATCTGTTATGCCAGTGCAAGAATCATTCTGGAGTATAAGTGCTTCATGATAAGGCCATCAGAAAATTATAAAGTATGCTACCATGTAACAGAGTTCCCTTATTGGATGGTTATTTTCTTTTATCATTTTAAATGTTTGGAGATATTAGTGTTAGAAAATTTGATGCTAAATTTTCCCAGGTAGTTATTAGCAGACACATTTAATTGTAGCTAGGAAAATAATATATGTCTTAGTTTAAGAACTCATACTCTGGAATCAACTCATTGCACTTTCCTATATGTTTGGCCATGGGCAAAGCACATAACCTCTTAATCAATTGGCTCGTCTCCAAGGTGAGGATAGTTATACTTAATCCTCTTTAGGAGTGAGAATAAAAATTAAATATGTGTGTAGCATAGTGTCTACAATGTTAGAGGTATTTGAAAAGTGATAGTTTATTTTTTGGAATTATTTAGCATTATTAAAAACAAGGGGGAGCACACGGTGGCACGTTTCTGGTCCCAGCTACTTGGGAAGCTGAGGTAGTAGGATCGCTTGAGACCAGCTTAGGCAACATAATGTGACCCTGTCTCGAAAAAACAAGGTGGATTGGTTACAACCTGATATTTTACCAGTTTTTTTGAAGTTTTATCAGATAAGTAAACATAACACTGATTCAGACAGTTAAGAGTGTCCATGTATATTGACATTAGCTATTACCTGTGTAGGCCTGTGCACAGTATCTGTTCAGGAAATAAAAGGCAGACAGCAGATCAGTGAAGGCTTCAAAACAGAGATTGGTAGTATCAGTGGTGGAGTAGTTTGTAAAAGCCTGGTTATTTTCTCTGTAAGATAATTAGACTGAGTACTTCTCCACTTTGTTTTAGAAGAAAGCTACATAGAATTTTGAACAGGTCTGATAAGTAAACATCTTAGGAGTTAGTATAAATAACTGGACAAAGATTGAGTCTCCTTTGCAGCAAACTAGATCTTTATGAGGACCTTTTGAAAAAAAAATTTTTTTTTTGAGACAGAGTCTTGCTCTGTCACCCAGGCTGCAGTGAAGTGGCGTGATCTTGGCTTACTGCAGCCTCCGCCTCCTGGGTTCAAGTGATTATCCTGCCTCAGCCTCCCAGGGGTTTACAGGGATTACAGGCACGCACCACCATGCCCGGCTAATTTTTGTAGTTTTAGTAGAGACGGGGTTTTGCCATGTTGGCCAGCCTGGCCTTAAACTCCTGACCTCAAGTGATCCGCCTGCCTCTGCCTCCTAAAGTGCTGGGATTACAGGAGTGAGCCACTGCGCCTGGCCCTTTAAAAATTAAAAAAAAAGGTTTTAGCTACAGGGTCTCACTGTCGCACAGGCTGGAGTATAGTGGAGTGCTCATAGCTTACGGCAACTTCAAACTCCTGGGCTCAAGGGATTTTCCCAACTCAGCCTCCCAACCACTTGCGACCACAGTTGTGCACCACCACGCCCAGCTAATTCTTTGGGGGAGGAAAGGGGCTCACTCTGTCACCTAGGCTAGAGTGCAGTGGCACAATCTTGGCTCACTGCAGGCTCTGCCTCCCAGGCTCAAGTGATCCTCTCACCTTAGTCTCCCAAGTAGCTGAGACTACAGATGCATGCCACCATGCCTGGCTAAACACCTGGCTAATTAAAATAGTTTTTTTTTTTTTGTAGAGATGAAGTCTTGCTGTGTTGCCCAGACTGGTCTCAAACTCCTGGGCTCAAGCGATCTTCCGACGTCAGCCTCCCAAAGTGTTGGGTTTACAGGCGTGAGCCACCGTGTGTGGTCTGGTTTTCTTTTCTTGCTTTCCGTGTGTGTGTGTGCGCATGTGTGCGTGTGTGTGTGTGTGCGTGTGTGTGTGTGTGTGTCAGGATCTTACCCTGCTGCTCAGGCTGGAGTGCAGTGGCGTGATCTCAGCTCACTGCAGCCTCAGCCTCCTGGGCTCAAGCAGTTCTCTAGCCTCCCAAGTTGCTGATACTACAGGCGAGCACCACCACACCTGACTAATTTTTTTATTTTTTTGTGTGTAAACAAGGTCTTACTATGTTGCCCAGACTGGTCTTGAACTCTTAAGCTCTAGTGATCCTCCCAAAGTGCTAGGTTTACAGGTGTGAGCCACTGCGACTGGCCCAATTTTTTTTTTAAAACAATTTGAGAGAAAAAAGTAGACTTGGTGGGATATAGTGGGAAATTGTTCTTGGGTGAAAACATTAAATAATCTAAAGACATAAATTCTTCTAAAATTAATTTGTAGGTTATGCAGTTCTAAAGGAAATAACTACAGAATTTGTTTTAGAACTTGACAGATCCCAAAGTTCATCTGGAAGAATAAATAGGTGAGATTATTAAAGAAAAATCTGAAATGTTAGTGTAACCCTTTAGCAATGAAATTTTTATGATAACTAGCAGAGTAGTGTGTAAATCAATGGAATAAAATAGTCCCCCCAATAGAGCCAGTTATATATAGGTATTGAATGTATTATAATGGATGTTTCTCAGATCATTCAGGGGAGGGGGTACTATTTATTAAGTGGTACTGGAGTATCTGCTTTGTAGTTTGATTTTAAAAATCACCCTAATCTTTTATCTTATATTTTAAATCTAAACAAATTCTAAGACTTAAAAACTAAAATATTAGGAAAACAAAAAGATAAGATACTTTTTTTCCCTATCCTCCAAAACTTTTTTTTTTTTTTTTGAGACAGTCTTGCTCTGTCACTCAGGTTGGAGTGCAGTAGCATGATCTTGGCTCACTGCAAACCTCTGACTCCCAGGTTCAAGCGATTCTCGTGCCTCAGCCTCCCGAGGAGCTGGGATTAAGGACATGCACCACCATGCCCAGCTAATTTTTGTATTTTGTTAGTAGAGACAGGGTTTCACCATATTGGCCAGGCTGGTCTTGAACTCCTGGCCTCATGTGATCCACCCTTCTCAGCCTCCCAAAGTGTTGGAATTACAGGTGTGAGCCCCTCCAGAACCTCTGAGCAAAAGAAAATATACTTGAATGTTTATCAGACCTTGATAGGAAGAATGGCTTTTTCTTTTTCTTTTTTTTTTTGAGACAGAGTCCTGCTCTGTTGCACAGGCTGGAGTGAAGTGGCGCCATCTCAGCTCCTGAGTAGCTGGGATTACAGGCACACACCACCATGCCCGGCTAATTTTTTTGTGTTTTTAGTAAAAATGGGGTTTTGCCATGTTGGCTGGGCTGGTCTCGAACTCCTCATCTCGGGTGATCTGCCTGCCTTGGCCTCCCAAAGTGCTGGGATTACAGGCGTGATCCACCACACCCAGCCTGGCTTTTTGTTTTTCTTTTTCCTTTCTTTCTTTCTTTTTTTTCTTTTTTTTTTTCTTTTTTTTTGAGACGGGGTGTTGCTGTGTCACCCAGACTGGAGTGCATAGTATGATCACAGCTCACTGCAACCTTGAATTCCATGGCACAGTGTATCCTCTTGCCTCAGCCTCTTGAGTAGCTAGAACTGCAGGCACACACCACCAGGTCCAGCTAATTTTTATTTTTAGAGATAGTTTTGCTTTGCTGCCCAAGGCTGGTCTTGAACTCCCGGGCTTAAGCAGTTCCCCTGCCTTGACCTCCCAAACTGCGGGATTACAGGCGTGAGCCACTATGCCTGGCTTACTTTAGAAACCTATTTGCATTAGCCAAATGTGTCCTTTTAAATTTATTTTATGTAAAAAACATAAAACTACTACATAACAGAAACAATATTACCTGCAGCCACAAATGTCTCAGAATAGAAACTTTTAATCTAAAAAAATTTGCCAGCAGGTGGGTATTTGTTAGCAAATATGACAAAGGGATACTGTCTTTATTATATACAAAGGGTATTTACAAATTGATCGTAAAAATTTCAGAGCCATTTGAGTAAATTAGTCAATGAAATTAAGGCACAGTGTTCAAGAGGAAACACGGCAAAAAATTAATATGGAAAAATGTATTTCCTAGCTGGGTGTGTTAGCTCATGCATGTAATCCCAGCACTTTGGGAGGCTGAGGTGGGAGGATTGCTTGAGTCCAGGAGTTTGAGACCAGCCTGGGCAACTAGTGAAACCCTGTCTCTACAAAACACACAAAAATTAGCTGAGTATGGTGGCGCATACCTGTAGTCCTGGCTACTCGAGAGGCTGAGGTGGGAGGATTGTTTGAGCCTGGGCGGTCGAGGCTGCAGTGAGCTGAGATTGTGCTGCTGCACTCCAGTCTAGATGACAAAGTGAGATGCTGTCTCAAAAAAAAAAAGTATTTCCTTACTAGTAAAAAGCAAAACATTTTAGAAATAAGTAAAATTTGGTATCATTTTTACCTATTAGACAGTTAAGAAACTTAAAAAATGAGAATTTTTTTTAAGTAAAAAGGAATATTGTAGATATTCATATTTAGTGATAATTTAAGGTGTTAACAACCTTTTTTGAATCAGTTTGCCAATATGAATGCAGTACTCATACACATTCAATACTTAATGAAAGTGTTTAGGCTGTTAGATCCAAGAATCCCTCTGTACTGAAGGAATATGAAGAAACTGTTTACACAAAAATAAATAGTGCTATTTTTAATAGAAAAGACTGTAAACTAAATGTTCAAAATTTATATAATAGTGTTAAACAGGAAAATTTTATGTTGTGAGTATTATGTATCATCTAATTAAGAGATAGAATTTGAATACAGGCTCTGTAATTTATTAGCTTGGTGATCTTAGTAGACTGACTTAACTATCGCTCAGTATCTTCACTTGTAAATTTGAGATAATAAAACCCACCTCATAGGTTTTGTTGTGTGGGTTAAATGAATTATGTTTTTAAAGTACATAAAAAGGTTACTGCTCATGATGGCTCAGTATACGAGAGAGAGATAGATAAATAACATATAAACATTCTAATACATTGTTAATTGAAATAAGTCATGATATAAAACTAATAGTTAAATTCTGGTATTTACAGTGGAATATAAATAAAAACTGGGGCCAGTAATAAAAACCGGCGCCAGGCACAGTGACTCATGGCTGTAATCCCAGCACTTCGGGAGGCCGAGTAGGGTGGATCTCCTGAGCACAGGATTTCGAGACCAGCCTGGGCAACGTGGTAAAACCCTGTCTCTACAAAAAATAGAAAAATTAGCTGGGCACGGTGGCAGGAGCCTGTAGTCCGAGCTATTTGGGAGGCTGAGGCACGAGAATCACTTGAACCTGGGAGTCGGAGGTTGCAGTGAGTCAAAATCCTGCCACGCACTCCAGCCTGGGGGACAGAGCAAGACCCTGTCTCAAAAAAAAAAAAAAAATTATGGCCAGGTGCGGTGGCTCACGCCTGTAATCCCAGCGCTTTGGAGGCTGAGGCAGGCAGATCACCTGAGGTCAGGAGTTCAAGATCAGCCTGGCCAACATGATGAAACTCCGTCTCTACTAAAACTACAAAAATTAGCTGGGTGTGGTGGTGCACACCTGTAATCACAACTACTCTGGAGACTGAGACAGGAGAATCACTTGAACCCAGGAGGTGGAGGTTGCAGTGAGCCGAGATCACACCACTGCACTCCAGCCTGGGTGACAGAGCGAGTCTCTGTCCCAAAAAAAATAAATAAATTAAATTAAATTAAAAACAACAAAACAAAAACTGGAAAGAACCAATCCTGTTAGAACAGTTTGTCCTCTGTCCACCTATCATTTTCTGTACTGTACTTGAATTTGTAATAAAGCATATTCCTTCATTAAAGAAATATAATGTTATAACTTCAGCTAGAGAGAGTTATAAAATATGTAGAGACCCTATGCTGTAGAAATACAGCTGTGTCACATGCCTCTCTAGGACATCAGTTGAAAATTTTGCCTCTTTATCCTTCTATCATTCACCTCAAGGGTAATGATATCTGCAGCTTAGTGCCTAGAACATTGTTAGATACTTAGAAAATATTTGTTAAATGAATTGATTATTGGCTCTTACATAATAGACAAGCCTTTTTTTTGTTTGTTTGTTTTTGTTTAAGACAGAGTCTGGCTCTGTCGTCCAGGCTGGAGTGCAGTGGCACGATCTTGGCCTGCTGCAACCTCTGCCTCTAGGGTTCAAGCAATTCTTCTGTCTCAGCCTCCTGAGTAGCTGGGACTACAGATGCCCACCACCATGCCCGGCTAATTTTTGTATTTTTAGTAGAGACGGGGTTTCACCATATTGGTCAGGCTGGTCTCGAACTCCTGACCTCAGGTGATCCACCTGCCTCAGCCTCCCAAAGTGCTGGGATTACAGGTGTGAACCACCTCACCCAGCCAAGCCTCATCTTATTAGTAGTTTATTATCATTTAAATGTATGTGAATATGTGTTTTTTATTTTAAAAGATCAGGTTACATGTTATAAAGTTGAGGTTAATTTGGCCGGGCGTGGTGGCTCACGCCTGTAATCCCAGCACTCTGGGAGGCAGAGGCAGGCGGATCACGAGGTCAGGAGATCAAGACCATCTTGGCTAACACAGTGAAACCCCATCTTTACTAAAAATACAAAAAATACAAAAAGCTGAGCGTGGCGGTGTGCGCCTGTAGTCCCAGCTACTCGGGAGGCTGAGGCAGGAGAATGGCGTGAACCCGGGAGGCGGAGGTTGCAGTGAGCCGAGATTGTGCCACTACACTCCAGCCGAGACAACAGAGCGAGACTCTGTCTCCAAAAAAAAAAAAAAAAAAAAAAAATTGAGGTTAATTTATGTGACTTTATTGAGTGTCTGCTACGGTCTAAGCAAAGCAGTAAGTGAATAAAAGGGAAAGGAGGCATACTAATTTGTTAATGATGGGAATATTTTGGGGGCATGGGATTATTAGGATCTCTTATTTTCATTTATATGAGTCCATAGTTGCAGTGAACGTGGATTTTAAATTTGATGAAGGACAAATTAAATCAAAATTTTGTTTTTCATATAAATTACCTAGTATCTTAAGTTCTTAGAGCATTGTATTTTGGATTATAGGAAATTTTAGGTATAATTTGTATCATTTCTTTTCTTTTTTTAATTTTATTTTGTGTTTTGAGATGGAGTCTCCTTCAGTCTCCCAGGATGGAGTACAGTGGCACCATCTCCTAGGTTCAAGTGATTATTCCGCCTCAGGCTCCTGAGTAGCTGAGATTACAGGTGCCTGCCACCACGTCTAGCTAGTTTTTGTATTTTTAGTAGAGACGGGGTTTCTCCATGTTGGCCAAGCTAGTCTTGAACTCCTGACCTCAAGCGATCCGCCTCCCTCAGCCTCCCAAAATGCAGGGATTACACGCGTGAGCCGCTGCACTGGGCCCCATTTATTTTCTTAGTAGTTGTAGTACTTTTTACTTGATTTTCTAAAATTATCATGACATGTTAACATTCATGCTAGTAAAGTGTAGAATATAGAATAGAAAAGTGCATTTAAGAAAATTATAAGTCATTTTTGGTGAGCTCAATATATTTATAATAGAAAATAAATGGAATTATTTCAAAAATGAACATATAGTGCTGAGTCCCAATTTTTTGTATTTTTTTATTAAGTGTATTTTTTTAGCAGAGTGTATAAAATGTAACATTGGATATTTTACTGTTCATTAATGCATGCATTTTGATTTATTTTAACTTCATTTGGCTTCATATAATTCTATTTTTACTTTTCAAGGAAAGCAAGTCTTGCTCTAATTCGAAAAATGATTCATTTTTGCTCTGAAGCACTGTTAAAAGAAGTTTGTGATTCTGATGTTGGTCACAATTTGCCTACAATACTAGTGGAAATCACTGCAACTGTCCTGGATCAAGAGGTCCGTTTCTTTTTCAAAACTCTTTAGCATTAATTTCCTTTAGCTAGTAGTCTGAAATAAAATTTTTGTTTTAATTTCAGTAAATCATGTTGTGCAAATTACTGCATTTCTCTACTCCTGGCAACTAAACTTATTTTTATTTTTTATTTTTCAGGATGATGATGATGGCCACTTGCTGGCTTTGCAGATCATAAGGGATTTAGTAGATAAAGGTGGTGATATATTTTTGGATCAGCTAGCCAGACTTGGTGTAATTAGCAAAGTGTCAACGTTGGCAGGTCCTTCCTCTGATGATGAGAATGAAGAGGAATCAAAACCAGAAAAAGTGAGTGGTCTTAATTATAGAGGTATCAGGAAGAGTTTTTTTTTTTTTTTTGAGGAAAATCTAGTTTCAATTTTTGATGGTTTTTGACAGGATAATGACAATATGAAATAATTCTGTATATTTTTTAAATTGGTCAATTTTCTTTTAAAACATTTTGATCAACAATTTTAAACATATAGAAATGTTGCAAATATAGTTAAAGAATATCAGAATACTCTCTATCCAAATTCACTAGTTATTAACATTTTGCCCCATTTCCTTTAACATTTTTTCAGACACATGTATCTGTTTGTGTGTGTGTGTGTGTGTGTGTGTGTGTGTGTACTTTTTTTTTGAGATGGAGTTTCGCTCTTGTTGTCCAGGCTGGAGTGCAATGTTGTGATCTCAGCTCACTGCAACCTTCACCTCCCTGGCTAATTTTGTATTTTTAGTAGAGACGGGGTTTCTCCATGTTGGTCAGGCTGGTCTCAAACTCCTGACCTCAGGTAATCTGCCTGCCCTGACCTCCCAAAGGCTGAGGTTGCAGTGAGCCGAGATCGCACCACCGCATTCCAGCCTGGGCGACAGAGTGAGACTCCAGCTTTTTTTTTTTTGAGACAGAGTCTCGCTCTGTCACCCAGGCTGGAGTGCAGTGGCGCGATCTCGGCTCACTGCCAGCTCCGCCTCCTGGGTTCACGCCATTCTCCTGCCTCAGCCTCCCCAGTAGCTGGGACTGCAGACGCCTGCCACCATGCCTGGCTAATTTTTTGTACTTTTAATAGAGACAGGGTTTCACCATGCTAGCCAGGATGGTCTCGATCTCCTGACCTCGTGATCCGCCCGCCTCTGCCTCCCAGAGTGCTGGGATTACAGGCGTGAGCCACCGCACCCGGCCTGAGACTCCATCTTAAAAAAAAAAAAATTGATGGTAAGGTGAATACAGAGTTTTACCTTTTAACCTAAATATTTCACCAGAAAAAAGCCAGGACATAGTTGTAGTATAATTATCAAAATCGTACTAATCAGAAAATTTAATATTTATGTAACACTAATATATTCTCTGGAGACATATTTAGATTTTGCCATTGTCTTTAATGTCCTTCATAGTAATTTTTTTTTCTGGTCCACAATGAAATCCAGGAGCACACATTACATTGCTTATCATATTCCTGAGAACCTGCGATAGTTTGTCCTGAGAACCTACAGCAGTCTGTCAGCCTTCCTTTTATTTTCATAGCTTTGGTGTTTATGAAGAGAATAGAACAGTTAATTTGAACAAAGAGCCTAACTTTGTGTCATGTTTCTTTGTGATTAAATTCAGCTTATGTGTTTTAGCAAAAGTCCTATAGAGGTGATACTATGCTCTTCTAGGTGCATAATGTTCCTTCTTGGAGGCACATTTGTGTCTGTTTACCCTGTTGGTTATGATAACTTGGATCACTTGCTTAAGTTTTTCTCTTCCAGGTTTCTCTACTGTAAAGTTGTAAAGTTGCTCTTTTCCTTTTTTTTTTTTTTTGAGACGGTATCTTGCTCTGTTGCTGAGGCTGGAGTGCAATGGCATGATCTCGGCTCACCGCCCCCTCCACCTTCTGGGTTAAAGCGACTCTCATGCCTCAGCCTCCGGCGTAGCTGGGATTACAGGCACGTACCACCACGCCCAGCTAATTTTTGAATTTTTAGTAGAGACAGGGTTTCATCATATTGGCCAGGCCAGTCTCGAACTTCTGACCTAGGTGATCCACCCACCTCGGCCTCCCAAACTGTCGGTATTACAGGCGTGAGTCACTGCTCCTGGCCTCTTTTTCCTTTTGTAATAAGTAATTTGTAGGGACATAATTCCAGACTGTGTAAATATGCTGTTCCTCAGTAAATTTAACCCACCAATTTCTGTATTCATTGGTAACTCTTGCCTTAGACTGCAAATTTAAATATACCTTTTCTGTGTCTAGTGGTTCCCAGCAAGATTTATTTCTAATATTTAGTGAATGCTTACTGTGTGTTAATAACAGGGTAGTAATATTTTTGAAAAAAATGGTGGTATATGAGTTAATAATTGTAGAATCCCGAGGGTGGTGAAAGAGAGAGTGTGTATGTGTTACCCAAATCTGTTTAATCGTCAGAATTACTGGGGGATTTAAGGAAAAACAAAACAAAAATATTATCCGAGTTTATTTTCTGGAACTCTCTCTCTCAAGAAATAGGTTACAGCAATCCCAACCAAGATCCCAGCAGTCTTTTTGTAGAAATTGACAAGGAGATTCTAGGCTGAGTGCAGTGGCTCATGCCTGTAATCCCAGCACTTTGGGAGGCCGAGGCAGGGAGATCACCTGAGATCAGAAGTTCGAAACCAGCCTGGCCAACATTGTGAAACCCCATCTCTACAAAAAATACAAAAATGAGCCAGGCATGGTAGCACTTGGCTGTCGTCCCAGCTACTCCGGAGGCTGAGGCAGGAGAATCACTTGAACCTGGGAGGCGGAGGTTGCAGTGAGCTGAGATCGCGCCACTGTACTCCAGCCTGGGCGACAGAGCAAGACTCCATCTCAAAAAAAGAAAAAAAAAATTAGCTGGGCGTGGTGGCACACACCTGTAATCCCAGCTACTTGGGAGGGTGAGACAGGAGAATTGCTTGAACCTGGGAGGCAGAGGTTGCAGTGAGCCGAGATCGGATCGTGCCATTGCACTCCAGTCTGGTTGACAGAACAGAACTCCATCTCAAAAAAAAAAAAAACAAGGAGAGTCTAACATTTGTATATAAATGTAATAGCCAAAGCAACCTGGAAAAGGAGCAGCGTAGAAGGATATACATCAATTTCAACTCTTTTATAAAACTTTGGTAATCAAGAAAGTGTGACAATAGTGTAAAGATAGATGAATGACCCACTACACATATGGCCAATTGATTTTCAACAAAAGTGCTAAGACCACCAAGAAAGGATGATCTTTTCAAAAAATGAACAAGCCAATAGCATATGCAAAATAATTAAACCTCAACCCTTACCACATATATATATATTTGTATCATTTCTTTTTTTGTTTTGTTTTTTGAGATTGAGTCTCCCTTAGTCTCAACCCTTACTACCCATGTATATATATAGCATTATATATATACATTATATATATACATGGTTAGGGTCCCATATACAAAAATTAACAAAATGAACCATAGACTAAAATGTATACACTAAAATTATGACACTTCTAGAGGAAAAGAGAAAATCTTAGTGACCTTGGACTTGGGAAAGATTTTGTAAATTAAACTTCAAAAGGTTATACTGTAAAAGAACAAATAATTGGTAAGTTGTACTTCATCATTACACACTTACGCTCTTCAAAATACGTTGAAATGGTCGGCTGGGCATGATGCCTCATGCCTGTAATCCCAGCACTTTGGGGAGGCTCAGGTAGGAGAATTACTTGAGCCCAGGAGTTCGAGACCAGTCTGGGCAACATGGTGAGGTGAGACCCAGTCTCTATTTTTTTTTTTTTTTGAGATGGAGTCTCGCTCTGTCGTGATCTCAGCTCACTGCTAGCTCTGCCTCCCGGATTCAAGCCATTCTCCTACCTCAGCCTCCCGAGTAGCTGGGACTACAGGCGCCCGCCACAATGCCCGGCTAATTTTTTGTATTTTTAGCAGAGACAGGGTTTTACCGTGTTAGCCAGGATGGTCTCGATCTCCTGACCTCGTGATCCGCCCGCCTTGGCCTCCCAAAGTGCTGGGATTACAGGCATGAGCCACCACGCCTGGCCGACCCATCTCTATTTTTATTAAAAAAAAAAAAAAAAAGAAAAAAAAGAAAAGGCAAGCCAGATAATTCTCTCAGATTTTATGTATCTGAAAATTATTTGGCCTTCTTTCTAATTTTTTCTTTTTTGAGACAGGGTCTCGCTTTGTCACCCAGGCTAGAGTGCAGTGGCGTGATCTCGGCTCACTGCAACCTCTGCCTCCCGGGTTCAAGCAATTCTCCTGCCTCAGCCTCCCAAGTAGCTGGAATTACAGGTGCACACCACCATGCTCAGCTAAGTTTTGTATTTTTAGTAGAGACAAGGTTTTACCATGTTGGCCAGGGTGGTCTCGAACTCGTGACCTCAAAGTGATCCACCGCACCTGGCCTCTTTATTTTTTTATTGTTTAATTAAAAAAATATTTATTTTATTTTTGTAGAGATGCGGGTCTCACAATGTTGCCAAGGCTAGGTTGGTTTTTGGCCTCAAGTTATCCTCCTGCCTTGGCCTTCCAAAGTGCTGAGATTACAGGTGTGAGCCACTGTGCTTCTTTGTCTAGTAAGTTTTGATTTGCTACTGGATATTGTAAATGTGATGATGTTGGGCTCTGGGCTTTGTGGTCTTTTGTAAAGAATATTGGGTTTTGGCCAGGTACCTTGGCTCATGCCTGTAACTCCAGCACTTTGGGAGGCCGAGGCGGACAGGTCGCTTGAGCCCACGAATTCGAGCCTAGCCTAGGTAACATGGCAAAACTCTGTCTCTACAAAGAGTACAAAATTGTCATTGCATGGTGGCAGAATAGCTTTTACTCTAGGGAACTTCACCCCTATGATCCCAAATTTGTGATTTCTTTGAATTCACTGAATATCCTGGTGATCTATGAGGATTTTCTACTCTGGCTGTTTGGAATGCAAATGTCTGGCTACTTGTATGATCTCTTATAACTTTCCAGTTGTTCTTTGCCCAATCTTATGCAGTATCACCCCGTATATAAGTGTAGTACTCAGTGGAAACTACTTTGCAGATTTCTGGAGAGGCTTTTTCTCTTTAGTTCCGTAATAGTGAACTCAGCCTCCACATATTCCAGTTGCCTCAAACTTTTCAAACTCTGATCTCTATTTTCTTAACTTGTACTGCTAGGATCTGTGTTCCCCTTCCACATGAGCTTAGCCAGAAAATGGTCTCTGGTTCTAAGAGACTCGCTTTGTTTGCTTTCATTTTCTTGGGGATCATAGTCCTGCATTGACTGTTCTTTAGTGTTTGAAAACACATTTTTCGTATATCTTGTCTATATTTTAGTTGTTTATGATGGACGTATTTAGATAATTTAATATCTTTTTTTATGTGAATATTTTCCATTTTTAAATGTGTCCAAAAAAAGTTTTAGGAACACAGGCTGAGCTACAAAATGTTTATACATTTTTTTTAAAAAAAAAAACATGCTGAGTCAGGCGCGGTGGCTCATGCCTGTAATCCCAGCACTTTGAGATGGAGGAGGGCAGATCGTGAGGTCAGAAGATAGAGACCATCCTGGCTAACACAGTGAAACACCATCTCTACTAAAAATACAAAAAATTAGTCCGGCGTAGTGGCGGGCCCCTGTAGTCCCAGCTACTTGGGAGGCTGAGGCAGGAGAATGGCGTGAACCCGGGAGGTGGAGCTTGCAGTAAGTGGAGATTGTGCCACTGCACTCCAGCCTGGGTGACAGAGCGAGACTCTGTCTCAAAAAAAAAAAAAAAAAAAAGCTCTAACTAAAATACTTGTATGATCATGGGAATGAGTATATTTGATTCACTTGGCTAAGGGTGGGGTCTTGGAATGAATGAATGAATTTTATTTACTTATAATAGATAATATATATTATATATAAATTATAAATATATATATTTATAGAGAGACACTGTCTCTATTATCTTTATAGAGGTTGTAGATAATGTCTCTATTATTATAGAGTGAGACCCTGTCTCTATTATCTATATAGAGATTATAGATAGTGTCTTTATTATCTAGATAGATAGATAGATAGATAGATATAGATAATAGAGACAGAGTCCCGATCTGTTACCCAGGCTGGAGTTCTGTGGCACAGTCCTTCACTATAACCTCAAATTCCAGGGCCCAGGCAGTCTTCGTGCTTCAACTTCTCCAGTAGCTAGGACTACAGGTGCGCACTACCACCCTCAGCTAATTTTTAATTTTTTTTTTTGTGGAGACAGACTCGCTACGTTGCCCAGGCTGATCTTGAACTCATGGCCTAAGCACTCCTCCTGCCTTGGCCTCCCAAAGTGTTGGGGTTATAGGCATGAGCCATCACTGTCAGCCAAAATTTATCTTTAAAAAGCTTCTTTGGTGATTCTGTTACACACTTCACTTTGGATACCATTGAGCCTCTCTAAATCATCATTGTTTACAAATAGGCCCAGAGATGTAATGAGTTCACCAAGGTTTTAGGTTATTATGTTGTTGTGTGTAGTGCTCTAATCCATTAGTCTTTACCCCACTACACCTGGACATGATATAATATAGGTCATTATTTACATGAATTTCTTAATATTTTTAACACTTATTTGTAAGATTTAGTTATAGGTAATTAATTAGTCAGAATTGAGAGCCAGGTGCCGTGGCTTGGACCTGTAATCCCAGCTACTTGGGAGGTTGAGGTGGAAGGATTGCCTGAGGCCAGGAGTTAGAGGCTGCAGTAAGCTATGATGACACTATTGCACACCAGCCTGGATGACAGAGTTGAGACCATGTTTCTAAAAGGGGGGAAAAAGATTAAGCTACAGGCAATTGAGTATTATGTTCAGAGTATTTAAATTTGAAATTAAATTAGATTCATGTTTTTAAAATATGTATGAATATTTGAAATTGAAATTATTTTCCATGTTTAATTGAATAATTCTACACATTTAGGAAGATGAACCACAGGAAGATGCTAAAGAATTGCAACAAGGTAAACCATATCATTGGAGAGACTGGTCAATCATTAGGGGAAGGGACTGCTTATATATTTGGAGTGATGCAGCAGCCTTGGAATTATCTAATGGCAGTAATGGATGGTTCAGATTTATCTTGGATGGAAAACTTGCCACCATGTATTCAAGTGGTAGTCCGGAAGGTGGATCTGACAGTTCAGGTAATATTTTGTTTCAATTAAAATATTTTCCTAGTTTCTACAGTTTGGTTTTTTTCTCATATTTTTGCTACCATTGTCAAGGTATTTTATTTTTTTGAGACGGAGTCTCACTCTGTCACCCAGGCTGGAGTGCAGTGGTGCGATCTCGGCTCACTGCAACCTCCACCTCTCAGGTTCAAGCAGTTCTCCTGTCTCACTCTCCTGAGTAGCTGGGACTACAGGCACCTGTCACCATGCCCGGCTTATTTTTCTATTTTTAGTAGAGATGGGGTTTCACCTTGTTGGTCAGGCTAGTCTCGAACTCCTGACCTCAGGTGATCCCCCTACCTCGGCCTCCCAACGTGCTGGAGTTACAGGTGTGAGCCACTGTAGAAACAAAAATATTTGTTTCTTTATTTTTTAATATCAATTTCTTTTGTATCAGTAGAGAAAAATTATTATACCATGAAAATATTTCCTAAATGTCTTTTTACTGCATGGGACAAGGAACAACACTGTATCTACTTTTTAAAAAATATCTTTACAAATATAGCTCCTTTTTTTTTTTTTTTTTTTGTTTTGGAGACAGTGTCTTACTCTGTCTCCCAGGCTAGAGAGCGGTGGTGTGATCATAGCTCATGGCAGCCTCAAACTCGTGAGCTCAAGTGATCATCTCGCCTTAGCTTCCCAAGTAGCTGGGACTACAGATGCGTACCACCATGCCTGGCTAATATTTCCAGTTTCTAATTTAGTTTTATTGTTTAAAATTTATATTTTAATAGGTCTTTTTTTCCTAAGAGAAAATACATGTCATACTTGAAAGAAATAAGATTTTGAAACAAGTATTTTGTCTTTATAGAAAGCCGAAGTGAATTCTTAGAGAAGTTACAAAGAGCTCGAGGCCAAGTAAAGCCATCTACTTCAAGTCAACCTATACTGTCAGCACCAGGACCCACTAAACTTACTGTAGGAAATTGGTCACTGACATGTTTGAAAGAAGGAGAAATTGCTATTCATAATTCAGATGGTCAGCAAGCTACAATATTGAAAGAAGATTTACCTGGTTTTGTATTTGAATCTAATAGAGGAACCAAACATTCATTTACTGCAGAAACTTCCCTGGGTAAGTATGTAGATATGTAAGTTTATTGGGTACAAATAAATGAATATGTTAAATTGTAACAAAGTAAGCTCTGTGAATATTCTTTTTTTTCCCCCCAAGGTTCAGAATTTGTGACTGGCTGGACTGGCAAAAGAGGCAGAAAACTGAAATCTAAGTTAGAAAAAACAAAGCAAAAGGTATATCTGTTGGATGTGCTTTATTCTTGTCTTTTATACTGATTTGTTAAATTTTCAGTGGTAAAGTATAAGCACTGAAAAAAATTGAGCCATAGAACATAAGCAGCCCTAATATAATATATTTTTAGTTTTTCTATTTTCTGTGTTTTCTTAAATATTTATTTACATATAATTTTTATACCTATACTAAATACCAACATTAAAACAGAATCAAAATGGATGTTAATATGAAACAAAATGTAAATTACTTGACTTATTAATTGCACAAAAAAATTCAACTCATTGAGATTATTAATGATACTAGGATATTTTTAGTGTTGTAGTGGGATTGAAAATGACTTGTATTTTACAATCTGGGTTAATACCTTGTGATACAGCAAACTTAACTGCCTGGTTCTAAATTCAGATTATTTTGATACTTAGTTTAATGGCCATCTCAGCTGAAATTATTACTTCAAGAAGATACAGTAGCAGATGCATAATTGACTAATTTTTTTATGCTTCCATCAGGTTTGCATTATTACTTTAAAATATGGCCAGTATATTTCCATGTTTATTGTTCTTGCATTTTTTTTTTCATTTTTAAAAAAAAGTAAGATAATCTCATAGTTAGAGTCAACATTTTCTGGTGACTAGTATGTTTATTTTACCTATAATGGTAATATAAAATAGGATTTTTTTAATTTGCTTTGTTTTGAAACAGTCTCTCTGTATTGTCCAGGCTGGTCTAAAATACCTGAGTGCAAGTAATCCTCCTGCCTCAGCCTCCCAAGTAGCTGGGACTACAGGCGCTATGCCTGGTTCTAAGATAGTTTTTAAATACAGTATGCAAAGAATACTTGTATATGATTAGGATTAGGGGAGAGTTCTTGTGTTTTTATGGCTTTGACCAGAGAAATTGTAATAATGATGTTTCTGTTTTTTTTTTTAAACAAACTTAGTGAAACCCTTGTAATGTTTTTTTTGAGACTCGGTTTCGCTCTTGATGCCCAAACTGTAGAATGGTGCAGTCTCAGCTCACTGTAACCTCTGCCTCCTGGGTTCAGGCTATTCTCCTGCCTCAGCCTCCTGAGTAGCTGGGATTACAGGTGCCTGCCACCATGCCCAGCTAATTTTTTGTATTTTTAGTAGAGACGGGGTTTCACCATGTTGGCCAGGCTGGTCTGAAACTCCTGACCTCAGGTGATCCACCCTCCTTAGCCTTCCAAAGTGCTGGGATTACAGGCATTTGCCACTGTGCCAGTCCTGTGATAGTGGTTTTCATTTGAAGCGGATGTTTTATATAAAGATGTTCACATCTTTATTTCCTGTTTGAATGTGCTAGGTTATCCCAAAGATATTTGCAGGTGGTATACTTTGGAAAGAACATAGCTTTTTTATTTATTTATTTTTATTTTTATTTTTTTTGAGATGGATTCTCACTCTGTCACCCAGACTGGAGTGCAGCGGTGCGATCTCGGCTGACTGCAACCTCTGCCTCCCCAGGTTCAAGTGATTCTCCTGCCTCAGCCTTCCGAGTAGCTGGGACTACAAGCACGTACCACCATGCCCAGTTACTTTTTTGTATTTTTAGTAGAGACAGGGTTTCACTGTGTTAGCCAGGATAGTCTCCATCTCCTGACCTCAAGTGATCCACCTGCCTCGGCCTCCCAAAGTAGTGGGATTACAGGCATGAGCCACCACATCCGGCCAACAGTAGTTACATTTTATAAAGTTATTGTGAATACTGAACCATTGCTTGTGGGAGAAATACTGGGTTAGATTTCTTCTAGGCCTAAGGCCTGTTGTGACAACATTTTTTCACCTTGTTTTTTAGTATGTTTTTGTTTAAAGACACCTTATTTGCTATGTATTGTTTTTTGTTTTTTGAGACAGAGTCTCACTCTGTTTCCTATGTTGGAGGGCAGTGGCACAGTCTCAGCTCCCTGCAACCTCCGCCTTCCAGGTTCAACCGATTCACCTGCCTCAGCCTCCCAAATACCTGGGATTACAGGTGCGCGCCACCATGCCCGGCTCATTTTTGCATTTTTAGTAGAGACGGGGTTTCACCATGTTGGCCAGGCTGGTCTCAAACTCCTACCTCAAGTGATCTGCCCGCCTTGGCCTCCCAAAAGCCACTGCGCCCAGCCTGATATGTATTGTTGATTTATTAATATTGAACTGGCCAACAGCACTGCTATGCTTGAACAAAGCTTATTTTAGCACACACTTTTTTTTTTTTTTTCTTGCAAGGTACGTCACAGTCTCCTTGTGCTTAGAAACACTGGATAGCACTTAAGCACTATGTTTGGGGGCCATTTTAAACAATGAAATCAGGAAGAAAAAGCCCCAAAATTCAAAATATGTGACACTAAGTAGATTGTGAATAGGGCACTTGTTTATAGTATGAGACCTGAAGCAAGAAAGAGTGTCACCTTTTTGAATTCTGCTGGGAACATGCATATTGGGCACCTTAAATTTATTGCTGCACTGTGCATGTCTGTCAATGAATGTGAAAGCTCTGCAATGATTGATTTTGAGGTTACAAATTTTAATGAATACTCATATTTGCAAGCATGGAACCGTTGAATAATCTGACTATAAATCACCTACCTCAAGAGTTTTTTGGAATATCTAATATGTCGTATTAACCAACCAAATCTAGACTACAGGATACTGAAATTTCATAACACAAACTAAAAAAAATCAGTGAGGACATTGTCTCAATCCTGTATTCTCATTAAAAAAAAAAAAATTATGGAGGGTGTGGAGTGAGGGTGGCAAGGGTTCCAGAACTGTTGGGTACTATGCTCACTACCTGGGTGTTGAGATCATTTGTATTGCAAACCTTAACATCACACAGTATACCCATGTAACCTGCACATGTACCCCGAATCTAAAATAAAAGTTGAAATTGTAAGAAAAAAATTTTAAAAATTACTGCTTCACTTTCTTGATTTGAAATCAGTAGCAACTCAGTGAGTAGGTGGCTATCCTTTTGCATATATAAACAAGTATGCATCAAAATATTTTAGGCAAAAATAATTTTAACTAATTTATTTATTTTTTTTTATTTTTTGAGGCAAAGTCTTGCTCTGTCACCCAGGCACTGGCACAATCTTGGCTCACTGCAGCCTCCACCTCCCGGGTTCAAATGATTGTCCCGCCTCAGTCTCCTGAGTAGCTGGGACTATAGGCATGCACAACCATGCCCAGCTAATTTTATTTTTAATTTTTAGTAGAGACGAGGTTTCACCATGTTGGCCAGGCTGGTCTTGAACTCCTGACTGACCTCAAGTGATCTGCCTGCCTTGGCCTCCCAAAGTGCTAGGATTACAAGCATGAGCCACCACACCAGTATTAATTATTAATACTGTTTTATAAAGAGATAGTTTCTTCAAACTTGTCTTATATCCATGATTGCCATCTTTTAATTCTGAAGGGCATACCAAAATAGAATAGAAAGTATTATTAAGTAGTTTAGAGAGATACGTTTTTTTCTGTTGCATTAGAGTTATGCTGGGTTTGTTTGGGATTAAAATGGCATTAGGTGAATCCTAAATTTACATTACTTAAGCATATATTTTTAAATAATATCATGTACTAAATTTCATCAGACCCAGAACATACATAGGTTGTTTCCTCAAATAACTGTAACTTCGAGAGCTCATTTGTGCCCAAATGACAGTACATACGTACCTTTTCGTGGTGAAATATGTAAATACGAGTGTCTATAAAAGTGAAGATTTGGTAAAATTATTAATTGTAAAAATTCACATTTGTTGTGTTTATTTTGGTAGGTACGAACTATGGCTCGAGATTTATACGATGACCATTTTAAAGCTGTTGAAAGCATGCCTCGTGGAGTAGTGGTAACACTCAGAAACATAGCAACTCAGTTAGAGTCATCTTGGGAACTTCATACAAATAGACAAGTATGTCATCCTCTAGATTTTAATGATATGTAGTGAATTTTAGTTTGATGTCTTCCCCTCTATCCTTTATGTCATGGGTATTGAGTAGGGGGTCAGCAAATTATGGCCCAGGAGCCAAATCTGGCCTGCTCCCCATTTTCGTATGGCTTTATGAGGTAAGAATGGTTTTTATACTTTTAAATGATTGAAAACAAACCAGAAGGACAATTTCAAGACACATGAAAATCAGATTTCGGTATCCATATAATTTAATCACACATAGCCATGCTTATTCATTTACATATTGTCTATGACTACTTTGGTGCTACAGGGGCGTGGTTGAATAGCTGTGATGTAGACTATATGGCCTGCAAAGCCTAAACTGTTTGCACTGGGCCCTTTACGAAAACGTTTGCTGACCTCTGGTAGACATAATTTGTGTTAATAATTTGAACTTTTAATTTTGCTTAATATCTAAATTATTGTCATGATAATTGATGTTCTGATAAGTTATTTTAAGAGCTATGTTTATGTTTTTGATTGCCTTCATTAAATTTTTTTTTCTTTTAGTGTATTGAGAGTGAGAACACTTGGAGAGATTTAATGAAGACAGCTTTAGAAAACCTAATTGTACTTTTGAAGGATGAAAACACAATTTCACCATATGAAATGTGTAGCAGTGGCTTGGTACAAGCACTTCTTACTGTGTTAAACAATGTAAGTTTATCAAGTAGTAAAGAACAAAAATACAGTTTTAAAAATTATTTGTAGTTACTCCTTCGGTAGAGTGGTTTTTAGTTTGTTTTGTCAAGAAATATTTAAAAGCTGAATGATGTTAATATTTCTAATTTCTTCAGCCTTTAGGTTTTATGATTAGTTTGAGCCAAATGAATTAAATAATTGTTTATTTTGATTTCTAAGTTCCCAGTTATAATTTGCTAAAGGTTTTGTTGACTAAAAACACTTCAGCTTGATTTGTTATTATTCACTCCTCTGATTTTTACATAAGTTATATAAAATAGAATATGTCTGTAGACCTTAAGTACCCAAGTTATATGCATAATGTGTGAACAATGAAAGTTTAGGAAGTTTATGATGGAAGGAACTCTCCACAGGGCTTGTTTTCCAAAGAAAAGTGTTGTTTGGAGGAGCAAAGTTATAAGCCTACCTAAGCATATCATAAAGCTGTTCAAAAATAACTCAGACTCAGTCTTGTGGATGGAAATGTAGCGCTCGAGTCACATTCTGCTTAAAGTTACAACAAATACAGATGAGTTAAAAGGAAAAAAGTTTAGGAAGTTTATGTGAAAATTTGATAAATATTTGCTAATAACCTTATATATTTTTTCGATTTAAGAATGTCTCTTTATTGTGGTAAAACTTTTTTCCTTTGTTTATATATTTATTTATTTTTGACACAGAGTCTCGCTTTGTCGCCCAGGCTTGAGTGCAGTGGCGCAGTCCTGACTCACTGCAGCCTCTGCCTCCTGGGCTCAAGTGATTCTCCTGCCTTAGCCTCCTGAGTAGTTGGGATTACAGGCACCTGCCACCACGCCCGGCTAATTTTTGTATTTTTAGTAGAGACGAGGTTTTGTCATGTTGGCCAGGCTGGTTTCGCACTCCTGACCTCAAGTGACCCGCCCGCCTTTGCCTCCCAAGTGCTGGGATTACAGGCATGAGCCACTGCACCTGGCTCTTTTTTCCTTTATTTTAATAAAAGAATTATATTCATTTCAGTTCTACTTAGTTTTATTTAATTAATTAATTAATTATATTTTTAAAAATTTGGAATGCTTCACGAATTTGTGTGTCATCCTTGTGCAAGGGCCATACTAATCTTCTCTGTATCATTTCAGTTTTGGTATATGTACTGCTGAAACGTGGACTACTCAGTTCTTTTTAGTGTGTGTGCATGTGTGTATGTGCATCTGTGTGTTCGCCATGATGCCTAGGCTGGGCTCAAGCGATCTGCCTTCCTTGGCCTCCCAAGGTGCTGGGATTACAGGTGTGAGCCACTGTGCCTGGCCAGAGTTGATTTCTTGATCTTAATCATTGTATGTGCTGATGCACTCTTAAGATTTACTTTAGGCTGGGCGCGGTGGCTCGTGCCTGTAATCCTAGCACTCTAGGAGGCTGAGGTGGGCAGAACACTTGAGGTCAGGAATGCAAGACCAGCCTGGCCAACATGGTGAAACCCTATCTCTATTAAAAATACAAAACAAAATTAGCCAGGCGTGTTGGCATGCACCTGTAGTCCCACCTACTCTTCTGTAATTCTGAGGCGGGAGAATTGCTTGAGCCTGGGAGGCGAGGTTGCAGTGAGCCAAGATAGCACCACTGTACTCCAGCCTGGGTGACAGAGCGAGACTCTGTCTCAAAAAAAAAAAAAAAAAATTCACTGGAACTTCAATGAGTCCCATAGTCCCTTCATAAACTTTACTATTTGCATTTATTCTCATTTATTATAGTGATATATCACATTATATCACTTAGTAATCTATGAAATAGTTTTGATGTACCAGTTTTTTCCTAATACTTATTAAAGTAAATAGTACTGTTAAAATGGAAAATGTTCATTCCTATATTAATATAGTCTGAAACCATCTTGTATACTTGGGGAAACACTGATTTTGCAGCATAATTGGTGAGTATATTATAACATTGAAGAAGGAAAAAATTTTGTATGTTAGCCATGGCCTACTAGTCACATACTAAAAATAATTTTAATTGAAACATGAAATGATGAATGATTTTATTCACATTGTAGTGATCATTGTATAACAATATGTTAACATTTGTCTCTTAGTTTTTGATGAATTTCAGTAAGATCCTTAAATTATTTTTTTTTGGACTTTATACTTTTTGTTTTCTTTAGAGCATGGATTTGGATATGAAACAAGATTGTAGTCAACTGGTAGAAAGAATAAATGTTTTTAAAACTGCCTTTAGTGAAAATGAAGATGATGAAAGGTAAAATCTCAAATTTCTTTGAATTTGATGTTTGTAATGTTCACACAGTTGGTATACTTCCTCTAAAATAAGTCTAGTGTAACATTTATGCACACAAAAGAAACTCTTAATAAGAAAGTAACATATTATACATGTATAATAAGAGGAAAATTTTTGAAGTTTTTTTTAATCTAATGGAATAAAAAGAAACATTGAAATTACATGTCTGGTATGAATGCAGCTGATCACTTAGTTTACTTATTCATGATAATTATTATTTTGTAAATTCAGACAAGATTTTGCTCTGTTGCCCAGGCTGGAGTACAGTGATGTCATCTTGGCTCACTGCAGCCTCAACCTCCTGGGCTCAAGCATTTCTCCTGTCTTCGCTGCCCAACGTGTTGGGATTATAGGCATGAACCACCGTTCCTAGCCTGATCACTTAGTTTAAATTACATGCCTGTTTAAGATAGTTGAAAATTTGAACACTGATGAAATGTTTGATAATATTAAGTAATAATTGTTCTTTTTAAAAGTGTAATACTGTTTTTTTTTAAAAAATAATTCTTTTGTTAGATTTATGTACAAAGACTATCTCTGGATGAAATGATAAGCTCTTTAGTATTTTTTCAAAATATATAAGAAGAAGTAGGCCAGGCACGGTGGCTCACGCCTGTAATCCCAGGACTTTGGGAGGCTGAGGTGGGTGGATCACTTCAGGTCAGGAGTTCGAGACCAGCCTGGCCAACATGGCAAAAACCCATCTCTACTAAAAATACAAAAGTTAGTTGGGCCTGGTGGTGGGCGTCTTTAATCCCAGCTACTCGGGAGGCTGAGGCAGGAGAATCCCTTGAACCCTGGAGGCAGAAGTTGCAGTGAGCTGAGATTGAGCCACCGTACTCCAGCCTAGGTGACAGAGTGAGACTCTATAACAAAAAAAAAAAAAGAAAAAAACCTGGATGGAGATTGGCCATTAGTAGCTAATTGCTAAAGCTGGGTTGATAAAGGTTCATTATATTATTCTGTGTACATTTGAATGGGATTGCACTTGTCAAATAACAAGTTATACAATTTATTCAGATAATTGTGTTAATTTCAAATTTCATTTTTAATGAATGCATATTATATCTTTATGGATGTATAATGTTTTGAAGTATTACTGTGTTTTAGCTCTTTGCAAACTATTACTAATACTTAAATATACTAGTCTCAATGGAAGCATCTTTTTACATAAATTCCGTAAGTGGTAATACTGTGTTATAGGTTATAGATGATTTCTTTTTTTTTTAAGAGATGGAGTCTTGCTGTGTTGCTGAGGCTGGAGTCCAGTGGCTATTTACGGGTGCCAGAATTTTGCACTACAGCCTTAAACTCCTGGGCTCAAGCAATTCTCTTTTCTCAGCTTCCCTTGTAGCTGGGACTCCAGCATATACCACCTTGCCCAGCTCTGCAAGACGATTTTTGAAAGTTCTTGATTCAAATTTTCACATTGTTTTCCGGAAGTGTCATTGCAGTTTACACTAATAATGAGAAAGTATATGTTGTGATACCCTAGCCATCAAATATTTTTTCAAAACTTTGTTGCTTTATATTCTTTTTTATTTATCAAATATTATCCAGTAAAATTATTTAAACTTTAAAAATAAATCATACATCTGCTTTAAATATAATTAAGTTTTTATTAGAAAAATGAAATGTTTTATTCTTAAGTAAAGGAAATTGAGTTGTGAGAGTATTTCTACTCAGACATAATCTAATACAAAAATTAAACTGTAGTCATGAAAAAGTAGGGGTATATATTGAAGTTGATTACCATATTTTCTGCATGAACATTTACATGTAGTTATACAAAACCTCTTAATAATAATTATTTCTTCGCAGTCGACCAGCAGTTGCGTTAATTCGAAAGTTAATAGCTGTACTAGAATCTATTGAACGTCTACCTCTCCATTTGTATGATACACCAGGATCCACATATAACCTCCAGGTAACCATAAAAAATGTAGTAGCTAGTATTGCTGAATGCATCTAGGAACAGTGTGACACTTTTCTTTAAAAAAAATTATTTTCTTTCACATCGGATTAAAATAAAAATGATTCTACTTAATCTTTAAAGATTTTAGCTTATATGCCATTTGATTGATCTTAATGACTTGAAGTCTGTTTTGTTTGATCAAATCACTGGAAAATGATGCATTCATTTAATATTTGTTAAAAGCATTATATTTCGTAGATCATAAGTGGCAAAAGGTATCAGTGGAAAAAGCTGAGAAAAGGGTTCCTCTTATTCTACAATTATGAGTCAGTTCTGTCTTAGTCCATTTGGGCTGCTGTAACAAAATTCCTGCGAACTTAATAAACAGAAATTCATTGCTCACAATTCTGGTGGCTGGGAAGTCCAAGATCAAGGTGCTAGCAGATTTGGTGTCTCGTGAGGGCCTATTCCTCTTAGATGGAACCTTCTAACTGTGTTCTCACATTGTAGAAGGGATGAACAAGATCTCTCAGGCCTCTTTTATAAGGACACTAATCCCATTCATGAGGGCAGAGCCCCCCCAGAAGTTCCACCATCCAACACCACTGCACTGGGGATTAAGTTTTAACACATGAATTTTGCGGGGACACAAACATTCAGACCATGGCAAGTCCCTTCCTTATCACTATATTGTAAACATAAGAAAAAAAGTCAAGATATTTTAAGCACAATTTTTTTCGGGTCTTTATGTCAGTGGTTAGAGTCAGATTGCCCAAGTCTTCACTATTCCTATCAATCACATGGTTTCATAGCCTCTTTTCCTTCCCTCCTCCTCCCCATACAGATATATATATATATATATCTGTATATAATATGTAACTTCCTATTTACATTCTCATTCATTCAATTATTCTTTTCTTTAGTAGCTGGGATCTAGATGCAAACAAACAATACATTTTACTAATGTCCTAGCCCAGAACTTTATCACTTTTTTTGTGGGTTTTTTAGTGTTTCCTAGCAAGGCCTTCTGCTTTGAATTTTGCCTTTATCTAAACTGTTCTGCATTCTACTGCATGGAATAGTTTCTTTTGAATAATAGCCTTTAATGAGTGATTGAGGATCTATATATGCCAAAGCAATGCAAAGCTAACAAAACTTGCCATACCTCTGAGAACCCAATACTGTTATCAGTGCCACTAGACTCCCAAACTAGAGTACTTATTTAGGGAGTTTTACAGTGCAGTAGTTGCACCTGATATTCTATATGTAAAAGATGTGGAGGGCTACTTTGTGTTTTGTTTCAGACAGAATAACAGGAGTAATGGGGACTGTTTGGTCCATTGTTTTTAAGCTTTATTCCTGGTAAGTGGATGAGTTGGAGATAAGTCTCAAAGACAGTGCACCGATGCCTTTTATTATGCATTTTTCACTTCAGGAGATTGTGCAAGATCCAAAGAGAGGAAGGCCAGGAATGTGCTCTCTGGTAATTTTGCTGTCTAAAACTACCGAAATGCACATATAAATCTTTAATTGTTTTTATAGGAATTAGTTAAGATTTATACAGAAATGAATCTACCTAAAATTGCTAGTCCTGTGCTTGTTGCTTACTAAAATGTATTGGATTAAAAACTATTTTGCATCTTTTAAAGTTTATTAGCCTTTGATTATACAGGTTGAGTATTCCTTATCCAAAATGCTTGGAACCAGAAGTGTTTTGGATTTTATAATATTTGTTACCGATTCAGCATTCCTAGTCCAAAATCTGAAATGCTCCAGTGAGCATTTGAGCATCATGTCAGTGCTCAGAAAGTTTCAGATTTTGGAGCATTTCAAGATTCCAGATTTGTAGATTAGGGATGCTTATCCTGTAGAATATATTCTAGCGGAGTAAGCTAATTAGCTACTTTTCAAAAACTTACCTGGAAAATTGTGAGTTATAAGTCACTTTGATTAAGAAGTTTTATAAGTTTATTTAAACTGTGTATATTTAGAAGTTAAGAAGTTTTGTAAGTTTATTTAAACTGTGTATATTTAGAAGTTGTTTAGAAATTCTAGGAAGTTAAGTTTGTCTTTTACTTGATAGCCACTGTAACTTACTTAGTGTCCCTTTTATAAAAGAATCTTTCCTGTTGGATTGTTTTCTTTTTTTTCTTTTTTTCTTTTCAAGACTGGGTCTAGCTCTGTTGCACAGGCTGGAGTGCAGTGTCGTGATCTCAGCTCGCTGCACTCTCCGTGTCCCAGGCTCAGCTGATCCTCCCGCCTTAGCCTCTCCAATACCTGGGACTACAGGCATGCATGCCTGGCTAATTTTTTGTTGGTTTGTTTGTTTTAATATGTAGAGATGAGGTCTCACTGTGTTGCCCAGGCCGGTCTTGAACTCCTAGGCACAAGCAATTGATCCTCTTGCCTCAGACTCCTGAAGTGCTAGGATTACAGGTCTGAGTCACTGTGCCTGGCCTAAAGAATGTTTAATAGGCTGGGCGTGGTGTCTCACGCCTGTAATCCCAGCAGTTTGGGAGACCAAGGTAGGCGGGTCACCTGAGGTCAGGAGTTTGAGACCAGCCTGGCCAACATAGTGAAACCCATCTCTACTAAAAATACAAAAAGTAGCCGGGCGTGGTGGCACGCACCTGTAATCCCAACTACTCAGGAGGCTGAGGTAGGAGAATTGCTTGAAGCCGGGAGGCAGAGGTTGCAGTAAACCGAGATCACTCCACTGCACTCTAGCCTGGGCAACAGGAACAAGACTCCCATCTCAAAAAAAAAAAAAAAAAAAAAAAAAGGCCGGGTGTGGTGGCTCACGCCTGTAATCCCAGCACTTTGAGAGGCCAAGAAGGGTGGATCACGAGGTCAGGAGATCAAGACCATCCTGGCTAACAAGGTGAAACCCCGTCTCTACTAAAAAATACAAAAAATTAGCCGGGCGTGGTGGTGGGCGCCTGTAGTCCCAGCTACTCAGGAGGCTGAGGCAGGAGAATGGCATGAACCCGGGAGGTGAAGCTTGCAGTGAACCGAGATCGCGCCACTGCACTCCAGCCTGGGCAACAGAGTGAGACTCCGTCTCAGAAAAAAAGAAAAAAAAAAAGAATCTTTGATAGAAAACAGACATTTGTTCATAGTTCTATTATGTTTATAGTTAATAAATCCAAATCTCAGTTGTTTTAGGGTATATCATTTTTTACAATTCTGAGACAGAAACCAAGACGTTTTCCAGAGTATTTTGATCGTTTTTGTGTAGATACTTACAAGGAGATTACGATTTCGGTTGGAACGTGCACCTGGTGAAACTGCATTGATTGACAGGACTGGCAGAATGTTGAAGATGGAACCTTTGGCTACAGTTGAATCTCTGGAACAGTACCTTTTGAAAATGGTGAGTTTCTGGCAAGGGCACGGTGAAATAAGCATTCTGAGCTGTGGTTTAGCCTTTTAGGACAATAATTTGGGAAGTATATATCCAGAGTTATGGTAATACAGTTTGGCCCAGTAATTCCATTTTAGAACTGATTTCTACATGAAGATGTTTATTATAATTTTGTAATATTGAAATAGTAAACAAAAACCTTAATTCCAATCAATAAATTAATGTTAAATAGATAATTCATATTAAAAATTTAAATTTAATTGACAAATGTGTGTGATAATTATTTCTATTAATTTGAGTATCATATAGCCATAAAAATGTATAAAGACTAATGATAACAGAAAAATGTTTTTGTACAGTATGATCAAGAATTTGTTTTATCCTATCCATTGAAATAATAAACTAAAGAAATACTCTGTGATTATTAATAGTGAGGTGCTTTGGTTGTGGGACTTTTTATTTTTCTTTATATTTTTAAATGAGCATTTGTTTTTTGTTTTTGTTGTTGTTGTTGTTTTGTTTTGAGACAGAGTCTTGCTCTGTTGCCAGGCTGGAGTGCAGTGGCACAATCTCGGCTCACTGCAACCTCCGCCTCCCAGGTTCAAGTGATTCTCCTGCCTCAGCCTCCCAAGTAGCTGGGACTATAGGCACCTGCCACCACGCCTGGCTAATTTTTGTATTTTTAGTAGAAACGGGGTTTCACCATGTTGGCCAGGGTGGTCTCCATCTCTTGACCTCATGATCCACCCACCTCCGCCTCCCAAAGTGCTGGGATTACAGGCGTGAACCACCGCACCCGGCCTAAATGAGCATTTGTTATAATAAAAGAAAACAATTCACATTAAAGAGATAGGAAAAAAGTAGGTAACGTGCTTGAAAACAGCATTATTAAGGTGACTGTCTTTCATATTTTCTTTGGTTTAGGTAGCAAAACAGTGGTATGATTTTGACCGATCTTCATTTGTTTTTGTTCGAAAATTAAGAGAAGGACAAAATTTTATATTTCGGCACCAGCATGATTTTGATGAAAATGGAATCATTTACTGGATTGGAACAAATGCAAAGTAAGTCAGTCATTTTACTTTAAGCTGGAGTGACCATATTCACTTGGTAAAAGAATTCTAGGAAGTAGAATAAAATTGTTAGCACTCTGAATATTCTGTGGTTTAAGGAATTTTGACTTGTAGGTAGAAGTTAAGATTATCCAAATTACTTTTTATGAGGAAAAAATGTCTAAATTGCTAATTCTAGAATTGTACTTAATATAATTCTGTATTTAAAACCTTGTGCAAATGCAATTATCTTAACGTTGTTATTTGCTAATTTTTCTTTATTTTTGTATAGAACTGCTTATGAATGGGTAAATCCAGCTGCCTATGGACTTGTAGTAGTAACGTCATCAGAAGGAAGAAATCTACCTTATGGCCGCTTAGAAGACATACTAAGTCGTGATAATTCAGCTTTAAATTGTCATAGCAATGATGATAAGAATGCCTGGTTTGCCATAGATCTGGGTCTCTGGGTGATACCATCAGCATATACACTTCGTCATGCTCGTGGTTATGGAAGGTCTGCACTGAGAAATTGGGTTTTCCAGGTATCCAAAGATGGACAGAACTGGACTTCTTTGTATACCCATGTTGATGACTGCAGTCTCAATGAACCAGGGTTAGTTGAGGAGTCTTTGCAAATTGGAAAACTCACTAAAGAGCTTTGTTTATTTTTATAATTTTATACTCTAGAGCTCTCTTCCTTGTGAAATATTGAAGCAAAATTTTCTTTCTAAAAACAAATCACTTGATACTTTAGGCATTAAAACTTTGAAACACTGACTTTACTAAAACTTTGTCAAAAGGTTTAGTTTAAATAATAGAAAGCCGAGCTATTTTACACTGTATCTTAGCCAAAAGGCTGAGATGCTGTGAATATTTATTTTAAAAATTGGTATATAGCTGTATATACATACGCGCGCACACACACACACACACACACACACACACACACACACACACACACACACATTTATGCATACACACACAGCCCACTAATGGAAACAAGTGAAATAAACTTTCCATAAACTCTCCATATAATCACATAATACTTAGGAATGTTCAACATATTAGCAGTGGCTATTGCTCGTTATAGAATTAAGGCTGACTTAAAATGTTTTTATTTTTATCCTTAAATTTTATGTATTGAATAAGTTTTTAAAAGACAAGTCAGTAACTTCTAAAAAATTAGTTCTACTAAATTTTATTTATGCATTTTGGCACATATCAGGGGGTAGATTATGTACCCAAATTGCTTTTGGCATTTGATATGGTATGAGAGGAGCTTCTTAACATTAGGATTAATAGGTGATGTTTTCACCCCTTTCATGCTTTAAAGACAAAATATTAATACGTTATTTAAAAGTTTGCAAAAATGTTTTTAAGTCCGTTTTTCCATCATAAGAGAATTTCTCCTACTCTTTGTAAACCATCCTTTTTTTTTTTTTAAGGAGAATGGGGTCTTGTTATGTTGGCTGCTTTCTAACTTCTGGGCTCAAGTGATTCCCCTCACCTCAGCCACCCAAACACCACTGCACCCAGCATTTTGTCTTTTATCTTTGAATTATATTAATCATAAATCATTAATGTTATGAGTCAAATCAATAGCGTACATTTAAATGTTTCGTTTTTAACTTGTTCTCTTGACTACTTTTTTTCCTTTGATTTCTTGATTCTTGTAATGAACTGTTGAGTTAATATGAAAGTTAGTTTATTTTTTCTACAGGTCTCTGTTATATAAAAAATCTTTCCCATCTTGAATTTCTTTTTCATCTTTTAAAATATTACATAATTTTTTCTCTAACATATTAACAGGTCAACTGCAACTTGGCCTCTTGATCCACCAAAGGATGAGAAACAAGGGTGGAGACATGTGAGAATTAAACAGATGGGGAAAAATGCCAGTGGACAAACACACTACCTCTCATTATCTGGATTCGAACTTTATGGCACTGTAAATGGAGTATGTGAAGATCAGCTAGGTAAAGAGATGATACGAGGCTTTTCTAACTTACTAAAACAATTACTTTTGTAAAAAGTGATTTGGTTTTTATTTCTCCAATTTCTACCTGACAGGGAAAGCAGCTAAAGAAGCAGAAGCTAATCTTAGACGGCAGAGACGTCTAGTACGTTCCCAGGTTCTGAAATACATGGTTCCAGGAGCTCGTGTTATCAGAGGCCTGGATTGGAAATGGCGAGATCAGGATGGCAGCCCACAGGGAGAAGGCACTGTCACAGGAGAACTACACAATGGTGAGTAGGTGCTCAGCACTTTTGTGTAGAAAATGGGTAGTTAAATTTTTTCTTTTAAGATAATTTATAAATTGCATAAATGTATGAGCACTGTTTAGAAGAACTGTTGATACCACATTACAAATGGAAAAAAGGTAAAGAAAATAAGGGAAAATTTTAAGTTCTTGGGTTTTGACTAGAAACTTACTGGTAGTATTTTGGAAGTGATCAAGCCTAGTGTAAGTTGAGTATCTTCAAGACACACTTCCGGTTTTTTCCCCTAGTTTATTTTCAAGCTTACTGTGAGTTTTATTTTAATTTCTTATGTTTTTCTTTATCTTGTTAGTCTCACACCATAATTTTTATGGTATCATAAATCATATAGAAGAAAAAGGATTAACATTTTTACTGTTTTTTAATAATGCATGGAACAAGAAACATTGTCTCTTTATCTGTTAGTAGATTATTATTATTTCAAAGTGTTTCTTAGCCTACCTGCTTTTTGGGGAGGAGTTTATCATGTTTTCTAAATATTGCTATGTGAATCAAGTTTCTTTGATGCTGCACAGTTTAGCAAAGTCATCCACTTAATAAATTGCTATTAACTTTAAAGCAATTATAGTGGCTAATTATTTTCTTCAAACTATAAGGCTGACTTATTAGCAGATAATTTGCCTAAATGGCAGTGGGTTTGTTTTCATCAATTTTGTATCAGTTTTTGGCATTAAAAAAAGTAAAAATGTTTATATTCTCAACTTACACCACATATATATATCCACATATATGTGTGTGTATATATATGTATTTTTTTTTTTTTTTTTGAGACAGAGTCTCGCTCTTGTTGCCCAGGCTGGAGTGCAATGGCGCAATATCAGCTCACTGCAACCTCTGCTTCCCAGGTTCAAGCGATTCTACTGTCTCAGCCTCCTGACTAGCTAGGATTATAGGCATGGGCCACCATGCCTGGCTAATTTTGTATTTTTAGTAGAGACGGGGTTTCTCCATGTTGGTCAGGCTGGTCTTGAACTCCCGACCTCAGGTGATCCACCCACCTCGGCCTCCCAAAGAGCTGGGATTACAGGCGTGAGCCACCGCACGCGGCAACTTACACCACATATTTAAAGAGCTAGAATAAATGTGACGGTACTTACGAGAATGACTGACATTTAATTTCATGTTTTATGTGGTAAAGACATTTATTTATTCAAATAAACCCTTTGACTATATTGCTTTTAAGATTCTATTCCTTGAATTATTTTACTGCCAAATGTATTTATGTAGTATCATGCCCTAATTGCAAATCATTGTAATCAAAACAGGTTTACAGCGACCTAAAATTCATAAATACCAGTAATAGTTGAGATATCAACTATTATTGTTATACTGAGTTGAATAGTAGTGCCATTCAACTCAGAAAATTTCAAGTTTTCTTTTTAGGCATCTTGATGATACTTATTAAAAAGTTGTTATTCTATTTCCTGTAATTGTTTTGGCCTTGATGTATGTGACTTGATAAGAAGAGGCTAGTTAGAGATGTGTGAATGCAGTTCTTTTTTCTCAGGATGGAGTCAACTGAAGCAATTGCATAGGGAAATTAGAATCTTTTTTTTTTTCCCAAGATACAATGGCACAACAGTTTTAATACAACCACCAGTCTTCAAAAAATAATTTTAATACTTTGTGCCTGTACTAGCAGCATCTTGCACTGTGACATTCCTATACATACATAAGCATTTTATTGAAGTACAAATGTTAAAAGCAGAGTAACTTAAGCAATTGCCTATACAAAGGTAAATAGACACTGTGGGTTATTTTTCTTCTCGATTCATTTTTGCTGCATAGTAAGTTGCAATTACATGTCAGTATAATAATGTTACTGATCTATAAAATATATTTGAACCGTGAGGTATGGCACCTCCCTATGAGAGAGTGCTAACATGTACATCTGAATATTTTGAGTGTTTTTTGTTTGTTTGTTCGTTTTAGCTGCCACAGATGGGAAAAAAAAAAATCACCTAGCCTAGAAATCTCAGAGTTTAGCGTTCAAGAAAGGCCTATTTTTGCTAATCTGACAAATGTAGAAATTTAGTTTTGCCTAATCAACATGGCCATTCCCATCAAGTTATGCCTTTGAGTCTCTATGTCAGAGAGGGTTCTTAGCTTTCAAATACTTAAACCAACCATTTCTAATGATGGATAGTCATTACTGACTCTATTTTTTTTTTTTTTTGGTTTATCTTTTGGGTGTAGAAGGAGTTGAGAGAGTATGTTTTTTGGGCCAATTAATATAATACAAAAGTTACTTTTATTTGAGATTGGGCTATGTTTTTGAAACTTTTCCTTTTCTCACACATTTCTGTGTAGCAGAAGAGATAGTTAAATGTTGGTTCTTCAGAGATTATTTCAGCATACAGAAAAAAATAGAGGCAATTGAAAAATCTCATCTAAGCTACTTATGTAGATTTGGGGCAGTCACTTTTCCTTTCAAAGAACACATATGCAGATAATCCCCACAGGTAATTCAATATTATTTCCCTCTGAGTGCTATCATAAACATATGAACTTGGTGTAAGTGTGGGTGAGCATCTGGGTGTGTGGATGGGTGTGTATGTGATCTTGGGCCCCTTTTATGTATGGGTAAGAACTTTATAAAGGCTTGTTATACTTCTAAAAAAATGTTTTTTATGTCTTATGTTTTTCCCTGAAATAGTTAGCTTATAACACTAAAATAAGATTGTAAAATTTCTATTAATTTGCTTTTAATAGACAATTTTTTTTTTGCTTTTGGAAGTTAATTACCTTTTTAAAAAAAGAATATCATTTTTCTACTACAAGTAAATATATAGATTGAATATCATTATGCTCGTTAATTCTGTACATGTTATTAGCTTTAGCAGATAGTTCTAATAAAAGAGTTCAGTATGCTCTTTAAATTTTTTTTTAGAATTTTCTGTGTTTATTCAAATTTATTGAACTTAATTATTTAATATAAGAGAACCAAGGAACCACTGAACTTTGAGAACACAACCGAAATGCTAACTTTAGTGTTTTATTTGAACTAGTGACTAAAATTTCTATGGCAATATATGAATATTTTGAGAGGTTAGCCCAAATTGTAAGAAATTAATGGTAAGCTGGCATGTTTTTGTAGAAAAAAAATTTGACTACACATAATTATATTTAGCAGTTTTAAAACTTTTACCTAGATTCTGTTTACTTGCTGAAGTGGCAGTATTTTACCATGTATATCAATCTTTTAAAATTTCTTAAACAGTTCTTCCATTTAAGAAGTAACCAAGCCAGGTGCAGTGGCTCACATCTATAATCCCAGCTACTCCAGAGGCTGAGGTGGGAGGATCGTTTAAGCCCAGGAGTTCAAGATTAGCATGGGCAACGCAAGACCTCATCTCTAAAAATCAAATAATTTTAAAAATGAAATATAACCCAGTAGATTTAAACATGACCCTTACATTGCTTTTAAATGTCATAGACTGAATAGTTCAGAAATAAGGGAAATAAAAGGAAGAATTTTAAACATTTCCTGGAAACCTTGTATAGAGTACATATTTCTTGTCCTTAAAATATTTGTATCATGAGAGTTAAATAATATAGACTTTCAGATAGCTAGTCATATCGTCAAATAATTGAGTCCAAAAATTTACATATATTTTAGTGGGCAGACCTTGATTGACTATAGAAATTCAGAAAAGGACAGCACTGATGAAAAGCTGATCCCATATTGTGGAGCTACTGTCTGACACGCTCCTATCTGCTTTCTGCTGGGTCTCACAAACTCCTGTCCCTTTCCAGGCTGGATTGATGTCACCTGGGATGCTGGTGGCTCAAACTCTTACCGTATGGGCGCAGAAGGAAAATTTGACCTCAAGCTTGCACCAGGGTACGACCCTGATACAGTGGCATCACCCAAACCTGTTTCATCCACTGTTTCAGGCACAACGCAATCATGGAGCAGCTTGGTGAAAAACAACTGTCCAGACAAGACATCTGCTGCTGCAGGCTCCTCAAGTAGAAAAGGAAGCAGCAGTTCTGTGTGTAGCGTGGCCAGTAGCAGCGACATCAGCTTGGGTTCGACCAAAACGGAACGGAGATCAGAAATTGTAATGGAACACAGTATAGTTTCAGGAGCTGATGTCCATGAACCAATTGTTGTTCTTTCATCTGCTGAAAACGTCCCTCAAACAGAAGTAGGGTCATCTTCCAGTGCAAGCACCAGCACCTTAACAGCGGAAACGGGAAGTGAAAATGCTGAAAGGAAGTTAGGCCCTGATAGTTCTGTTCGTACTCCTGGGGAGTCTAGTGCAATATCCATGGGAATTGTCAGTGTTAGTTCTCCTGATGTTAGTTCAGTATCTGAATTAACTAATAAAGAAGCAGCTTCACAACGACCTCTTAGCTCTTCAGCAAGTAACAGACTGTCAGTGAGTTCTTTGTTGGCTGCTGGGGCCCCTATGAGCTCTAGTGCAAGTGTACCTAACCTGTCCTCAAGAGAAACATCTAGCTTGGAGAGTTTTGTAAGGAGAGTGGCAAACATAGCACGGACTAATGCCACGAACAACATGAATCTAAGCCGAAGCAGCAGTGATAACAACACTAATACTTTGGGGAGGAATGTGATGAGCACAGCAAGTAAGTGAGCTTTTCCTTCTGGAATCCGATGCTTTTTCCACTTGGAGGGATGCAAAATAGGGTCTCTTGTTCTGGCTGCAGTTTTTAACTAGATCATTAACCATGTTAGATAAAGCTACATCAAATTTAGCAGTTCAGGAATATGAAGTTCTCTAGAATCATAATATTTGCAGAATTCAGACTAGGTGTGATAAAGAACCTCTTATTTTAGAAGCATAAAACAGTACTTCTGATTTTCACTCCTTTATGATACATCATTAAGCAAAGTTGCATGAGGAAATAGATGACTATTAAATATTATCATAGTGCAGTGAAACCAAAGCATCATATAAGTATAGCTTTTGTTTAGACTCTACATTGATCTTAGCTTCTGAAAGTTAAATTCCAATTTAAGCTGCTAACAGGTCAAAGTAATTATATAATAGTGCTATAAAAAGAATTTTTAGTTGGATTTCAGTTGGGTTCCCAAAGTTGTTGCTTTTCAGGAACCATTTTATTATTAGTGTGTTTTATGACCTCACTCTTTAAAAAATAAAAAACTTGGTTTTTCTGAGGTTTCTACAATCTCACCTATTTGTACTGATTTGCTTCATTTTTGTCTTTAGCTTCTCCTCTTATGGGTGCTCAGAGTTTCCCTAATTTGACCACACCTGGTACTACATCAACAGTGACTATGTCAACATCCAGTGTTACTAGCAGCAGCAATGTAGCTACAGCAACAACAGTTTTATCAGTTGGTCAATCTTTAAGTAACACTTTAACCACCAGCCTCACATCAACTTCCAGTGAGAGTGACACAGGTCAGGAAGCAGAATATTCCTTATATGGTAAGTTGTAATTTAAAATGAAAGTATTTAGATACTTTCATAATGATGCTTTTATTATGTTTTCTCCTGATATTTTAAACTTTTGTTTAAAGAGAATTATTCTCTCTTCTTATAAATATGAAATCTTCGGGCCAGGCACAGTAGCTCACACCTGTAATCCCAGCACTTTGGGAGGCCGAGGCAGGTGGATCAGTTGAGGTCAGGAGTTCGAGACCAGCCTGACCAACATGGTAAAACCCCATTTCTACTAAAAATACAAAAGAAAATTATCCGGGAGTGGTGGCACACGCCTGTAATCCCAGCTACTCAGGAGGCTGAGGCAGAAGAATTGCTTGAGCCCAGGAGGCGGAGGTTACAGTGAGCAGAGATCGCGCCATTGCACTCCAGCCTGGGCAACAAGAGCGAAACTCCTTCTCAAAAAAAAAACAGAAAACAACAAACAAATACAGAATCTTTATATATAATATGAAAAAACTCAGTAATACGAGAGACTATTAAAAAATTATCTGGGGCCAGGTGCGGTGGTTCACACCTATAATCCTAGCACTTTGGGAGGCCAAGGCGGGCGGACCACTTGAGGTCAGGAGTTCGAAACCAGCCTGGCCAACATGGTGAAACCCTGTCCCTACTAAAAATATAAAAAAAATTAGCTGGGCGTGGTGGCGGTTGCCTGTAATCCCAGCTACTGGGAAGGCTGAGGCAGGAGAATCGCTTGAACCCGGGAGGTGGGGGTTGCAGTGAGCTGAGGTCGCACCACTGCACTTCAGCCTGGGCGACAAAGCAAGACTCCGTCTCAAAAAAAAAAAAAAAATCTGGTCAGAAGTGGTGGCTTGCGCCTATAATCCCAGCACTTTGGGACGCCAAGGTGGGAGGATCACCTGAGGCTCAGGAACTCAAGACCAGTCTGGGCAACATAGACC